>NC_000011.10:77116302-77419332 GCF_000001405.40 Homo sapiens | reverse complement strand
GGAGTTATTGCACTTAAAACATGTTAACTGCTAACTTGTATAACTTCAGCACATCATTTGAGATCTCCAGGATTTAATTTCTTTGAATGTACAGAGTCATCTCTAAAGTTGCTTTTACCTCATTTGATTCTGTTAGTAATAAATAAAACTGCTGGCATCTTACCAGTATGCCTCAATTTCATAAGTATTGTGTTTCATCAGCGGGAACTAAACTTAGCCAAGTTTCCTATAGCAGCACCCACCATTGAAAGAGAGAGACAGTGTATTAGCCAGCCAGTTAACTTTTGGTAACCAAACCAGCGTTTGGTTTTTCAGAACTGAAATCTAAAATAGAAGATGTCTGAATTTGATCCTTCCCGCTGAAGATATTAGTGGTTCTGCCTAATACTGTACATAGATGTTTTGTTGTTTCGTCTACCTGGTCCTATTTATTTGGTTCAGTCATTTTTCTAGTGCAGCACTTTTTAGTTTTGTATTTGCCAACTTCCCCTATTAGTGGTGATTTCCTGGAGACGTAGGCCATTTCTAGGTCATCTTTAATCCTCAAAACCTGGAACAGGCAAGAGCACATGACAGATGTTTGAAAAATGTTTAAAGAGATGGCATACTTATTAGCTTTGTAGGTGACAAAAACTGAAAGAGAAAACTAATATTTAGATGAGTAAGCTTGGAATGATGGGCTGAAGCCAACAAGATGAAATTTAAGAGGAAGACAATGAAGTTCTGCATTTTAAGTCTCAAAAGAAATGGCAACATATGGGCAGACTGGAGGAGACTTAGCATGATGCTATTCTTATGAAAATGGTGGTTTTGGCTGCTGAAGCTCAATGTCAGCCAAAGGCATTGCAGTGGATAAAAATCTAATGTAACTTCAGACTGAATTATTGGAAGTATTAAGTACAGTTAAAGGAGGTGATAGTTCCACTATGTTTTGCAAGGGACAGACTGCACTTAGAGTATCATGTTTCCCTCAGGGTACCAGGCAGTAAGAGGATCATTGCAAACAGGACTCTATTTAGTGGAGGGTACGCTAGATCATCATTACTGAAAGTGTAGTCTGAACTGTTCCCAGCCCACAATGAGATAAGCATAGAAATTGAAAGTACTTAGAAATCTTTATAGCAATTTGTCAGAGTAATTTTGTGTCTAATGAATCTAATAAAAAGGAAGATGAACTTTATCTTGTATGTCTTTGTTTCTTTCTATTTTTTTGCTTGATACTTTTTTATTTTAATAGATTTTATTTTTTAGAGCAGTTTTAGGTTTATAGAAGAATTGTGTAGAAAATGCAGAATCCGGCTGGGCGCAGTGGCTCACGCCTGTAATCCCAGCACTTTGGGAGGCCGAGGCAGGTAGATCCCCTGAGGTCAGGAGTTCAAGACCAGCCTGGCCAACATGGTGAAACCCCATCTCTACTAAAAATACAAAAAATTAGCCAGGTGTGGTGGCGTGCACCTGTAATCCCAGCTACTCGGGAGGCTGAGGCACGAGGATTGCTTGAACCGGGGAGGTGGAGGTTGCAGTGAGCCAGGATCACACCATTGCACTCCAGCCTGGGCAACAGGAGTGAAACTCTGTCTCAAAAAAAAAAAAAGAAAAGAAAAAAGAAAACGCAGAATCCCTCTCTCCCCATTTCCTCTATTATCACCATCTCATTAATGTACAATTGATGAATCAATATTGATACATTATTATTGACTAAAGTACATAGTTTACATTAGGGTTTACTGTTTGGGTTGTATAGTTCTGTAGGTTTTGACAAATGCATAGTATGTGTATCCACGATTATAGTATCATACAGTATAGTTTTACACCCTAAAAATGCCCCGTGCTTCACCTATTCATTCCTTAACCACTAACCCCAACCTTTCAAATACCTGGCCGCCACTTATCTTTTTACTATTTCTATAGTTTAGCCTTTTTCCAAATATCATGTAGTTGGAATCAGCCTTTTCAGACTGGCTTCTTTTACTTAGAAATCTACATTTCAGGTTCTTCCATGTCTTTTTGTGGGTTGATAGTTCATTTCTTTTTTTACTGAATAATACTATATTGTATGACATACCACAGTTTATTCATTCAGTCTTGAAGGATATCTCAGTCGCTTCCAGTTTTTAGCAATTCTGAATAAAACTGCAATAAACATTCATGAGCAGGTTTTTGTGTGAACATAGTTTTCAACTCATTTGAGTAAATACCTAGGAATACTATAATCACATAATGATGATTCAGTCAGTGATGAGCCACATATATGATATAGCCATCATCACATATTAATGCAACACATTACTCATGTTTGTGGAGATGCTGGTGTAAACAAACCTGCTGTGCTGCCAGTCATATAAAAGTATAGAACACATATGTACTTTTTTTTTTTTTTGAGACAGAGTCTTGCTCTCTTGCCCAGGCTGGAGTGCAGTGGCACAATCTCTGCTCACTGCAAGCTCCGCCTCCTGGTTTCACACCATTCTCCTGCCTCAGCCTCCAGAATAGCTGGGACTATAGGCGCCCGCCACCACGCCCTGCTAATTTTTTGTATTTTTAGTAGAGACGGGGTTTCACTGTGTTAGCCAGGATGGTCTTGATCTCCTGACTTCGTGATCCGCCCACCTTGGCCTCCCAAAGTGCTGGGATTACAGGCGTCAGCCACAGCACCTGGCCAATTATATGTGTTATATAATGCTTGATAATGATGATAAATGACTCTGTTACTGGTTTATATATTTATTATTCTTTTTGTTGTTATTTTAGAGTGTACTCCTACTTATAAAAAAAAGTTAACTGTAAAACAGCCTCAGGCAGGTCCTTTTGGAGGTCTTCCAGAAGAAGTCATTGTTATTATAAGAGATGTCAGCTCCATGCATGTTATTGCCCCTAAAGACCTTCCAGTGGGACAAGATGTAGAGGTGAAAGACACTAATATTGACAGTGGGACAAGATGTAGAGGTGGAAGACACTAATGTTGACAGTCCTGACCTTGTGTAGGCCTAGACTAAAGTGTGTGTTTATGTGTTAGTTTTTAACAAAAAGATTAAAAGGTAAAAAAATAAGAATAGGCAGGCGTGGTGGCTCACACCTGTAATGCTAGCACTTTGGGAGGCTGAGACAAGTGAATAGCTTGAGCTTAGGAGCTGGAGACCAGCCTGGACAACATGGTGAAACTCCGTCTCTACTGAAAATACGAAAATTAGCTGGGCATGGTGGCACACGCCTGTAATTCCAGCTACTCGGGAGGCTGAGGCACAAGAATTGCTTGAACCCAGAAAGTGGAGGTTGCAGTGAGCTGAGATCATGCCACTGCACTCCTGCCTGGGTGACGGAGTGAGACTCTGTCTCTAATAATAATAATAATAATACAAAGAATACAAAAAAGCATATAGAATAAAGCTATAAAGAAAATATTGTATAGCTGTACAATGTGCTTGTGTCTTAAGCCAAGTGTTAATGCAATAGAGTCAAAATGTTTTTAAAAAATTAAAAAGTTTATAAAGTAAAAACTTACAGGAAGTTAAGGTTAATTTATTGTTGAAGAAAAAAAAATTTAAGTTTAGTGCAGCGTAAACATACACTGTTTATAAAGTCTACAGTAGTGTACAATACTATCCTAGGCCTTTCCATTCACTTACCTCTCACTCACTGACTCACCCAGAGAAACTTCCAGTCCTGCAAGTTCCATTCATGGTAAATGCCCTTTACATATGTACTGTTTTTTTTTTAATCTTTTATGGCGTATTTTTACTGTACTTTTTCTATGTTTATATATGTTTAGATACACAAATACTATTGTGTTACAGTTGCCTAGTATTCAGTACAGTAACATGCTATACAAGTTTGTAGTCTTGAAGCAGTAGGCTATACCATATAGGCTAGGTGTGTAGTAGACTGTACCATCTAGGTTTGTATGTGTACACTCTGTGATGTTCGCATAACAATGAAATCACCTAATGACACTTTTCTCAGAATGTATGCCTGTCATTAAGTGACACATAACTGTATTTAGCTTTGTAAGAAATTCCTAAACTGTCTTCCAAAGTGGTTGTATCATTTTGCATTCTCACCAGCAATGAACGAGAGAGTTCCCGTTGCTGCATATCCCTGTCACCATTTGGTGTTGTCAGTGTTTTGGATTTTAGTTATTCTAATAGATGTGTAGTGATATCTCATTGTTTTAATTTGCAGTTCTCTAATGATAAAAGATGCTGAGCATCTTTTCATATGCTTATTTGTCATGCATATATCTTCCTTGGTGAAGTGTCTGTTCAGATCTTTTGCACAGTTGTTTTTTTTAAATTGGGTCACTTCTTACTGAGTTTTAAGAGTTCTATGTATATTTTGATACAAGCCTTTTATTAGATGTGTTTTCTCCCAGTCTGTGGTTTGTTTCTTTGTTCTCTTAACACTGTATTTTGCAGAAATTTTAAATTTTAATCCAGTCTAACATGTCAGTTTTTTCTTTCATGGATCTTGCTTTTGGGGCTGTATCTAAAAAGTCATTGCCAAACCCAAGGTCATCTAGATTTTCCCCTACATTATATTTTAGACATTTTATAGTTTTGCATTTTGCAAATGCAATGGTTTGTGATCCATTTTGAGTTAATTTTTGTGAAAAGCATAAAGCCTGTGTCTAGGTTGATTTTTTTGGATGTGGATGTCCAGTTCTAGCACAATTTATTGAAAAGACTGTCCTTTCTTCATTGAATTTCCTTTTCTCTTTTACAGTCAGTTAACCACATTTGTGTGGGTCTATTTTGGGCTATTTACTTCAATTCCACTGATCTATTTATGTTTTCATTAATATCACATTGTCATTATCACTGTAGCTTTATAGCAAGTCAGTCTTCCAATAGATATCAATATAGTTGTATCTATAAAAATATATTGCCTAGGCCACATGCCAGACCAACCAAGTCAGAATCTCTGCTGGGACTCTAGTATATTTACACATATTTAAAGCTTTCCAAGTTATTCTGGTGGACAGGGAGAATTAAAAGCCACCATACTAAACCATAAAATCATCACCTCCTTGAAGATGTGGTTCTGTTCACTGATGTGTCTATCCCCAGTGACTTGCATAAGATGCTTAAATAGTTGTTGAATGAACAAACGACTAAAAGAACTGGGAGTATTTATCTTGGAGAAGAGAAAAAGTGGAGGGGCATAATAAATTAGCCTACATACATACATAGTTGCAAGCCTTTAATGTGACTTGCCCTGGAGGACGTTGCTCCTGGAGCAGAATTAGAAATTTACAGAGAGCCACCTGGCTGAATGTGAGGAAACACTGCCTCATAGTGCTGGTGGAAAGTGAGCTCCTCATTCCTGCATGTATTTCAGAAAAGCCTGGAAGACCATCTATAAGAGGATGCTGCATGGGGTGGGAAGTCGAGTAAGATAAGTTGCTATGATTATTGCTTATTAGTTTGAAAAGCTGTGTCTAAGGCAGAGGACTGCTTCTGGCTCTCATTCACCCTGTGTAAATTGGGATGAAGGACATGGTGTGGGGTTAAAAAAAAGTCTTAAAATGACTTTGAAGCTGAATCCTCAGACTACAGCAATTCTCCGGGTGTCTATTATTGACCAATTCTTTCTTTCTTTCTTTTCTTCCTTCCTTCCTTCCTTTTCTTTCCTTTTTTTCCTTTTTCTTTTTTTGAGATGGAGTTTCGCTCTTGTTGCCCAGGCTGGAGTCCAGTGGTGCGATCTCAGCTCACTGCAACTTCCGCCTCCTGGGTTCAAGGGATTCTCCTGCCTCAGCCTCCCGAGTAGCTGGGATTACAGGTGCCTGCCACCATCCAGCTAATTTTTTGTGTTTTTAGTAGAGACGGGGTTTCACCATGTTGGCCAGGCTGGCCTTGAACTCCTGAGCATTTACCAGATGTGTGGTCTTGGAGAAGTCACTGACTTCTTTCACCATCGTATTCTGTTTTCCACCAAGTTCTGCTGCTGCTTCTTCCAAGCTGTGTCTTTAGAAAATAGGCTTGCTTCTTTTTACATTATCTTACAATATGTTAGTCTAAATCATTACTATTTTCTGTTGCCTGAACCTCTGAGAGAAGTTATTAACTTATTTCCACTCCTACCCCCTTTCTCCACTGAACAGCCAGTGATCTTTTAAAAAATGTAAGTTAGAGTTTGTCATTCTGCTTTCAAACCTTTCAAAGCCTTCCCACTGCTAAAACTTGGAACAAAAGCCTAACTCCTAATTATGACCCGAAAGAGACACCGCATAATCTGACTTCTGTCATGTCTCTTAAGAGCAGGGTTTGGGAGGGGGAAGAGTGAGGTAATACTACCTCCTAGGGAGCATTTGCAAATGTGTGAAGGTGTGTTTTATTGTTTCAGTAATTGGGAGGCACTACTAGAGGCACTACTAGTCTGGGCCGTGTTGGTAAATGTTCTATAATGTGTTGTTCAGCTCAGGTTCCATCACAATGCCTGATGCACAATAGTTGGTTAAAAAATACTTATTGTATGAGCCCTGGACATTTTCCCTGGACCTCCGTTTTGACGTATGTGAATTGGTATAGTGCCTACTTCATAAGGTTGTTTTGAGAGAGACATAACATTTATAAAGTACCTAGTACATAATAGTTCTTAATAAATGGTAGCAGTGGCTAGGTGTGGTGGCTCATGCCTGTAATCCACAGTTTGGGAGGCCAAGGGAAGAGGATTGCTTGAGAACAGGATTTGAGACCAGCCTGGGCAACATGGCAGACCCCATCTGTACAAAAAATATAAAAATAACTGGGTGTGGTGGCAGGTACCTGTAGTCCCAGCTACTTGGGAGGCTGAGGTGGGAGGATTACTTGAGCCCAGGAAGGTCAAGGCTGCAGTGAGTCAAGATCCAACCACTGCACTCCAGCCTGGGCACACAGCAAGACTCTTGTCTCAAAATAATAATAATAATAATGTAGCAGCTGCTGAGCTTTGTTTGCTTAGAGGCAGCTATAGGGGCCCACCTAGCATTCTTCCTGGAGCATTAGAATTAGAACCTGGCACGTTTGGGGAGGGGGGAGGTGTATCTCTTTCTCTGAGGCCTAATCTGAATCGTAGGTCTGACCTGAGGAATCTTAGAAGGGACTCCTCTATACTCATCTGTAGAAACTAAGGCACAGAGGAGCTCTGGTTGTCTTTCTTGACTCTGGAGCTCACACAGGACTCTGACAAGCCCTGGAAAACCTGGCCCTGGAGAGAAATTACCTCCTGCTGGAGACTGGGTGGGGAGAATAGCTGAGAGGGTGGGAAGATAGCTGTCTCCCCGCCCTCAGCTCTGCTTTGCAGAAAAGGAGAAGCGCGCGGCTTCCTCCCGCCTCCTTCCCTCCTTTCTTCCCCCGCCCCTTCTGTTTCGCCAACCCCGACGCGGCGCCTTCGCTGCCGCCCTGCGAGAGCGCGAGCGTGCTGCACCTCGGGAGCTGGCGGCTGAGCTGCCAGGAGCCCAGCCCAGCTGAATCGAGCGGAGCCGGTGGAGCAGGGGCCTTGTGGGTACCCGGTTGGGCAGGGAGAGGTGCGGCTCTGCGACGGAAACAATCGCCAGAGATGCCGGGGCTAGCCTTCCCCACCAGGTAATGCCGGCCCTGCCTGGGGCTCCCCTAGCTGGGCCGGGTTCTGGGGGATCTCCGCCGGCTTTCGGAGAGTGGTGACACGGGGTCCAGTAGATTTTGAGGGGTGTCTTACTTTCCTCTTACCTTAAGGGACCCTAAATGAGAGAAAGGGCTGAGGGTGGAACCTTTAGATGAGCCCACCCAGGGCTAGGCCTGCACTGGAATCAGAGCTCTGCCCAGGGAAGGGTGTGAAGGGGAAGCTGCGCCTTTGGGGAACCGCTCAGCCTCAGAAGCTCTGCTCCTTTGCAAGCGCCCTTCTGCTTGGTGGCCAACGTGGTGCTTTCCTCTGCCTTGGCTTAGTCGCTGGCCTGCTGGGACTGTGGGGGCTTTTCTGTGTTAAGAGGTTGAGTGAACTGGGAGGGAGGAGACCTGGGGGGACTGGTCCTATTCAGACATCCTCTGTGGCTTGAGTTGCCATATCTGTGCAGTGAAGGACTTGACATTGTTTGTTACTCTGGCTTTTCCAGACTGTCAAACCATCTTTTGGAGAGGTGAGCTGGTTTAAAGTGCTAAAATGGGCTGCAGAGATGTCCCCCTCAACACTGTAGAAGAGAGGAGAACTTGGGAAGTAGACCTTGGTATCCTGTCTTCCAGCCAGCCTTTTGAATGGCATCTTGGTGGTTCTTCAGGGACAAAGCAGAGACTGAGAATGCTGATGCTTATTTTAGTGTGATGCGTAGGTGTGTTAGGTGTAGGGAGGTAGGGTTGGGAAGTAGAAGGTCAAGGTATGTTAATGATTCTAAACTGGCCAGTTTTTCTGTCCTTAGGTATAAAGTTGCGTTAAACTAGACTCTCTTCTCTGGAGCCCCTTCCTTATTCTGCTAAGTTAATGACAGACCTGGCTGTGGTAATATCTTAATCACTATAATTCTTTCCTTCTTTATTACCTGGCACCAAGAAGCTCATGTCAGGCCCGATAATAACCTACTTTGATTATTTTGGACCTCTTTCCTCCCCCTAGTTTTTTCATGACTCTACGTCTTCCTCTCCTCACTTTTCTTTCTATTTCCTCCTCCTGATCATTTTTCCTGCCCCCTGCCTACCTTTTCTCCCGCCGTCCCCTTCACCCTTCCTCCTCCCCTCATGCTTCCCCTTTTGTATTTCTCCCCCTGTGTAGCCAGTCTTTCCTTCCCTCTCTTGGATCCTCCCCCTCTTGATTAGGCTTTCTTCTCTTTTCTAAAATTTTTGGTTAAGCTTTCTTATTATTAGTAGGTTACTGGTTTGTAGAGACCTTTTCCTGTGTTTATGAGGTCCAAACATTGTTTTCTACCTAACTCACTTGCATCTAGCTTTTACCTCCAAATTCTATCTTCCCCAGGACCATTCTCTCTCTTTACTGCCTCTGTGCCTTGCCTTGGGCCTGCCAACAAGCACTCCCTCTTCCTGCATTTGTTTCCCATCTTTGCTGGTGGTGGTGGGGCAGCAAGCAGGTAGGCAGTAGGGAATAAGCAAGATGGGAAGTGGGGGGCCTGAGTGGGAGGAGAGCAAGAATGTCAAGTAGTGCTGGGCAGAGGCTCAAGTTCCCTTTAGTGAGATGAGTGACTGGGAGGACCAGAAACTCTGGCAGCTGTGAGATAGTGCTGATCTGGAGGAAAGGAGGTAGCCCAGGAAAGAAGAGGGAGGATAGCAGGGATGGGTTGGAGGGACAGGAGGAGGAGGAGGCCTGGAGGAGAAGACAGTGCTCTTTTGAAGAAGAGGGTGGCCTGGACAAGATAGTGGTTATTTGTGTGTAGAAAGAGAAAGATTATAGTCTGGGAAAGGGGACTATATAGGTTAATTATCTTCCCCTTTGATGACTGGCTTTTTGAACTGATTTCTACTCAGCAAATTTTTTTTTAGTTAAAAATTTTGAAAGAATTTACCATGTTTATCATGTTTAAGTGTACAGTTCAGTTTCAGTAAGTACATTTATATCTTTTTTTCCCCCTTCATCCTCCTCACTCCCTTTCCTGGCCTTTGGTAACCACCAGTCTACTCTGTATCATCATGAGATCTACTTTTTTTACCTCCTACATATGAGTGAGAACATGTGATATTTGTCTTCCTGTACCTGGCTTTTTTTTTACCTGAAAAAATGGTATCCAGTGTCATCCATGTTGCTGCAAATGACAGGATTTTATTCTTTTTTATGGCTGAATAATATTCCGTTGTGTGTATATATACATATATACACAAATATATATTGTGTATATACACATTTTCATTTTGGCTATTATGAATAGTGCTACAGGATTCATGGGAGTGTGATATCTTTCATATATTGATTTGCTTTCTTTTAGATATATACTCAGTAATGGAATTGCTGAATCATGATAGTTCTATGTTTAGTTTCTGAGGAACCTCCATGCTATTCTCCATAGTGGCTCTACTAATTTACATTTTCACCAACAGCATATGAGGGTTCCTCTTTCTCCCCATCCTTGCCAGCATCTGTTATTGCCTGTCTTTTTCTTTTTCTTTTCTTGAGACAGGGTCTTGCTCTGTTGCCCAGGCTGGAGTGCAATGGTACGATCATGGCCTACTGCAGCTTCAACCTCCTAGGCTCAAGCAGTCTCCTACCTCAACCTCTGAAGTAGTTGGGACTGCAGGCACATGTCAGCATGCCTGGCTAATAAAAAAAAAATTTTTTTTTTTTAGAAGTGTGGTCTCCTTATGTTGCCCAGAGTGGTTGTGAACTCCTGGGCTCAAGTGATCTGCCTGCCTTGCCCTCCCAAAGTGTTGGGATTACAGGCATGAGCCATCGTGCCCAGCCTTTGCCTGTCTTTTTGATACAAGCCATTTTAACTGGAGTGAGATGATATCACATTATGGTTTTGATTTGTATTTCTCTGATGTTAGTGATGTTGAGCATTTTTTTCATGTACCTGTTGGTTATTTGTATCTCTTGTTACGAAAAATGTCCGTTCAGATCTTTGCCAGTTTTTAAATTGGATTACTTGTTTTTTTTGCTATTAAGTTGTTTGAGCGCCTTATATATTCTCGTTATTAATCCTTTGTCAGATGGATAGCTTACAAATATTTTCTCCCATTTTGTGGGTTGTCTCCACTTCGTTAATCAACGGAATTTTTGTGAGCACTGTCCTTAAAGTGGGGGAGTTAGAGGGAAAGCAGAGATGAGAACGACAAGATTACTGTTTTATTGGCACTCACTGTCAGAATGTGGAGTGTGTGTGTGTGTGTGTGTGTGTGTGTGTGTGTGTGTATTTCTCCATAGTGGCTCTACTAATTTACATTTTTGTCAACAACATGAGGGTTCCTCTTTCTCCCCATCCTTGCCAGCATCTATTATTGCCTGTCTTTTTCTTTTTCTTTTCTTGAGACAGGATCTTGCTGTTTTGCTCAGGCTAGAGTGCAATGGTACGTACGATCGTGTGTATGTGTGTGTATGTATATATGTGTGTGTGTATATATGTATGTACAATATTCACAGAGCTTTGAATATTGCATCCATCCATTATCAAATATTTCTGAACCATCTACTCTATGCTAATTATGGTACTAGGTTGGTGGCGATACAAAAATTGAAACTGGCCTCAGTTGTTGCTCTCAAATGCAGATCAAGGAATGTGGACGCTCATGTGGTAAGTATTGTAGAAGGAAGCACAAGGGGCTGTGATAATGCAGAAGAGGGCACTTTTGATTTAGCAAGACAGTGGCAGAGCTAGGACCTAAACTTAAGTCTTCTCTGAAGGTGATATCTATTCTCTTATACCCTGTTATCTCCTGAGTTTGTGTATACATACAGTGTACAAAGAGTTTTCCTATATCCTCTTTTCTGCCTACTTTTGGGGCTAGACTCTAGGTACTGCTGACATGAAAAAAAGAACAATCCCATGTGGCAGGTCACTGTGCCATAGCCAAACAAACACTCATTACCTTGGAAGGGAAACAGACTTCGTCCCTGTTAACTTCTGGCTCGAGGCCACTTGGGTGACTATATGCTGAGCTCCCTCTCTGAGTCATTTGATCTCTTCCTTCCTTTCCTCCCTGTTCCATTTACTTAAATTCAATTTCTGGCGGGTTGCAGAGTCCAGAGACCAGATGCAGCTAGGCTAGGCATTTTCGCTTCCACTGGCCTCTATAGAATAGGGATTTAACACCTCATAGGGTTGGTGAGGATCAGATGAAATAATGAATGCGTGAAAATGCTTTGTAAAGTGCTATATAGATATCATTGTGGTTGTTCCCGAGTGCATTTTCAAGCCGTGAAAAATTGCTCAGATGCTATAGCCTGAAAGCCTAGGGTTGCCACTGACAGGCAAGAATAGGCACTCAGTATAGACACCAAGATTTACTAGACCCTTTCTCTGCCCTCGAAAAACTCACAGACTAATAGGAGAGGATTGAACCTCAATCCTCCGTGAGTAAAGGAAAAGGAGTGGGGTAGATAGGGCTTTAGGACTGGTAATTTAGTTCCATGGTCAAACAAAAACCACGAAGTATGTGCTTTATTTAAGGTCGAACAGATAGTAGGTGGCAATTATAAAAGATACTTTTAGTGACTTCTTATGATGTAACACAAAAAGGGGAAGGGGGACTTAAAAGTAGATTGACTTCAGTTCAAATCCTGGTTCTACCACTTACTGTTACCTGATTTTTAATCTTTTTAAGCTTCATGTATAAAAATGGAAGATATTCATACCTACTTTGAAGGGTTATTATAAAGCTTAAAAATAATCATATAAAAAAATAATAATAATTATATAGTAGGCACGTAATAGCTATACTTATTCTACAAGTCCCCTGACTCCTAGGCTGTTAAGGGCCCCTCTTCTGGATTCATGCAGCACCTATGTCTTTCCTCTCACCAATCAATAGTGCCAGTTACCATATTGTATTGTTATTGTGGTTAATGTATCTGCCTTTCCCATTAGTCTGTGAGATTTTTGAGGGCAGGGACAGGGTCTAGTAAATCTTGGTGTTGATACTGGGTGTCTACTCTTTTTTTTCCTTTGAAATCGTATCTCTGTCTGTTGCCCAGCCTGGAGTGTAGTGGAGCAATCTCAGCTCACTCACTGCAGTCTTGACCTTTTGGCTCAAGCAATCCTCCCACCTCAGCCTCTTGAGTAGCTGGGACTACCGGTGCCTGCCACCACACCTGGCTAGCTTTTGTATTTTTTGTAGAGACAGGGTTTCACCACATTGCCCAGGCAGATCTCAAACTCCTGAGCTCTAGTGATCCACCCACCTCAGCCTCCCCAAAGTGCTGGGATTACAGGCATGAGCCACTGCACCTGGCTTTGAGTGCTTACTCTTGCCAAGTCCTATTTAGTTGCTGAGTATACTTTGGTAAGCACAGCAGACTTACAAAAGCATATCGTTGCTCCTTTACAAAGCTTATCACTTATTGAGGGAGATATATAATAAGTAAACAAATATAATTACAACTCATGATGATGCTGTGAAAACCAAGAGTTCCGTTTGGTCTTGTTAGATTTGAGGTACTGATGAGAAACGCAGGTGGAGTTGTCTAATAGATGGTTTTTAGGCTGAAGAAAGCTGTTTGGTCTAGAGATCAAAACTTGGGCATTATCAACGTATTAATAATATGTAAAGCCATGAGAATGGAGGAAATAATCTTGGGAAAAGTGTAGTGTATCAGTAAGGAAGGTTCCGAGCAAGGAAGGTCCCAAGCCTTGGATGTGTGGATGATAGCTGGAGAAGGAGGATTCTGCAAACGAGGTAGGAGTAGACAGAAAGATGGAAGGAAAGCCAAGTGAGTGTACTTCCCTAGAAGACAGGAAAGTAGAGTATTTGAAAGAGAAGAGAGGTCAATTGCGTTTAATGCTGCCAAGATACTGAGTAACGTGAGGACAGAAAAATAAGGATTTGATTTGGCAAGATGGGGATAATTGATAATCTTGACAAGACTGCTTTTGATGAAATGGTAGATTGTTAGTTGGCAGACAGAAGGGGAGGAAGTGGAGATAGTTTAAGTAGACAGTTCTGAGAAGTTTTGCTATGAAGGGGAGCAGAGAAATAAGTGGTATTTGGAGGAGGATGTGGGTGTCAAGGGAAGGGTGTGTGTGTGTGTGTGTGTGTGTGTGTGTGTGTGTGTGTCTGTCTGTCTGTCTGTCTGTCTTTGAATAGGAGATGCCAAAACTTGTTTACATTCACCCAGTATTTCTCAGATCAGTCCAGAAATTTAGATACCATCTTAATTTTTCTTTTTTTTTTTAATCACATGCTGTATCTAATCTTTAACTCATTTGACTCTACCTTCAAAATGTATCTGCCTTTGAATTACTTCTCTCCCCCTATTGCCAATCATCTAAGCCACCATTAGTTTTCACCTGGATTATTGCAATAACTCCCTAATGGTCTCTCCACTTCTGCATTGTTCCCCTGCAGCCTGTTCTCCTCTGCTGCTAGAGTGGTCTGTTTAAAAACATAAATCAGATCAGTGCTCAAAACCCTTCAGTGTCTTTCCACACTTGCTGAAAAGCCAAATTTATTGTGGCCTATAAAGTTCCACACTGTCTGACCTCTGGTTACATCTCTGATCCCAGTCGCTTACCATATTTCTCTTTGTTTACTCAACTTTAGTCTTGCCAGTCTTTTTGCTGTCCTACATGCCCAGTGTATTCTCATCTAAGACATTTGTACTTATTACTCCTTCGCTTAAAATGCTTTTCCAGATATTACTATGATTTGCTGTCTCATTTAAATGAGGTCTTAAGTAACTGTTTCTCAGAGAAGCCTGTCTTGATTATCTTCTTTTATGTACCATGCCCCATGCATGCGCCTCCCCCTCATATTCACACATACACGTGGACTTGATATTGTGTATTTATTTGTGTATTTCTCTGTCTGCATCTCTTACTAGACCATAAACTCTATGAGCACAAGGCCTTTCTCTTATTCAACTAGATTAGTATTGGTACTTTGTAGATGCTCAATAAATGTTTGTTGAATGACTGAATATATCTAACAGAGAGGGAAAGGTTGACATAGCTGAAAGAGCAGATTATTCCAGGTGAGAACGAGTGAAGGAATACAGGGATAAGAGAGAATTGGCTTCGGATGAGAGGAAGAACACCTCCTTCATTGTAACTGGAAGGAAGAAGGAGAAAATGGATGCAGATACAGGGAGGCACATAGATTTGAGGGTAGGAAGATGTAGTTCTTCTGCCAAGATTTCTATTTTCTCATTGAAAGTAAGCTCATTGGCCGGGTGCAGTGGCTCACATCTGTAATCCCAGCACTTTGGGAGGCCGAGGTGGGTGGATCACCTGAGGTCAGGAGTTCGAGATCAGCCTGGCCAACATGGTGAAACCCTGTCTCTACTAAAAATAAAAAATTAGCCTGGTGTGGTGGCCTGTGTCTGTAGTTCTAGCTACTCGGGAGGCTGAGGCAGGAGAATCACTTGAACCCCCGAGGTGGAGGTTGCAGTGAGCCGAGATTGCGCCACTGCACTCCAGCCTGGGCGACAGGGTGAGATTCCATCTCAGAAAAAAAAAAAAGAAAGAAAAAGTAAGCTCATTAGCTAAAGGAAAGGGCTAGTGGAAAATCCAGTTGAATTCCCATTTGAGGTAGGGTAATCATATGTAGGAAAGTGTCTTAGCCTATTTTGTGTTGCTATGATAGAATACGACAGACTAGGTAATTTCTAAAGAAAAGAAACATATTTCTTAAAGTTCTAGAGCTGGGAAGTCCAAGGTACCTGCATCTGGTGAGGGCCTTCTTGCTGTGTTATTCCGTGGTAGAAGGTGGAAGGGCAAGAGAGCAAGAGTAACAAGGGAAGTGGGGGTGAACTCATCCTTTTGATCAGGAACCCACTCTCTTGATAACTAATTTACTCCTATGATAATGACATTAATCCATTCATGAGGCCAGAGCCCTCATGACCCAATCACCTTTTAAAGATCTCACCTCTCAACACTTGCAGTGAGGATTAAGTTTCCAATACTTGAACTTTGGGGACACATTCAAACCAAAGCAGAAGGTAATCATAACTTTCAAGTGAAAGCAGTTAACTGGGTTTTGTAATGTTCTCTAGGACATTTGGCTGCTTAAGTATAATGACAGTTGGGAGAAAGTTGAGTTCAACTATCCTAAAGCTAGGATTTTGCCAGTTAAATTTTGGAAAAGGAGGGAAGGGCAAGGGGTTGATGGTTTTTGATGTTTGAGTAATTTTGATGGATCATGATTAGATAAAGAGAGGAAAAAAAGGCAGGGGACTGCTGGATAGTTTATTGGAGCTCAAATTGAAGTCTAGGAATTGTAGTGGAAATTCTTGAGCAAGGTTGTCTCTGGAGTATATATGATTCATTCTATGTATTGGAATTGTTGCACATTTTGGTGATAAGGTCCTGGGTGTAATCATGAGAGTATTGGCTAACTTGGACTGGAGGTCAGAAAATGGAGTGGCCAGGGTGTTGACATGATCATCATTGTGGCTGTTGAAGTCACCTAGAATGATGACTAGAGGGGTTCAGAAGAAGATTGAACCTGGAACTAAAGCCTTTCAGTGGGAGTGACCAGAAAGTGAATAGTAGTCTGCAAAGATGTGCGATAGCAGCCAGTGGAAGCTACTCAAAGGAAAATATAGGTTTTTACAAGAGGAAGAGAAAGACATGGTTTGGAAATGGCACTGAAAATTAAGGACTACACTGATAGGTAGGGTGTAAGAGGGAAAACAGCTTCCAATTGAGAGGGCTTGTAGAGAAGCCTCTTCTTCAGGGCATAGCCAGATTTCTTTTAAGGTAAAGGAGCAAGAGTGTAGCCAGTGGCAAATGAGAAGTTCCAGAGGGAACAGTGGAAGGGTTCCAGAGTCACCATAGGGGGAGGGAATTTGGTCAGGTTAGAGGGTTCACAGAAAAGTTTGGAGATGAGAGTTTGAGTGATCATGGGTGACTGAAGTAAATGAAAACTGTAGGACTGATTGATTGATTTAGTCCTAATTACCTTTTAGAGGTGGGAGGACTGTCCCATTTTCATGCTATGGTTTTTGACACTTTGAGATAAACTTTTCCATTGAGGCAGCATGTGGCAATGTGGGAAATCAGGACATGTTCAGGCAGAGATTGGCTGGAAGGTCAACCAACTAGGAGACAGTACGATAGATTTCATTGTTTCCTGGGAGGTTGAACGAAGTGGCCCCTTTATGGTTCCTTCCAGCTCTCCGATTGTAAGGGCCTCAACTTTATGAGGCCTTACAGGCCTCAACCTGTAAGGCAGGTCATCCAATGGGAGGTTTGGAGGTTTGAAGGTTAAATTTCAATTTTTGCCTGAATTATTGGGAATAACTCAACTGGGGTTGCAGATTAGGAATTTCCCAAGATGGTAGGCAGAGGATTATAAGACCTGTAAATATTGGTTTCTGGAAGTAACTCTAGTGACTGTCTGCAAGGTGGTAGGAGTGAGGAAGTTGCGTAGGTGCGGATGGGGGTGGGGAGGATTAGAGGTACAGAGCCAGCCTAAGAGAACTTCAGTCTGTCACTCTAAATTTCTCTGCCGTTTCCACTTCACTTTGCTGCCTCTCATTCTTCTCTAATTGTAGGAAGCCTCCCAGATACAGTCACTTGTTCATTCTGTCTCAAATTACGTAATTAGTGTAGAAAGAGAGTTTTCAAGAGAATAATCAGAAGCTAGTAATGTTTTTATCACTCTTTCATTTAGTGATCTTAGGTAAATTGCATAACCCTATAGGTTCCAGGTTCCCATAAAATAAAGGTGTTTATTTTATAAAAATAAAACTGGCTGATTCTTCAGGATCCTTTCAGGTCCTGTGTTTTTTCTGCTAACCCAGGCTGCCTTAGTCAGTGAACCTTGGCTAATTACCAGGTGTGTACCAGCTCAGCCTAGGGATATAGAGATTAAACAAACTTCAGTTTTTTCCCTTGAGTTATTCATGGCCTGGTGAGGACAAGAAGCATGGATTATGGTTGATATAATGAAGTTTGGAAATTGTTGCATAGAAGTACACATAGAATGCTGTTACATTTCGGGAGCAGAAGTAGTGGGATCTGTTAAATTTGGGGGCTTCTGTGAAGGTTTCATAGGGGAAGTGAGTCAGGTTGGGCCTTGAAGAATGAGTAGGAGTTTGCTTGGCAGACAAGTTGGGGCATTTTAGGCAGAGAAAACAGCATAGGCAAAGGCAGGAACATGAAAGCATAGTGAGCTGGAATGACATGTTTAGGGAATAGTAGAGATGAAACTAAAAAGATAGGTGGGGGAAAGAACAAATATTTGTTGAACATTTATTTTGTGCCAGGCAGCATGCTAGGTGCTTTTATATATGCTTGTTAATTCTCGTGATAACTTTATAAAGTAGGTAGTCTTGTTTGCGTTTTACCTAAGAGGAAACTGAAGATCAGAAAGTAAAGTAGCTTTCCTAACCACCCAGAAACAGCCAACAGTTTTCCTCACTGTTGCTCTAGCAGGTGTTGCTAAACCAGAGCAAGTGGCCAGGCTGCATAGTGGGAGTATCTTTGACATGTTAGAAGGACATCCCTCAGCAAATTCAAGACTGCAGCATTCCAGTCCCCTGCCAAAGAAAACCTCCTGGCACAATATAATTAAAGATCAGATTCTCATAACCAGGCGTCAAGGGCATACAGTACTCCCCAGTTCTGGATGGAGTGTTGGTCATGCCAGTTGCAGCTGCTGTGAGCTGTTTGGACTAAAAAGTGTGATTAGTATATGGAACAGGTTTTATTTCTTCTTCTCGAGTTAATATTAGAGGTTATCTATTCCTTTCCTTTGCCTCTAGAGTCAGCAGTGTAGTGTGGTGTAGTGGTTCTATCACCACACAGGCCTAATTTCAGGTTCCTGCCTCTGCTGCCCACTAGCTGTATGACCCTGGGTGACTGGCAGCATCTTTGAAGCTTTGCTTCTTCTTCTTCTGACTTGTTTACTGTTCTGTCTTCAGCACTTCATGCATAGCTTGTCAAACGGTAGCTGACGAATTAATATTTGCACTGATGAATGAGAAAAATGATACCAAATAGATTTCCAAGTTTTCAGTAAACTCCAAAGTGTGATCTAATGTTAGTGATTATTAAAACAGCCCCAAATAATGCTTAAATCCTAGTTGTAAAAATGGTTAATCCTGAAGGTTTTCTGTGGAAACTGTTTCTAGAATTTTAGCAACTCTCTTAGGCAGTGTGGAAGACTCTCTTAAACTCCAGGTCTCATTGTGTGACTTGGACTAAGCACCAGAATTCGTTTATCTTCTGTGATGCTTAATCCCATTGTATGAACTCAAGGCATCACTGAGTCCTCAGTGCAGATGGGTAGCAGATGGTCTCCTCCTCCAGGCAATACCTCTTTTCTCATTGTCATCTCTCCACAACCTTGTTTTTTAATTAAAAGCCCCATCTTTTATTTTTAACATGGGGCATTTATTGCACAATTCTAGAGCTGCTTAGAATGGACCATTTTTCTGTCTAGTGCTCTACGTGGTGCAGAACATAAAAGACCTGCTGTGATCTGCACTGTCCCACTTTTTCAGTCTCCCATTTTAGTCCTTTATGTTGCATTCTGCCACACTGTACTCTCACATTTATGTTATTCTGTGGTCTGGATGCATTTGCCATCATCTTTCTCCATGAAAATCATTCACTCATTTTTTGTCTCTTTTCTTTGGGCCAAGCACTATATACTAATGCCTGGACCTACTCCAGACCAATTAAATCAGCGACTCTAGGGGTAGAGTTCAAGCATTAATGTTTTCCTCCTCAACATTTTATTAGGTAAAATTTCAAAAATCAGAAGAATCTTACAGTGAGTACCTGTGTACCCACCACCTAGATTCTCCTACCATTAACATTTTCATATACTAAC
Source organism: Homo sapiens (assembly GCF_000001405.40). Taxonomy (NCBI): domain Eukaryota; kingdom Metazoa; phylum Chordata; class Mammalia; order Primates; family Hominidae; genus Homo; species Homo sapiens. The sequence continues at coordinate 77,399,947 of NC_000011.10, read as the reverse complement.
TTTATCATATCCATTATATATTGACATGTATATTATGTTATAACCCTGTTAATCTTATTTCTTTTTTTTTTTTTTTTTTTTTTTTTTTTGAGACGGAGTCTCGCTCTGTCGCCCAGGCTGGAGTGCAGTGGCGGGATCTCGGCTCACTGCAAGCTCCGCCTCCCGGGTTCACGCCATTCTCCTGCCTCAGCCTCCCAAGTAGCTGGGACTACAGGCGCCCGCCACTACGCCTGGCTAATTTTTTGTATTTTTAGTAGAGACGGGGTTTCACCGTTTTAGCCGGGATGGTCTCGATCTCCTGACCTCGTGATCCGCCAGCCTCGGCCTCCCAAAGTGCTGGGATTACAGGCGTGAGCCACCGCGCCCGGCCAATCTTATTTCTTAAAAATGCATTTGAAAATAAATTACAGATATTAATATACTTCTCCCTGAGTACTTCAGCACTGGTGTAAAACTTCAGCACCAGTGAGCTTTAAGAAAAAAGCTCACAGGGGATTCTAATAGCCTAGAGTTAAAGACCACTAGTCTGACCTATTTGTTCTTTAAGCTGCTACTCTTAATACCACCTCTTTTCTGAAACTTCACTGATCACTCAAATTCAATTTAACATTTCTTTCATGTGTGTTTGGACATTTTACTGTTTGTACTGTTCTACAGCACTATTCACAATTGGCCTGGCATTGTGGTTTTCTAGGTTCTGCCTTCTGCTAACTAGATGGTGATAGCCTCTAGGGTCAGGTCATATTTTATTCATGATCTGTCTATCTACCTATCTATCTGTCTTCCTTCATCTATTTGTTCTTGGTTTCTAGCATACATAGCACCTTATATATTTTTATATGTAAGCTGAACTGCACTTGAACTGCACTTGAATGAAGAGCCTGCAACTGCAGCAAAAGGTGTACATACCTTTCATATGTGTTTGCTTACATATTCTGTGTTTATATTTTTTTGATTGGAGGAATAAGAATTCATTTATCTTTTCTGGCACTTAGCTCATGGTAGACTTTTAGTAAAAGTCAAGTCCAGCCTAAATGTGCTAATAACATTTTTATATTTGCCATTGGCTAGATTTGACTGAACTAATCATAAATCAGAAGTAGCGGAACACAAAGGGGCTAGAATTACCTCAAGAACAGTATAGTTGGAAAATCCTTTGGCAGAGAGTTTAAAGATGAGGTCTGATTAAACAAACAAACAAACAAAAAACTAAAGATAGACCTATCGTATGATCCAGCAATCCCACAGCTGGGTATCTACCCACAAGAAAGGAAATTGGTATATTGAAGAGATATCTGCACTCCTGTTTGTTGCAGCACTGTTCAAGATAGCTGAGATTTGGAAGCAATCACAGTGTCTATTTACAGATGAAAGGATAAAGAAAATGTGGTGTATATGCACAATGGAGTACTATTCAGCCACAAAAAAGAATGAGATCCTGTCATTTGCAACAACATGGATGGAACATGTACAATGGAGTACTATTCAGCCACCAAAAAGAATGAGATCCTGTCATTTGCAACAACGTGGATGGAACTGGAGGTCATTATGTTAAGTGAAATAAGCCAGGGACAGAAAGATAAACATCGCATGTTCTCACTTATTTGTGGGATCTAAAAATCAAAACAATTCAACTAATGGACATAGATAATAGAAGGATGGTTACCAGTGGCTGGAAAGGGTAGTGGAGGGCTAGTGGAAAGGGAGGGATGGTTAATGGGTACAAAAAAATAGAATAAATAAGACCTATTATTTGATAGCACAGCAGGGTGACTGTAATCAATAATAACAATTGCATATTTAAAAATAACTAAAAGACTATAATTGGATTGTTTGTAACACAAAGGATAAATGCTTGAGGGGATGGATACCCCATTCTCCATGATATGATTATTTTGCATTGCATGCCTGTGTCCACAATATCTCATGTACTCCATAAATATATACAACTACTATGTGCCCACAAAAACTAAAAATTAAAGATGAGGTTTGAGTTTTGCTGGGAAGGATAAGTAAAATTTCTATCAGTTTAAAGAGGGTTCTATCCCTACTCTACCTATAAATTGCTGTGTGATCTTAGGTAATTTCCTCTTGCACTCTGGACTTCAGTATTCCTACCTGTAACATTAGGCAGTCAGGTTGGATGACTTCCAAAGAAGCCTTTGGCTTTGATGTTATGTGCATCTTAAAATAGTTGATTAACTTGGTTTTGTTTTATACCGGTGACTGTGGAATCCAGGGTAATAAGAGTAGAAAGAGGTAGTTGTTGGTGAGCACATTCCTTCTCTGAATCCCTGTCTACTTTGATTCAGTATGTAAAGTACCTTACACACAGTGGCTACTTGAAAAGTGTTTTCTTTCCCGTCTTTCTACTGTAGCACTGTATCTTTATGCCTTGTATAGCATGCTTCAAAAGAGGCACAAATCACTTCCCCTCCTTGGTTGCCTCTTGACCAGTATTAAGTCTAGAGACTGCATAGCGAGAAACATCAAATTACAGGTCATAGGTGATGGGACTTCTACAGGGGCGATGGCTTATAAATTGCAGAGCCAGGACTTAAACCTGGGTCTCCTGACTTTAATTCCAGTAATCTTTTAAAATATTGCCCTACCTTTTGAAACCTCACAGTGATCCTGCATTTATTATAGAGTCATTCAGTTGATTCATAATTAATGCTTCAATATAATTAGTTGCTCATAAATTGTTAGGTTCCCTGAGCCTCTGGGGCATTGGTAAAATGTGATCGCTCTGTCTTTCTCTCTGTCTGTTGTATTCATTTGTTGTCCAGGATGGATAGAATGGTGCTATCTGAGCTGTTATAATGTTGGCCTCATGCCTAGCTTTATATTGCAGCACGTCTGAGGCATTGGTTTTTCATCCTTCCAAACTTTTGGTCTACAGAGACTATTAGAAGATTAAGGTGTGTATACTCACTTTATTCAAAAGTTGAGCATGTTTGTTGTTTTGGACCTGTTTTCCTGTAAACAAAGTTTAAAATGGTACAGGTTTTAAAATGTGCTAATTATTTTGATGAGTGTAGATATACAAAATGACCATTGGAGGATCAATGAGGGTAAAAAGAGGAAAGACTTGTGGAGAACCTATAAGAAAGGGCTTGTTGGAGGGCTGCAGGGAAGCTGGAAAGTAGTATAGAAACCTTAAGCAAGTTCAGAAGGAAGTGATTAAGAAAGCACAAAATTGTGTTCTGTGAGTATAGTTGAAGGTCCTGGAAATGTTTGGCATTGAGAAAATAGATTTGGGAGGTCTCAAAAGAGTATTTCAGGTATCTAAAGTTCTGTCTGGGGAAGAGATAGTGGTCTTTTCTGAATAGCTCTAAGATACAAGATTTAGTACTAACAGATGGAAGTTTTTTCTTTGTTTATTCATTCGTTTGTTTATTCAACAAATCTTTATTGATTACCTGTTCTGTGCCAGGCGTGGTGTTGCAGATCGAGAAATACATAGGACATGAACTTTGTTCTTGAGGTGTTTATAGTCTATGTCTAGCAGGGGAGAGGGGTGAAAGGGAAAGCAAATGTGTAAACAAATTATTGCAATGCAGTGTAAGAGCTTATTATAAGTGATAACTCATTAAATGAGATGGCTGAAGATAGAAGAGACAGTCTTTGGAGATTTTAGATTTCCTGTCATTGCAACTTTTCAAGCATAGACTGGATGACCTAGGCTGGAATGTAGTAAAAGAATTGAAATATTAGATTCCAATGCTTATTTTAGGTTTTAAGTAATAATGGAATCTCTTTGAAAGTGAAGATCTATCACAGAATTCTCCAAACATAGTAAAAGGACTGAGAAATGGAGAAAAGCCTGTATCAGGAAGGTTGGTGAAACCTTTGTTGGCATAATCGTGGGCTGTGGGCCTGAAATGGAGTTACATTCAATGAAGCTGTTGGTTGAAGGACCTGGGAGGCAGGGAAGGACTTGACTAGGGTATCAGATGGCTGCAGGGAGTGTAATTTTGGAACTGGCAGCCTGGAGTGGGAAGGTACACTTGAGAACTGAGACAGTAAAAGTTCTCTTGCGGGAGCTGAGGGACTTGAGTTACAGTTGGGAGGGAAAACAAAGGTAAATCTGGGAAGAGAAACTGGAAGAAATGGATAAAAAGAACATCAGAGTTAATCTGCATTAACAAGATTGTCCTTGCTTGCTTGATTTCTTTTGTTCAAAAAGAGAAGGAGCAGTTGGTTTGCCAAAGGTGGGTCAGGATGAATTATGCAAAGAAGTGGGGTTAGGGTTTGGCCTTGATGGATGAGTAAGATTTTTATCAGTCAGAGAAGGGAGAAATCATTGACAGGAAACACGTTGGGGTGTGTGTTTGTGTGTGTGTCTGTGTGTGTGTATAAGTAAATAAGAATACAAGTACAGTGGAACAGATTTCTGAGGTTTGAATTAGTTTGAATTAGGCTGTGTCTAGGTGTAGTGGCTTAGTTGATAAGGCAGGTTGATGTCAGATAGTGAAGGACCTTGAATTTTATCTGTACTAAACTTCCTAAAGGCAAGGTATATATCTTTATGCAAAGTTTGATTAATTAAAATATTTGAGTTCACTATGAGCTAGATACTATATAAAGCATTGTTGGATTGCAAAGATGACAAAATTGGGCCCAACATTTGAGGAACATTCTGGCTCCCAGGGAAGACATACCTATAAACAATTGTAATAGCAATAATAGAAGGGATAACCTGGAAAGTTACCCATTGCTTTGGGAATATGGAGGAGGGGGCACCTAACTTCTTGAAGTGATGAGGACACATTTCCAAATGGGTTCAAGGAAGAAATAACAATTGAATTAAGCCTTGAAGGATGAGTGAATTCATAGTTGAAGCATAGGGAAATTGGTATTCTAGGCAGAAGGATCAGCATGCACAAAAGCATAGAAGTGTAAAAGCTATGGGATATTTGAAGAAGTTGGAGAAGTTGGGTGTGGATAGAGTGTAAGGGAAATTAGAGTGGTAGTGGTGGGAAATGAGGCTAATTGGTGCATTTGGTCAAATAACAGAGGGCCTCTAAAAGCAAGCTAAAAACATCAGCTTTTATCCTGAGATGTCAATGAAGGGTATTTTGTTTTGTTTTGTTTTGTTTTTGAGACAGAGTCTTGCTCTGTCTCCAGGCTGGAATGCAGTGGCGTGATCTCAGCTCACTGCAACCTCTGCCTCCCGGGTTCAAGCAATTCTCCTCCCTCAGCCTCCTGAGTAGCTGGGACTACAGGCGCGCGCCACCATGCCCAGCTAATTTTTTGCATTTTAGTAGAGATGGGGTTTCACCATATTGGCCAGGATGGTCTCAATCTCTTGACCTCGTGATCTGCCCACCTTGGTCTCCCAAAGTGCTGGGATTACAGGTGTGAGCCACTGCTCCCAGCCAGTGAAGGGTTTTAAAAGTAGAAGAGTAGTGTGTTCTAAGGTTACTGACAGCTCCTGGATAAAGGATTGAGGAAAAAACTGGATGTGGGGGGATCAGTTCTTTATTAGAAATTGTTAAAAAAAAAAACTCCTATAGATTTTATTCATAGTATTTTAAGTAATTGATGCCTAAAGCGGTAGTATTCAAATCTGACTGGCATTGGGATCACTAATTTTCAAAATACAGAATTAGGTCTTAACTCAGCCGTTCTAAATCAAAATTTATGGAGGCCAAGCCAGGATATCTATATTTCTAAAAGCTCTTGGTAATTATTGTGCTGGTTTTTTGAACCCATTATTCTCTAAAGCACTGTTGTGTTTAACTCCAAAGAGCTTATATTTTAAATAGTCATGGTTAAATGTATAATTTCTACTGCAGCATGGAAGACTAATGAGCAATATTTTTAACTCTGGATACATTCATATGTATCCATTGTCAAGGACGTTTATTTAAGATAATAACATTTTCATTAAAACTATTGATAACATGTGATAGGAAATCCCCCCCATCTTTATTTATTTAGAGACAGAGTCTCCCTCTGTCACCCAGGCTGGAGTACAGTGGTGCGATCTTGGTTCACTGCAGCCTTTGCCTCCCATGTTCAGGTGATTCTCCTGCCTCAGCCTCCCTAGTAGCTGGGATTACAGGCACCCACCACCACGCCTGGCTAATTTTTGTATTTTTAGTGGAGAGGGGGTTTCAACATATTGGCCAGGCTGGTCTCAAACTCCTGACCTCAAGTGATCCGCCTGCCTTTGCCTCCCAAAGTGCTGGGATTACAGGCATGAGCCACCGCGCTTGTCCTATCCCCTATCTTTTAGATTTTATTCTACTGTTTCTCAGAAGTAGTGGAGATTTTGCCAGTAAATTCTGCACCATATAGGACAGGATGGTTACTGCATTGACCATTTTATATTTAGAAGAAGAAAGCCAAGCACAGTGGCTCTCGCCTGTAATTCCAGCTGCTTGGGAGACTGAGGTGGGAGGATTGATTGAGACCTGGAGTTTGAGACCAGCCTGGGCAACATAGGGAGACTCTTGTCTCCAAAAAAATTTTTTTTAATTAGATGGGCATGGTGGCGCATGCCTGTAGTCCCAGCTACTCTGGAGGCTGAGTGGGGAGGATCTCTTGAGCCCTGGAGTTTGAGGCTGCAGTGAGCTATGATTGTACCACTGCACTCCAGCCTGGGGTAACAGAGCAAGAATCCCATCTCTCTCTCTCTCTCTCTCTCTCTCTCTTTTTTTTTTTAAAGAACAAGGTAGAATTTCAGAGGAGGGAAACACTGGAGAGATTATATAGTCTCAGGGGTTAGCAAACTTTTGCTGTAAAGGGCAAGATAGTAAATAATGTAAGTTTGTGGACATACAATCTCTGTTGCAACTACTGAACTCTGCCAGCATCAGGTAAAAAAAAAAAGCCATAGACAATTTATAAATGAATGGGTGTGGCTGTGTTCCAATAAAACTATCTACAAAAACAGCAGCTTTCCTGACCCTTGATACAGTCCATTCCCAAGAGGGAAAGTGTAACTTGTCTAAGGTTATAAAATTAGAGGTTGGCAGAGAACTCACTATGTGGAATGCTGTTAGCAGTTTTATTTAATCTTCACATAGATGAATAAATGAAACCTAAGAGGTTGAAGAATTTCTCTAAAGTTAGTAAGTGGTACTGGGATTCACACTTAGTTTTTGCTAGGCCAAATTTCTGCTTTCAACTACATCATAATGGTTTTCCGTGCTTTGCAATGTCTCAGAATGGGAATGCAAAGAAAAGCAAGATATTGTGATTTTTCATTAGTGCTTGGCATATAGTAGGCATTTACATCAGTGAGTGTTAGCAATATCATGGTGTGCAGTGGAAGGACTTGAGCTAGACCCTGAAGGAAGGGCTGTATAATTTTGATTCTTTGCAATTTTTTAACATGTATTTCCTTTTGGTCAAAAATAATAAAAGAGTTATATTGTTCTTATTTCTGATTCTAGTAGCTGCTGCTGGTGGTGACAATGTCAAATAACGGCCTAGACATTCAAGACAAACCCCCAGCCCCTCCGATGAGAAATACCAGCACTATGATTGGAGCCGGCAGCAAAGATGCTGGAACCCTAAACCATGGTTCTAAACCTCTGCCTCCAAACCCAGAGGAGAAGAAAAAGAAGGACCGATTTTACCGATCCATTTTACCTGGAGATAAAAGTATAGTATTTGATTTTCTTCTCATCATTTATATGCTTTAAAAAAATTATTTTGGGTAACCTGGATAAAAGATCTGTTGTCTTTGACTTAATTTTCCTTTAATGTTTTCTTTCTGGTTAAATATTTCCCTTTCTCCCTACAGTGGCTGAAGCAAAATGGAAAATAGACCTATTTTTATACTCTATTAACTATATCTGAGCAAAACTGTAAGAGAATAATTATGCTCTTGCCAGATTTGGGACAATCTGAAGTGATTTATTTATTTTTAAATTCTTAAACTGTTTATGAAGCCACAAAATGTAAGAAAAATTGAAATGTCTTTATTTGGAATTTTTTTCCCCCCGAGTTAGTTTCAATTGGAAATGTTTTCTTTCCAAAATCTTGATTGCCTTTTCTTTATTCCAGCTTCCTGGTCCCACTTTCAGGTTTGGGGACTACGTATCAGTAAGAATGGCAAGTAACAGCTGAGAAAAGGATGCAGAGATAACTAGCATTCAGCATGAGTTTACTATGAATAAATTATCCTGGGCAGCCTCATTTCCTTTTTATTGATAAAACTTCTGTTAATAGAAGAGTAATCATATGATGAATAGTGGTGATTTTAACACTGATTTTAACACTGTTGATTTAATAGTGTATATGAAAAAGTCACCAAGATCCTCGTAGACAAGGTTGTAAAATAAAGGTTTTGGTGTCCACAACAAAAGATGACTTTTGTTTGGTACCAAAAATGTTGATTTAAGTGGCTGTTGCTCTGAAGTAAAGTTCTCCTTATATTTGTGGGCCCTGTTCTTATGGCATGCTAAAGATACTGGCTTTCTGTGTGTAAGTAGTTACCATGAGCTTCTGGTTTAGATGGAGCTGGGTCACCACTTACCAGCTTTCTGATCTTAGGCATGTCAGTTAACTGCTTTGACCTTTATTTAGTTTCCTATTTTAAAAGTGAGATATCATTTCACAGGGTTGTTGTGAAGACTACATACAAAGTTCCTAATAGAGTACCTTCCACACAGAAGGTATTTGAATGTTAGTTCTCTGTCTCTTTACTCCTTTGTCTCTGTCTCTTTACTCCTTTGTTGATGAATAGAAACTGGGAGGCATAGCTGGTAGACTACATGGTAAAATCAGAACTGAGATTCTGAAACAGTAGGGCAGATACAACAAGCACAATGGTAGATTGCGGAAAATATCTCATGTTGTAGAAAAATATAATTGCCTAACTACGGATCAGGGGAGATGGTAGATGGTAGTGTCATTAGCCCAATAGGGAACATAGAAAGAAGGAACAAATTAGGAGTGTTGGTGATTGGAGAGCAGGGAAGATGATTATTTTGGACACATTGCATTTGTAGTGTCTTTATATAGATATGTCTTATAAGCAGATCTCATGTATTGTAAATGTCGTACAAGTGAAATGAGAAATAATAAGGACTTTTAATGAGTACATTGGGCTTATATCGTTATGTGTATGAGTCCTTCTACTTCACCTTCACTTCCCTTTGGGTTTGGTGGCTTTGGGTAGAAAAGAAGGCCAGGCACAGGGGCTCATGCCTGTAATCCCAACACTTTGGGAGGCCGAGGTGGGAGGATTGCTTGAGCTCAGGAGTTTGAGACTAGCCCGGGCAAAATAGGAAGACCTTGTCTCTACTAAAAAAAAAAAAAAAAAAGGAGTCGGGCATGGTGGCGTGTGCCTGTAGTAACAGCTGCTTGGGAGGCTGAGGCAGGAGGATTGCTTGAGCCTGGGAATTTGAATCTGCAGTGAGCTGTGATCATGCCACTGCACTCCAGCCTGGGTGACAGAGTGAGATCCTGTCTTAAAAAAATAAAATAGGCCGGGTGTGGTGGCTCATGCCTGTAATCCCAGCACTTTGGGAGGCTGAGGCGGGTGGATCACCTGAAGTCAGAAGTTCAAGATCAGCCTGGCCAACATGGTGAAACCCCATCTCTACTAAAATACAAAAAATCAGCTGGGCATGCTGGCAGGCGCCTATAATCCCAGCTACTCAGGAGGCTGAGGCTGGGAGTATCACTTGAACCCGGGAGGCGGAGGTTGCAGTGAGCCAAGGTTGCGCCATTGCACTCCAGCCTAGGCAACAAGAGCTAAACTCCATCTCACAAAAAATAAATAAATAAAATAAAAGATATGGGTAAGGTGCTTAACCTTGATTTCCTGACTAATTCATTCATATAGTAGCTGCCAACTTCCTTGGTACAAGGGCTATGATCTGAGACAGTGTTAAATGCCCTGCAGTCTTCTTCCACATATGTAGCCACTTTGTTTATCCCTCAATTTAGATGTGTATTTATTTTTAATATTGTATCTTATCAACCAGTGTTCTTGATCTCTATAAATAGGCTTTCAGCCCAAGTGTCTACATGTAGTGAAAGAGGACTTTTTAAATTAAAAAGTTTAAATTGTTCTTGCTGACTCAAACTAGAAAGGTAATAAGATTCTCATCCAGTAGGCATCATCAAAACTAAAAACATTTATGTTTCAAAGGGCATCATCCGGAAAGCAAAAAGGTAACACACAGAAAGGAGAAAAATTTCCCAAATTACATATTTTATAATGGATGTGTATCTAAAATATGTGAAGAAGAACTATTGCAAGTCAACAACCGAAAGACAAGTAATTTTAAAATGGGCAAAATATCTAAATAGACATATCTCCAAAGAACATATACAAATGGCCAAGAAGCACATGAAAGGATTCTCAAATCATTAGCCATCAGGGAAATGCAAATCAAAACCACAATGAGATACCACTTCACACTCACTAGGATGGCTATAATAAAAAAGATAATAACAAGTGTTAGTGAGGATGTGGAGAAATTGCAACCCTCATAATTGCTGGTGGGAATGTAAAATGGTGCAGCCTCTGTGGAAAACAGTCTGGCAGTTCCTCAAAAGATTAAACATAGAGTTACCAGCAGTACATGAATGTTTATAGCAGCATTCATAATAGCCAAAAAGCAGAAACAACCCAAATACCCCATCAGCTGATGAATAGATAAATAATAAAATGTGGAATATCCATACAATGAAATATTTGGTAACAAAGACATGAAGTTCTGATCCGTGCCATGACATGGATGACCCTTGAAAATGCTGTGTTAAGTGAAAGAAGCCAGTTACAAAGGATCACATATAGTATGATTCTATTTGTAGGAAATGTCCAGCATTGGTAAATTCATAGATAGAAAGTAGATTAGCGGTTGCCTTGGGCTGCAGAGAGGGAGAGGCAATTAAAACTAGGAGATGATTACTAAGAGGGGTGGGGTTTCTTTTTGTAGTGATGAAATGTTCTAAAATTGATTTTGGTGATACCTGTCCAGCTCTCTGAATATATTAAAAGCCATTGAATTTTACACTTCATGGGTGAATTGTTTGGTAAGTGAATTACATCTCAATAAAGCTGATTTTTAAAAAAGAAGATTCCAGTCTGAAACAGCAGATGGAAGCAGAGCCTTCAGACATCATTGGAACCTGGAGGGACAATCTTATGTGCTAAATGGGAAAGTGGGGGTCTAGATATTGGGATTATAGTATTGGTTCTTCCATAAATTGGCTGTCTGATTTGGGTCAATTATTTCTCTGTAGACGTCAGTGCCTTCATCTAGAAAAGGAGAGAGAGCAGTAGGCATGTGCAGTTTCTTTTAGCTTTAGAATCCTATAACTGGCCAGGCACGGTGGCTCATGCCTGTAATCCCACCACTTTGGGAGGCCGAGGCGGGTGGATCACGAGGTCAGGAGATGGAGACCATCCTGGCTAACACGGTGAAACCCCGTCTCTACTAGAAATACAAAAAATAAGCCGGGCGTGGTGGCGGGTGCCTGTAGTCCCAGCTGCTGGGGAGGCTGAGGCAGGAGAATGGCGTGAACCCAGGAGGCGGAGCTTGCAGTGAGCCAAGATTGCGCCACTGCACTTCAGCCTGGGCGACAGAGCGAGACTCCGTCTCAAAAAACAAAATAAAATAAAATAGAATCCTATAATTACATAAATGTGATGTTGCAAAGGCGTGGTTAGATCAGGCTTGTCTATATAGGTGAAAAGAAACTAGGCCATTGTAAAGTACTTTATTCAATGATACAGCTGTAGAAAATCCTAGGCTAAATCTAAGTAACCTTAGGCTAAATCTGATCTGAAAATACATCTCATAGCCTCAAGATCAAAACTGCATCTCTGCAGGCTGAAAACATAGAGGTAGAAAACATACAGAGTTATAAGAAGTTCTTGCAAAATGATCTAACTATCTTTCATCCTTTGGTTACAGATTTTCTATATTTGCCCTGGGCACATAGGTTTCATCCCTTTGCTTTAAGACCCTTGATGGCTATAACTAATGCATACATCAAAATGAAAGAAGTCTGAGGTGTTTTTCTTTTGTTTGGAGCCTTTGATCAACCAGTAAGCTACTCAACTTAGTCCTATAAGGATACACAGCAGTGTTGGTAGTCTTTGAAGTGGTATATGCCCTTCATGTAGTATTTGAGCATTTATACCAGCTGCATAGAGTTATGTCTGGAACTGGACTTATAACACAGATTGAGTCCAGCCACTGACATTTGTTAACTCTGATTTATTTTTTAAATTTCATTCCAATATCCTCACTTCCCATTCATCCTATATCATTAGTAGGCTTTTGTCATTTGACATAGTAGATATAAAAGCATTTTCTAAACTAAAATGCAATACAAATAGGAGGTTTGTTTTTTAAAAATGGAAACCTCATTTATTGTTTTATTTGATACCTACAACAACTCATTTTTAGTTGGGGAGGCTAAGGCTTAGAGAAAAGTAAGTTGCTCAAGGTCTCACAAGTGGAAAGTGGGAGAGCTGAGTATGGAACTAAGTCTTCCTAAATTATCTGTTCCATTGTAACATAACTATCTCTCTTAGTTGTTCTCAACCCTGATTACATGTTGGACTCACTTATGGTGCTTTTAAAAAATACAGGGCGGGGTGCAAGTGGCTCACGCCTGTAACCCCAGAAGTTTGGGAGGCCGAGGCGGGCGGATCACTTGAGGTCAGGAGTTCTAGACCAGCCTGGCCAACATGGCAAAACCCTGTCTCTACTAAAAATACAGAAATTAGCCGGTTGTGGTGGCAGGCACCTGTAATCCCAACTACTCAGGAGGCTGAGGCAGGAGAATCGCTTGAATCTGGGCGGCAGAGGTTGCAGTGAGCCAAGATCATGCTACTGCACTCCAGCCTGGGTAACAGAGTGAAACTCCATTACAAAAAAAAAAAAAAAAAGGCTGGGCGTGGTGGCTCACACCTTTAACCCCAGCACTTTGGGAGGCCAAGGCGGGTGGATCACTTGAGGCCAGGAGCTCAAGACTAGCCTGGCCAACATGGTGAAACCCTGTGTCTACTAAAAATACAAAAATTAGCTGGACGTGGTAGTGGGCACCTGTAATTCCAGCTACACAGAAGGCTGAGGCAGGAGAATTGCTTGAACCCAGGAGGCAGAGGTTGCAGTGAGCTGAGATCACACCACTGTACTCCAGCATGGGTGACAGAGCAAAATTCTGTCTCAAAAATAATTAATTAATTAATTAATACTGATACCTGCATTCCACCCAGACCTTTGGAGTCAGAATTTCTAGAGGAGTTGTCTTGGGTCTCTAGAGAGATTTTTGGGAGATGAGAAAGAAGAATGATCTGTAGGCTGTAGTAATGGTTGAGATTTGAGCTGCCAGTGGGTAGAATGTCTTTGGGCATTACCTAATGCTGACCTCTCTAGCATGGCCTCAGTATGTGCCTGGGGGATGCATAAATGATTGGAAAGAGAAGCTGTAATTGAGGGCCTGTAATAGGTGATGCTGAGTTGCAGAATTCCATGTGGGAAAGCCTGGTTCCTGTGGTTAGGATCTGGAGCCTTTGGTTTATTCTAAGAAGTCTTTCAGCATTTAGTTTGAAATCTTTTTCTGGCTGCATTTTCACAAGCAAAGTGGAATTCTCTGAGCTTGGGAAGAGTTTAGCAAAGTTAATTTTAACATTGGACTATGTCAGTGTTTATCTCTCCAAGTTTGGAACGTTTTACTGCCTTGAGCTCAGATTAGCTCAGTGGAGCCAATGAGAGGTGCTGCTTAAAAATCATTTTTTTAAAAAAGGCCAGTGATTTGTGCTGAAACTTTGATGGCTATACCAAGACATGGGATTTTGCAGTGTCAGCCTCATTTCCCATGCTATCAGAAAGCCAAGTGGTCTAGGTCAAAGATAGGGTTAAAGTTGGGATGGGTGAGGTTGGAAGCTTCTTTTCCCGCTTTATTTTCTCAATCCCAAGATCTCTAGATACATGAAATCAAGATGATTCTTTCCTCTTTCTCACCTCAACCACAGTTTCTCTGTCTTAATGAATGGGCTGAGAAACCTAACAGTTTTTTATATTAATGACAACTCATGTTTGTAAAGTTCTTTAGTTTACAAAGCACATATATTTCCTGTAACTTAAAGAATTCTTTTTTTTTTGAGACAGTCACGCTCTGTTGTCCGGGCTAGAGTGCAGTGGCGCGATCTCAGCTCACTGCAACCTCCACCTCCTGGGTTCAAGCAATTCTCCCTGCCTCAGCCTCCCGAGTAGCTGGGATTATAGGCACCTGCCACCACGCCTGGCTAATTTTTGTATTTTTTAGTAGAGGCGGGGTTTCACCATGTTGGCCAGGCTGGTCTTGAACTCCTGACCTCAGGTGATTCACCCGCCACGGCTGCCCAAAGTGCTGGGATTACAGGCATGGGCCACTGCGCCCAGCCAAGAATTCTTAACATCGTTGTAGGAATCCTTATTTAGATATAAGTCTTCTGTCAGTTATATATGTTACAAATATCTTCTGTGCTCTTAGCTTTTATTAGATTAAGTAAATTCCCCTGTAATCTTAGACAGATGCTTGGCATGATGTGAGATAGAATTTTAATGTGGTCAAATTTATTAATTATTTCCTTTCTAATGCTTTGTGGTTCTATTTTTGAAATCTTTACCTACTCAGAGACATGAAGGTTTTTCTATTGAGTTTTCTGTATTCACGTACATGAGCACATGATCTGTAAATTGTAATAGTTCTTTTTCTTTCTTTGTAATCCTTCTCCTTTTACTTCTTTTTCTTGCCTAATTGCACTGGTTAATACCTTCAGTACTATGATGAATAGAAGTGGTGAGGAGGAATACCCTTCTCCTGTTTTTAATCTCAGGAAAAGCTTTCAGCATTTTAGAATTGAGTATAATGTTTGCTCCAGTTTTTGGTAATTACCTTTTATTAGATTAAGTAAATTCCCTTGTAATCCTAGTTTGCTAAGAGTTTCTAATCATGATTGATATCACATTTCAGCAAATGCTTTTTTCTGCATTAATTGAATTGATTATATATATTTTCTTCTTTATTTTCTTAATATAGTAAATTACATTCACTTTTTTTTAAAAAATTGAGATATAATTCACATGCCATACAAGTCACCATCTTAAAATGTACAATTCCGTGGTTTTTAGTATATTCATAAGATTGTACAACCATTACAACTAATTCCAATACATTTTCATCACTCCAGAAAGAAACCTCATACTCATTGCAGTCGTTCCTCACTTCTCCCTTCTCCCCTGGCAACCACTAATCTACTCTGTGTCTATGGATTTGCCTATTCTGGACATTTCATATAAATGGAATTACACAGTATATTGCCCTTTGTGACTGGCTTCTTTCACTTAGCATAATGTTTTCAAGGTTCATCCATGTTGTAGCATGGATCAGGACTTCATTTCTCTTCATGGCTGAATAATAGTATATGGATGTACTGCATTTTATCTATTCGTCACTTGAGGGACATTTGGGTTGCCTTCACTTTTTGACTGTTATGAATAAGCTAATGTGAACATTCACATACAAGTTTTTGTGTAGACATAAGTTTTCATCAGATTCCTGCAGACATACTTCTAGTCATCATAAAAAATTTGCAACTGCAGCAGTAGTCCCAGGGATACTATATCCCTGGGATATGGGACCATCAGGATCCTAGGTTTGCTTTATTTTCTCCATTGTGTCTTCCCTCAGTCCGAAGCTCTTAGTGCCTTCCTGCCTGCAGTCATGTGCTTTGTGAATCTGGTAAGAGTTTATGAAATTTGGTTGACTTGCTGAGCAGGTGGAAAGATGGAAGAAAGATCACACTGCTTACTTCTTTTGGCCTCTGCTTATTCTGTTTCTTTTGGAAATGCCCTTTCCCATCTCGGTCTGGCTAACCCCTGTTCATCCTTTATGACTTCTTTCAGGTATTATCTTCTCCAGAAGAGTGGTTTATTACTTACCTTCTTCTGTACACAGAGCATGCACCATTGTCCTATTTTGCAGATTGAAGACTTGAAACTCAGACTTTCCCTGGGTCACCCAGTGAGTTACTGGCAAAAATAATACTGAATCCTTCCTCTGAGATTCTTTCCACTAACAGAAATTTCTTTTAATTCCCTGACCTCAGCTGTTTAGCTCCTGGGTTTGTGGTGATGAGCCAGTGAGACAGTGACTGGCAGAGCTTGGTGAAGGGCTGTACACAGGTGAAGGGGATGATTGTTACTTCCAAGAAGGGATTAATTGGGTTCCAGGTGGCTCTGGGACTGTATGACTTCTCCATTTCTCTCCTGTATTCCTGCCTCTTGAATCCTGTTTTCTGCTGGTGATCCCCAACTGGTGAATACTCAGTCTAAATATTACACAGTACCAGGCCGGGCGTGGTGGCTCATGCCTGTAATACCAGCACTTTGGGAGGCCAAGGTGGGTGGATCACCCGAGTTCAGGAGTTCGAGACCAGCCTGGCAACATGGTGAAACCCTGTCTCTACTGCAAATACAACAAGTAACTGGGTATGGTGGCGGGTGCCTGTAATCTCAGCTACTTGGGAGGCTGAGGCAGGGAGAATTGCTTGAACCGGGGAGGTGGAGGTTGCAGTGAGCTGAGATCACGCCATTGTACTCCAGCCTGGGCAACAAGAGTGAGACTCTGTCTCAAAAAAAAAAAAAAAAAAAATTACACAGTACCCAAGCTAAATCCTGCCACCTAGATTTCCCCGTTCCTTTTACTTCTCTCCTCTCCCACTTCAACCAAGTCATTGCTATTCTTGTACTCCGCGTCTAATCTATGTTAAACTGTTATTTCAGTTAGTAGTTGATACCAGTCAAATCTCAGTAGGGATCAGGGGTATAATAAAGAGTGAAAGACTTGATCAGGTAGACTACAGTCCTGTGCTCTGTGAATCAGGACAAGTCAACTTACATCCCTGGGCCTCTTTCCTCAGGGAATGGGATCATGGTCTCTAGAGTCACTCCCTAATATTTTCTTTCTTTATTTTTTTGAGACACAGCCTCACTCTGTCACCCAGGCTGGAGTGCAGTGGTACAATTTCAGTTCACTTCAACCTCTGCCTCCTGGTTCAAGCTATTCTCATGCTTCAGCCTCCTGAGTAGCTGGGATTACACGCATGTGTCTCCACGCCCAGCTAATTTTTGCATTTTTAGTAGAGATGGAGTTTCACCATGTTGGCCAGGCTGGTCTTGAACTCCTGACCTCAAGTGATCCGCCTGCTTCAGCCTCCCAAAGTGCTGGGATTACAGACGTGAGCCACCGTGCCCGGCCATTCCCTAATATTTTCTAGAGTGTTCTTCAACTAAGTAAGCCATGTGCTGTATTGAAATTCAGAAGTACAGGGATTGTAATTGGAAGTGGTAATTTTGGTCCTCAAGAAGCTTACATTTTGGATTTTTAAACTAGCAAGGAATTATATAAGATAGGAAATGACTAGATGCTTGGTGGTGTAGCAGACTCAGTGTCTTGGGAATTAACAGGAAGAAGAAAGGTCAGGAAATCCTTCCTGGAAAAAGTGGGACCTGAGCCAGTCTTTAAAAGATTGCTGAGATAGGGAGAAGGAGAAGAGAGCATTCCAAACAAGGAGAAGAAAAAGCAAGCAAAAAGTTGGAGGTGGGAATATGTGAGGTATATTCAAAGGTTGCAGGGTAAAGAGTGCTCAGTAGAAGCAGAGCTGACTTTAGCATTACCCTGTGTGTTCATGTATTAAATGATTTCATTTCTCTGGAACTCTTTTCTGTAAACCACTCATGCTTTGAGCTAACTTTCTTTTTGGGTCTCCTTTACCAAAGTTTCTTATGCATTTGACAGTTCATGCCTGTGATGTATTATATAGTATATCAATTATATATAATAGAAATAATGTATAAACATGCATAGATATAGAAAATAAAAATTGAAATAAAACACAAATATAATTGTACTTCCCTAAGTGACTAGATCAGAGGGAATTTAGAAACAGAAAGTAGTTCCAAAGCCCTGCCACATGTTCCAGTGCATTCTGGCTATGAGAAAGACAGATGGACTTACGTCATAAAGGACTGCTTGACTTGGGGCCCTGGTATACCCCTTAGCCTTCTCTTTCTCAAAGCAGCTGCTTCTGAGAGGGAAATTGCCAAGTGCATAAATAGCTTAAACCCTAGCACTTGGCATGTAGGCAAATGGTTCTCATTAAGATACTGAAGAATGAACGTTTGGAATCAGACCTGGGTTCAAATCCCAGCTCTCAGTAGCTGTATGAGTAAATTACTCAGTTTCCTCATCTGTAAAATGACAGTAGTAGTATTTATCTCATAGGATTGTAAGAATGACGGTAGTAATATCTATCTTGTAGGATTGTAAGAATGAAGAAAAATACTATATTGACATCATGGTTTGTATACATGGCAAGTTCTTAATGTCATTTCTTCTTACTACACTGAAGTATGTTTTCTTGATTCAACTTGAAATTTTTTAGGGGAGGTAAAATAGAATGTGAAGAGCCTTGGCTTTGATGCCAGACTTTTTGGATTTTAATTACTTAATGATTGTAGGCAAGTCTGCTCCCAAATTTTCTAATCTACAAGTAAAACTTACCTCAGGATTGTGGTGATTGTATTAGATGATATGTATGAAATACCTATTTAAAACTGTGGGATGCCATCTCAGGAAGGAATCTTAACTGCAGAGCTTTGAGAAAGCATAGTTTCTTGTTTTCATAGATTCACAGAATGTAGGTGCTTGAGGGACCCTTAAGATCATCTAGCTCATCCTCTCCCTTGTTTAGATGAGAAAGCAGAGATCCTGGTCTCTCTTTCTCTCTCTCTCTCTACACACACACACACACACACACACACACACACACACACTCTGTGGTGAGGTAGAGGTGAAACTGGCTTGAACTCTAGACCTTTTTGTTTTTTCCTTCTCATTTTGCTACCTTTTATCAGGGTTTTGCTGGGTCTGTGGAGGTGTTAGAACTTCAGAATTTCTTTTGGTTAGTGTGTTGAGCTCCCAGACAGCAGGGTTTTAAAATAAGGTTCACAGGTGCTGGGTAACAAGTGTTGTGAAAGTCAGGCCAGAGCTGCTGAAATGAACATTTATTCCTGCCCTGGAGAGAATTTTTGTGTCTTAGGCAGATTCTTTAAACTCCTTGCCCAGTTGAGTTAAATGTCTGGTCATTTTTTCCTTTCTTCACTTACTGTCTGAGCACCTACTTTGTCCAGGTGTGTGCTAGCCTCTGGGAAGCTGTGATTAATTTGACATGGCCTCTGCACTTAGAATTCAGTCTGGTATGGAAGATAAACACTTATAATAGTCAATTACTATTACATATATTGGGTGCTGTGGGAACAGAGAGGGTAAAGAACCACCCAGCCTAGAGATCAAGGAGGGCTTCACAAAAAAGATGACTTACTCTATATCAACTGGCTAGTTACTGGTAAAACCAGAACTGTTAACTCTGACAGACGATCTTTTTGCCTCTCCCTTTATTTTATTGTTTTTTGTTTTTTTGAGACAGGGCCTCACTCTGTCACCCAGGCTGGAATGCAGTGGCGTGATCTCAGCTCACTGCAACCTCTACATCCTGGGCTCAAATGATCCTCTTGCCTCAGCTTCACAAGTAGCTGGCATTACAGGCATGCACCACCATGTCTAGCTAATTTTTGTATTTTTGCAGAGACAGGGTTTTGCCATGTTGCCTAGGCTGGTCTTGAACTCCTGGACTCAAGCAATCTGCCTGCCTTGGCCTCCCAAAGTGCTGGGATTACAGGCATGAACCACCGTGCCCGGCCACCTCCCGTACTTTAGTTCAACAAGAAATTAAGTCTTTAAACATGCATTGAGTATCTGCTCCAATCCAGATCCGTAACTGAGCTCTTCTACATATGTGAAATATTAATAGATAGACTTTGCCCTCTCAAGGAGACTACAGCTCAATAAAGAGCTAAAATAAGCCTAAAAACAATAATGTTCCTGTTTTTTATTTCCTTTTGCCTGTTTCTCTTGCAGCAAATAAAAAGAAAGAGAAAGAGCGGCCAGAGATTTCTCTCCCTTCAGATTTTGAACACACAATTCATGTCGGTTTTGATGCTGTCACAGGGGAGTTTACGGTAAGTCCTGGGTCACAGAAAGGTCTTTAGTCTTTTAGAGTTCTGGCTGTGCACTGTTAGATTCAACCCTTTCTCATCTTCCTGATGCTTCTATCTTTGCCTGAGACCCTGATTACAATTTTCTCACGTTCATGAGTGGGACACTTTCATCGCCAAAATTGTATCCAGAGAAGCCTTTCCATCTCCGTTCCTTAAATAATAAACCTCTGTTAAATGGTAGGCTTGGTAGCAGGCTCTGTGTGGGGCACTGATCATGCAGGAACAACATCCTATCCTACCATCCTGGAGGTATAGCCTGGTGAAGGAGCAGACATCTTAAGAAATGACTAATTCAATGAGAAAGATATTATAAAAGAGGCTTGTGTAAACTCTGAGAGTATAGAGAGAAAGGAATGACTAATAAATGCATCTTTTGCTGCTAGCAAGTGTCAAAGTTAGCTCTGATGTTCTTTCAGGCTCCCCTGTGACTGTGCCTTCCTGTTAGTCTTGCATGTCTCTCTTACAGGGAATGCCAGAGCAGTGGGCCCGCTTGCTTCAGACATCAAATATCACTAAGTCGGAGCAGAAGAAAAACCCGCAGGCTGTTCTGGATGTGTTGGAGTTTTACAACTCGAAGAAGACATCCAACAGCCAGAAATACATGAGCTTTACAGGTATGAGAACTGCGTCCAGGGCAGTCTCAGCAAGAGATGGTTTTAATCTGGGTGGGAAAGCTCACATGCCTATTAGTCTGGGATGAGAGAAGAAAGTAGTGGAAAGAGTGGAAGTGGCACTTTAACGTGGAATTTTGGAATTTGACAGCCAAGATGATGGACTTTGCATCAAACTTGAGTCTTCACTCTGTCACTGCACACGTTTTTTTAAAAATAGCATGGTATTATATAGAGAGAACACAGGTTTTATGCTAGAAGGTCTAGATTCTGACCTTTACTAGGTTCTACCAGTCACTTCATTTCTTTGCATCTCAAAATGGGAATTCCTATCTCAAGAGGCTGTAGTGAGAAATGGTTGGGCGCAGTGCCTCACGCCTGTAATCCCAACACTTTGGGAGGCCAAGGCAAGAGGATCGCTTGAGGTCAGGAGTTCGAGACCAGTCTGGGCAACGTGGCAAAACCCTGTCTCTACAAAAAATACAAAAATTAGCCGGGTGTGGTGGTGCATCCCTGTGGTCCCAGCTACTTGGGAAGCTGAGGAGAAGGGATCACTTGAGCCTGGGAGGTGGAGTTGCAGTGAGCAAGGATCACACCACTACACTCCAGCCTGGGCAACAGAGTGAGACCCTGTCTCAAAAAAAAGAGGTTATAGTGAGAAATAAGTGAGCTGATTGATGTGAGAGTTCTTTATAAGTTGTAAAACATCACCATAGAAATGTAGCTATCATTGTCATCATTATTGTTAATATTATTATTAGTTATTTAATAACATTAATGTATGTCTTCCTCAGGGAACTAATTTTTATTAGTTAAATGAAAAACAGGCCAATAAAGAATAAGTTTCTTTAGATGTACCCTCGGTAGAAGGGACTATATTTTTCAGAGTGTTTTTAATAGCAGAATTGGGATTAGAACCCAGGTCTCCTAATTCCTGTAACATCACCTTTTGAATTTACTACTTGCCCCTAATAATGTTATTTGGAGGCTCTCCTTCCACAGCGGACCAGCTTTCCATTGTTTTGCAGGTGTGAGAACCAAAGAAGGCCTTTCTAATATGCTAAATTAATAGTGGGCTAATCTTTTAATTTCTAGGCTCTTTACTCATGTTGCCTCCTTCAAATGGCAGTATTGTTGGGAAGGTGAGAACCAGGATGAACTAGTGAATTTTGAAGGATGCTTTCCCCAGCCAGTATCTGGCTTGTTTCAAGGGCACAGATGGTGGAGATGACAGGCTGCAGCTTCACTCATGCTGCTATGGTGGTGCCCAGGAGAGGGCCATGCATGTGCCCAGCAGTATTTCCTTCCTCTCGTCTGGCCCCGCTGAGTCTGTCTCACTTACTCCATTGAGGGACTGAGTCATTTCAAGGAGGAATTGGGCTGGAGGGCTACTGAGTGGGAAAGTTTTCTAGTCAGGAAATTAGAGTTTGTGTTTAAGGAACTTGTCATGGAAACATCAGGTTAGAGGCTGTCTTTGAAAACCTCAGTGGCCAAGTCTTTGCAAGGATCTTTCCTGCATGTATGTATGTAAATATGTGCTAGTGGCATGTAAATGTGTATGTAAACAGAGACATAGCCCTGTGGGTTTGCATATATTTGGAATTAAAGCCTACTTAAGTATTCATGAACAAAGATAAAGTCCACTCAGGTATTCATGAACGAACATATGTATAAATATAAACATTCAGGTAATTATGTGTATGTTCATTCATGCATGCACATATGAATAATATTGAGTGTATATGTACAGATACGTGTGTACATCTACTTTTGTATGTATAAATTTGTGCACATGTATATATATGTATGCAAGAATTTTAATTTTCTATAAGTTGAAGACTAGGGCCAACTCTAGGCAAAATTGCATATTTGGTATAGGTTTTTTTAAGTGTCATATCTCTCCTTTCCCTATTTACCATCCTCTTATACTATTAGTTATGATAATACTACCTCATTTGTATATGCTCACATGTGAATTACCTCATGTGATTCTTTTGCTGGAGTCCTGTGGTGTGATCTTGGCTCACTGCAGCCTGTGCCTCCTGGGCTCAGGTGATTCTCCTGCCTCAGCCTCCTGAGTAACTGGGACTGCAGGCATGCACCACCACCCCCAGCTAATTTTTGTGTTTTAATAGAGACAGTTCACCATGTTGGCCAGGCTGGTCTGGAACTCCTGACCTCAAGTGACCTGCTCACCTTGGCTTCCCACAGTTCTGGGATTACTGGTGTGAGCCACTGAGCCTGGCTCCCTCATGTGATTCTTATGATGGCCTTAGATTGGCAGGGCAAGGACTATTATGCTCATTTTATATACTCAAAGAAATTAATTAGGCTCAGAGAAGTTAAATGACATACCCCAAGTGACTCAGCTGATACATGATGGAAATGTATTTTAAGTTGGGCCTTTAACTCCTTTGCTGCCTATAACCGAAGCACAATCTTCCATGCTAATTTTTTTGTCAAGTATTTCTATTTTTTCAACACTTAATTTTTTTTTTTTTTTTTTTGAGATGGAGTCTCACTCTGTCACCCAGGCTGGAGTGCAGCAGCGCGATCTCGGCTCACTGCAACATCTGCCTCCTGGGTTCATGCAATTCTTCTGCCTCAGCCTCCCAGGTAGCTGGGACTACAGGTGCATGCCACTATGCCTGGCTAATTTTTGTATTTGTAGTAGAGATGGGGTTTCACCATATTGGCCAGGCTGGTCTTGACCTATTGACCTCATGATCCACCCACCTTGGCCTCCCAAAGTGCTGGGATTACAGGCGTGAGCCATGTGCCTGGCAACACTTAATTTTTTATACCTGTTAGTAGCTAATGTAATAGGGAAAAAGTAGACTAGATTGACAACTCAACTGGGTCTTAGCCCTATTTTGCCACTGACTTACGTGACCTTGAACCAATCTTTTTCCTTTTCTGCACCTCATTTTGCTCATCTGTAAAATGAAAGTGCTGGAAGCACTTTCTGTTCCATCATTCTGTGCTTTGGAATTTGATTTTGATATATAGAAGTTCATCACCTTTAAAGGGAGTGTTTACTTATTTTTATATGACATAACAAGTATGCCTATTACCAAAATACCCAATCTTCAAAAATACTAGCAGTACGTAAAGTTGGGGGTAGTGCAGTGAAGGCATAGTGTTGTACTCTGCCAAAGTTGATAGTCTATAGTCTTTTGGACAAGAAAAAACAAACGAATTATGTTTAAAGTATATCCTGAATTTATTTCTCCAGAATACTGCTAGCTATTCTGGATTTGTTATAAGAACAAGTTGTCAGAGCTTGCCTTATTTCCTGCTTTGTGGGTTCATGATTTGCTGTAGTGTCAAAGAAGCTGTATCTAGCACTTTTTTACATGATGGAATTGGAATTGTACATTCTCTGGGCTTGGTTCTTGGTGAGGAATATATTGGATTTGGTAGAATATTTCCCCTCCTTAATTCTATTAGTGGTGAATTGGCAGTCAGTTTTTCTTGGACCCAGGGGAATTAAAGAACAAAACTGAAGACATTACCTGGTCTTTAAACTTACTTTCTTCCTAAGATCTCCATTGGGTCTCTCTTTCAAATTTTATGAAGTCTAAGATACCACTGATTGTAAGATGTACAATTATTTGCATACCAATCAAAGAAAATAAAGCTGCCAATTAAACCATAACATGCTTTAGAAAGTAGGACACACCTCTGTTTCAGAGACGTTAATGTGAAAAAATGTACATCTCAGAATCAGTGAAACATGGTAATTGCTTCATTGAGGGAGCTTGATTCTATTCTTGGAAAACAAGACCCTACCTTTAATTAGACTTGACAGGATCAATACCTCTCTTTTCCTCAACCTTAGTCCTTTTGTCCTTGTGGGCAGTAGATATGGATATAGAAGGATCCTTTATGAAAGCTGAAACTGGAGACTGGCCATGTTTTGGCATGGATGACTCAGGATGGTGCTATGGATTCTTTCCTTTTCTTTTAGAATGCAGATTTTCTTGGCCATTTAAGCCTGACAGTGATATAGCTGATGATGTGGATACAGTTCTAGCGTAGTATTTAGAATGAGACCAGAATTCAAATCTAATTCCTCTCTTTAACCTGTGTGTACCCTGGGCAAATAACAGTCATGTGCCACAACAACAGACCGCATATACAATGGTGGTCTGATAATTAATATTATAAGGGAGTTGAAAAATTCTTATCACCTAGTGATTCCTGAAGTTTAAAATAAATTTAGCATAGCCTAAGTGTACACTGGTAATGTCCTACTTAGGCCTTCACATTTACTCATCACTCACTCACTGACTCACCCAGAGCAACTTCCAGTCCTGCAGGCTCTATTTATGGTAAGTGCTCATATAGGTGTATCCTTTTATTTACCTTGTAAACCATATTTTTTATTGTACCTTTTCTATGTTTAGATATACAAATACTTACCGTTGTGTTACAGTTGCCTGCAGTAACGTGCTGTACAGGTTTGTAGCCTAGAAAGCAATAGGCTATACAATATAGCCCAGGTATGTAGCAGGCTATACCGTCTAGGTTTGTGTAAGTACACTCTATGATGTTCACATAATGACCAAATTACCTGATGACACATTTCACAGAACATACCCCATTGCTAAGCCACACCCAACTGTACTTAACATCTCTGAACTTGTTTCCAAATCAATAAAAGTAGATATAATAATAGTACTCAGAGCCATAATGAGGATTAAAGAAGGTGATATGTATAATGCATTTAGCATGATATCTAGCCTGTAGTACCAGTCATACTATTACTATTCTCTGAATCTGGCACGTGCTTGACCAGATAGACTTCTTTTGCTGTCCAGAAAAATTTAACTGTAACTGTTATTGACTAAGTCCCTTGTTTTTCTTCCTGTGCAGATAAGTCAGCTGAGGATTACAATTCTTCTAATGCCTTGGTAAGTCTTTATTTACTCTATTTTGATGTGGGCAGATGTGGAGGTAAGGATCAAGACAGTGTGGTAGAGGCAGAGCCTGAGCTGGGAGGCACTCATATTAGTCACTCCTGCACCCTTGGCCTCAGAATTCCTATCTATCCAATAAAGAAATTAGATATAATAAATAGGGGGTATCCCTTTCAGCTTTAATGTCCTAGAAATTCTTTCTTTGTGATAATTTTTTTATTTTTAATTTTTATGGATTCATAATAGTCGTAAAATGTTCTAGAAATTCTAATTTTGGAACCAGAAGGTATGGCTTTAGACTCAGTTTTAATTTGTAGCTTTGAACCTTGGGAAAGTCAGTTTGCCTCTTTGAGCTTCAATTTCTTCATCAATAAAATGAGGATGATACACTGTGCCCTCACCTGGACATGTCTTCAGATACCTACACTTAGAAGAAAATTTCCTCTTTGGTCTATGGAGTCTGCAAAACCAAGATTAGTACTAATTGTTGAAGGGAGCAGATTTTATTCATTTAAAGTCATTCATTCTGTCCTCTGAAGTTGTAATGAATGCTTTGACACTCAAATGGATGTTATAGAAATCATGAAGAATTGGCTGGAGAGTAAACTAGATGATCTCTCTGTCTCTCTTAACTTACAAATTCTATTTCCCAGGGCACTTACAGGGATAAAATGTGATGTTGATGTATTTGAAAGGGTCCTATAAATAGTAAAATGTGATGCATATAAGAGAATACTGCTTTTTTTTTTTTTTTTTTTTAAAGAGACGAGGTTTTGCTCTGTTGCCCAGGCGGGAGTGCAATGGTGTGATCATAGCTCAGTGTAAACTCAAACTCCTGGGCTCAAATGATGCTCCTGCCCCAGCCCTCTGAATAGCTGGGACTACAGGTATAAGCCATCACACTCAGCTTATTGAGTGTGATGTCAAATTGTCAGACAGACAATTTTTTAAAAGTTTTGGTAGAGATGTGGTTCTCATTATGTGTTCTCAAACTCCTGGCTTCAAGTGATCCTCCTGCCTCGACCTCCCAAAGTGTTAGGATTACAGGTGTGAGCCACCACACCTGGTTGCTATTTATTTTTTACATCTGATGTTGTCTCTTGTACATAGGTGGTTATGCCATATTGATTTACTAAACATTTGCAAAAGCCCTAGTTTATCCTATGCCAAGTCCGGTGTGAATAAGTGACATTACAGAGATGGTCAGACATGTCCCAGTACCTAAGAACCTCCCAGTCTTGAGGTTGAAGACCTCAAGCAGCCAGTTCTTCATGATTCCTGTTTGTGCTTGAAGGCACAGACAGACAATTATAGTGCAGCATGCTAACCTTCATGAAGCCAGGGGCTGTCTCTGACTTGTTAATTGTTATATCCTTGGCATCTGGCAAGTCTTGGCATTTGGTAAACATTTACTGAATGAAAGGTTGGATGTGTCAGAGAAAGCTTCCTGATGGTAAAGTCTGAGCTGAATGAGTTAGTTATCTAGAGCAGGGATTAAGGGGAAATGCGGGTATTCCACACAGAAAGAGAATAGCATGTATGTGGGCAAGGAAGTTCATGAGGCATACTTGCACAGGGAACTGCGAAGTGGTTATGACTAGAATGTGAATAGTGAAGGAAGTAGAGGTGGGTGATGAGGAGGATTGGTAAGCAGGACAGATCATGTAGGAGTTTGACTTATCTTAAAGGTGATGAGACGCTTAAAGAACTTAAGCAGAAGAGTGGTTAAGTTCTAACACAATACCGAGTCACCATCAAAATACTTTGAACCATGCTTCCACCAGTGGGGACTGGTTTATTCGGAGTCATTTTTACACATATTGATTATAAAAAACAATATTCACACGTTCAGTGCCTTGCAACCTGTTGGATCCTTTCTTACTGACTCTCTGAATCCTCACAGGAGCTTACTGAGGTAAGTTATTATCCTTGTAGATGATAAAACTGAAATGGAAAAGAGTTAATGGCAATAGGCATCTGATTCCCAGCCTATACTGCTTTCCCCTGATTTGTGCTGCCTTTCATCAAATAGAAGAGATGTGATTAAAAGATGGGAAAGAATTTGCAAATATAGGATCTTTGAATAGTAAATTATTAAAGAAGAGGCTTTAAGCCGAATTGTGCTTTGTGGCTCAAATGTCTTTATGCTTTTGTAGGAAGAGTGATAGCTATCAATATTGAGTGCCTGCGATGCACGGTGTTAAAAACTTTATGTAAGCATGATTAGCCTCACAATTACTTATGTACAAAGTATTGTCATCTCCATTTCATAGGCAGAAAAACAGAGTTTCCTGAAGACTTATAATTAGAACCACATTACAACTGAGTCTTGTGAATCTCAGTTTAGGGTTCTTTTCACTGTGGCAAGGAACAAAAAAAGATGTCATTGAGGTCTTATAAAGGAGACTGCAGTAAAGCTGTAGCTATGTTGTTTGTTATTGAGGAGGAAGAGCCCTGGGGTTCATGCCATATGGCAGGGAGGATAACACCTGCTTGGTAAAAACTTGTACTGGTTTAGTATCTACAATTAAAACCACTAAGGCTGTCAAGGACATTGTTCTCCCCTAGTTCAGAACATTTGTCCAGCACTAGCTCAGTGCTCTATATATCCTTACTAGTTTTACATGGAGGATATGTTTTGTATTATGGTAGCATGTCATTATTTTCCATGTTGGTTTCAAACAGATGATTCCACTTGTGAAATAATCAAATATAATTGCTGCCTAAGAAATTAAGACTCAGAAAGATTAAGTGACTCACTCCCTACGTTTGAATGAGTTAGTAGTAGAAACCAGCACAAAATTCTGCTCTCCTGAGCATTCATGTATTCACTCATACCCTAAATATTGACTTAGTATCTTCTTTATGCCAAAATACAAGTGACACAAAAATGAACGTGCACTGTCTTAATCCTTGAGAAAAAAAATTAATGACAGACTGGGGAGATAAGGGCTGCAAGAGAGGCATGAATAATGTACAATAGGGTTATATTTGATGGAGTGATTTATTCTGCTCTGAAGTACAAGGAAGTTTGCAGAGTTCTTGGGCCTTAAAGCTTTGTTCGTTTAACAAACATAATCTTAAAGTCCCTTTTAGCTCTAAATTCTGTTATCTGTGGTTCACTGGTCTGAGATCTGACTCTAAGATTCCATGGCATTTTAATGCCTGATTCTCATTTATAAAATGAATAGTTACCACATGATAAGTTCTTTGGGTGCTGAGAAGTCAAGGACTAGTAAGATCTCTGCTCTTGGTCTCACAATTTTTGTGATGAATCAGAACATGTAAACAAGGATTTATAATATAGTGTTAAGTAAGCATCAGGTAATGATACCAGGCAGAGAAAAAGGCAGTGCTTTCCTGTCTGATGGACAGCATGAACAAAAGTTGGGTTAAGGATCCAGTATGTTAGGCCAGAGAGCTTGGACTTTGTGCTGGAGCTGAGGGACTATTTTAAGTAGAAGATTGATGTAGTTGGATATGTGATGTCTAAACTAACATCTTAGATTTCTTTGGAAATTGGATCAAGATAGTAAACTGAATTCATGTGCCCATCTCTCTTGCTATCTCAAATTTCTTAATTTCAGAAAAGATTTCTTAAAAACCAAATTAAAAGCAATGCTCTGAAACAAAAGCATGACATAAATCAACTGTTGTGAGGAATTCATGGAAGATAGAAAGCAGAAAAGGTCAGATTGATCAGAGCAGAAGAAGCCACAGCTTAAAGTATGTGTAAGAGAAGATGCCTAGGAAAATGAAAGTAGCTCCAGAGAAAATGGGCTGAAAGAATATATACAAGAAGCAGGAAAGAGTCATGGGTCATCTTCAAGGGTAAATTAATTTAATTCTACCTTTGAAACAGTAGGGGCAGCCTCCTCCTTACAGTGAACAAAAGGCAGCAGGTGCATTTGATTCTAAGCTAAAATCAGCTAATTTTCTGAAGAAAGTAAACTGCCTACTTGAGGAAAGCTCTTGCTGTGGGTATAGGGGCCTCAGAGAGAAACAGAGGAACCTGAGTTAACTGCAAAATTCTACCGCAGATATAAAGAAAAGGAAACAGGAGAAGTAGCTCTGCAGTGAAGGAAAATACATTAAAGTTTTCCATCCCAAGAGTAAATTTCTCATACTTTTGATACCTGGGAGGAGGGGAATCTCTACTTTTCCATGCCTACATACCCTAAAGTAACACTTGCCAATAACCATCTATCTATAACTCACAAACAGATCGTATCAGACCTCCCATTCAGAGTAGGACAGTGGAAAAACAGACTTACATAAGTTTCAGAAAAACTAATGCTAATTACATACACTAATCTATCCTTCACTTATAAATATGAATGAATAGCTAAGGATCTGCAGACATTTGAGAGAAACACAACATTAAAGAGAGGAACCAAGATAAGGAAGGAAAATTAGCCCCAGAGGAAGTAGATAAGTCAGGAAATAACTTTTAAAAAAATCTAGTATTTTCAGAGAGGATCTGTAGATGTTTCATCTACAAAAACACCCTGCTATTAGAGCAATCAGAGGAGGAAAGAATGTTCTTAGTATTAAAAACATAAGACATAAATTTATGGCTGGGTGCGGTGCTCACACCTGTAATCCCAGCACTTTGGGAGGCTGAGGCGGGTGGATCACCTGAGGTCAGGAGTTCGAGACCAGCCTGGCCAACATGGTGAAACCCCATCTCTACTAAAAATATAAAAATTAGCTAGGTGTGGGGGTATATGCCTGTAATCCCAGCTACTTGGGAGGCTGAGGCAGGATAATCACTTGAACCTGGGAGGCAGAGGTTGCAGTGAGCTGAGATTATGCCACTGCCCTCCAACCTGGGTGACGAAGCGAGACTCCATCTCAAAAAAAAAAAAAAAAAAAAAGAAATGTATAAGGTTTAAACAACAAATGCATATAAGTGAATAGGGAATTAATAATATAAAATATAAAAGATAGAAAATTTGAGAATAAATGACAATAGAGGGTTGGTCAGGGGGATTCAAGCATAAGCAGAGAACAGAGGCAGTAGAGTAAAAAAATAAAGAAAAAATAGAAGAAAAAATTCCCAGCTGAAGAAAGGCATGAGTCTTCAGATGAAGGGCCTGTTAATGACCAAGTCAGATAATTGAAAAGAGATCCAAGAATAAAGAGAAAAATCTTAAAAGCCTCCAAAGAGAATATAGTTCATGTCCAAAGGAACATTAGCATCAGACATCTCATTAGAAATAGTGGAAAAAACAGCAGTATCTTCAGAGGGATGAGGCAAATTGTTTAGAACCAAGAATTTTGTACCTAATCAAACTAACATTTAACTATAAGGTGTCAATATAAAGGTATGTTTGGACATGTGAAGATCAAGGTTTACCACCCACAGATCACTTCTGAAAGGCTAAATACCAAATAGTAACATCAATTACCTCTGGGGTTAATGGTGATTAAGAATACTCACTTAAAAGTATTTTTACCGGCCAGGCGCGGTGGCTCACGCCTGTAATACAAAAAAATTAGCTGGGCTTGGTGTTGTGTGCCTGTAATCCCAGCTACTCAGGAGGCCGAGGCAAAAGAATCACTTGAACCAGGGAGGCAGACGTTGCAGTGAGCCGAGATCATGCCACTGCACTCCAGCCTGGGCCGCAGAGTGGGACTGTATCTCAAAAAAAAAATAAATAAAAAATATTATTATCCAGGTATTTGATTAAAAAGTCAAGTAGGACTTGTAATAAGTAGCTCTCATTCTGGGATCTTCCTTCACCATTGTCTTGGCAATCCCTTTGCATTTTTGTGTTGGTATTCCTATTTTTTCTATGCCACGCCTACATTATTTTTTGTTTACTTTTGAATTTGGTGGAGCATATCCTCTAGTAGCTTTAAGAAAGTAAATGGAAAGTAAACATTTAATAATACCTTTCAGGTCTCAAAATGGGGCGTTCTCTATGCTACCCTCACGTTTAATTAATACTTCAGCTGCTTATAGAATTGCAGGTTACACATATTTTTTCATCAGAATTTGGAAAACATTACACTTTTGTCATCTAGCTTTCGGTACTGCTAAGTCCAAAGCCATTTTATTTATCCTTCTCTGTATGTGACCAATCTTTTTTTCTACTCAGAAAGCTTGTAGGGTCGTCTTTGTCACCATTGCTTAGAAATTTCACAATTATATTCCTATTTACATCTATTTATACTGCAGGGAGCTTTGTGAACTCTTTCGGCCTGGAAACTCTGCCCTCAGTTCTAGGAAATTGCTTGAATTATTTTGTTGATGATTTCTTCCCCTTGCTTCTTTTGTTATCTCTTCATGGAACCTCCATCATTTAGATCTTGGACCTTTTTGTTTGTTTGTTTGTTTTGAGACGGAGTCTCGTTCTGTCACCAGGCTGGAGTGCAGCGGCGTGATCTCAGCTCACTGCAACCTCCGCTTCCCGGTTCAAGCAATTCCTCTGCCTCAGCTTCCCTAGTAGCTGGGACTGCAGGCACGCACCACCATGCCAGGCTAATTTTTTTTTGTATATTAGTAGAGACGGGGTTTCACCATGTTGGCCAGGATGATTTCGATCTCCTGAGGTTGTGATCTGCCCGCCTCAGCCTCCCAGAGTGCTGGGATTACAGGCGTGAGCCACCACGCCCAGCCCTAGATCTTGGACCTCTTAAACTAATTCTCCATTTTTTAAAGGATTTTCTCTCTTTTCCTTGCGTTGGTTTTTATTCTGAAGAATTAGGAGACTTCCTCAACTTCATCTTTCAGTCAATTTAATTTTTCATTTCTATTCTCATGTTTAATTTTCAATCACTTTTTTATTTTAAGAAAATATATAGCATTCTTGTTTCCAGAATTGATATATTTTCTTATCTCTAAGGAAGGTAATGATAGGCTTTCTTTGGATGTTTTTTCCTTCCTGTTTAGTCTGTTTTTTCCAGGTGGCCCTTTGCCTCATTTGTTTTGGTTTCACACTTTTATGTTAGAGGTTTTCCTTGCGTATTCAGAGGTCTGCTCATATTTATGATTGGGGTAGTAAAAAGCTCACTAGAATTTTAAGCTCATTGGTGGTGGACAATTCAATACTTTTAATAAATTTATAGAGTTGTGCCGCCATCACCTGAAAAAGTTCCCTAGTGCCCTTTTACCATTCATTCAAACTCCCATGCTCAGCCCTAGGAAACCACTGATCTGCTTCTGGTCTTTATAAATTTGTCTTTCTAGACATTTTATATAAATAAACTCATACAACATGTAG
This sequence comes from Homo sapiens, assembly GCF_000001405.40. Taxonomy (NCBI): domain Eukaryota; kingdom Metazoa; phylum Chordata; class Mammalia; order Primates; family Hominidae; genus Homo; species Homo sapiens. The sequence goes on along the minus strand of NC_000011.10, from coordinate 77,367,092 downwards.
TCTTTTGTGTTTTGCTTCTTTTACTTAGCTTTGAACTTTATGTTGTAACATGTATCAGTATGGTGTATTTCATTTCTTGTTATGTCCAAATCATATTCCCTTGTATGGATACACTACATTTTATTTATCTTCTCATCAGTTGATGTGTACTTGGGTTGTTCCTACTTTTTGGTCATTATGAATAATGCAGTTATGAACATTCACATACAAGGTTTTGTGTGGTCTCATTTCTTCAGAGTATATACCAAGGAATGGAACTGCTGGGGCATGTGGTTAACTTTATGTTTAACCTTTTGAGGAACTGCCAGACTTTTTTCCACAGTGCTGGCACCATTTTATATTCCCACTAGCAATTAATGAGGGTTCCAGTTTCTGCCTATCTTTGCCTGTCCCTGTTGTTGTCTGTCTTTTTATTGTAGTCATTTTAGTGGGTGTGAAGTGGTATCTCATTGTGATTTTATTGGATTTCCTAATGGATAATGATGTTGAGCATCTTTTCATGTGCTTATTGGCCATTTATATACAATCTACTTCACATTAACAGTAACTGAAATCCAGTAAAATATGTAAACTTTGCCCCAGTATATTTTCATTCCCTGCCCCTTCTTTATTCTATTACTGCCATTCTTTCATATACATGAATGTGTATGAATCTGTATGTGTATATGTGTGTGTGCACGTGTACGTACTGTATATATTGGAAGCCTAACAATTGCTTTATACAATTATGTTTTTTAAAGAAGTCAATGGAAGAAATAACAAAAAGTATTTTTTTAGAGTCTTCCATGTTAATCTACATATTTACCGTTTCCTCTGCTCTCCATTATTACTTGTGGATTTGAGTTACTATTTGGTATTACTTCGTTTCAGTCTGATGGGCTTCTTTGAGTATTTCTTGTAAATCAGGTCTGATAGCAATAAATTCTCTTTCTCTTTGTTAATCTGGAATGTCTTTATTTCGTCTTCATTTTGAAGGATAGTTTTGTTGGGTATAGATTTCTTGACTGGCAATTTTTAAAAATTTCAGCTGTTTGAATATGTCATCCCACTGCCTTTTGACCTCCATTTTTTCTGATCAGAAGTTTTTGTTTTGATTTTTAAAATACTCTGATCAGCAGTCAGCTGTTAATTATACTGACTGGCCTTGTACATGATGTCAGTTTTCTCTGGTTGCTTTAAATATTTTCATGTTGACTTTAGCTTTTGGCAGTCTGACTGTGCGTTTAGGTGTTATTTTTTTTTTTTTCTTTTTCTTTTTCTGAGACGGAGTCTCGCTCTGTCGCCCAGGCTGGAGTACAGTGGTGCGATCTTGGTTCACTGCAACCTCTGCCTCCTGAGTTCAGGCGATTCTCTTGCCTCAGCCGCCCGAGTAGCTGGGATTTCAGGTGCATGCCACCACAGCCAGCTAATTTTTGTATTTTTAGTAGAGATGGGGTTTCACCATATTGGCCAGGCTGGTCCCAAACTCCTGACCTCAAGTGATCCGCCTGCCTCAGCCTCCCAAAGTGCTGGGATTACAGGCATGAGCCACCGCTCCCAGCCAGGTGTGAATCTTTTTGTGTTTTCCTACTTTGGGATTTATCGAGGTTCTTGGATCTGTAGTTTAATGTTTTTATCAAATTTAGGAAGTTTTATCCTTATTTCTTTAAATATTTTTTCTGTGTCTTTTTTTTTTCTTCCTCAGAGACTCTCATTATATGTATGCTGGTGTGCTTTATGTTGTTCCACAGCTCTTTGATGCTCTGTTTTTTTCTTTAATTTTTTTTTACCTCAGTTCTTTATATTAGATAATTGCTATGGGTCCATTTTCTTTTTTCTTTTTTCTTTTTTTTTTTTTTTTTGAGACAGAGTCTTGCTCTGTCACCCAGGCTGGAGTGCAGTGGCACAATCTCAGCTCACTGCAACCTCTGCCTCCTGAGTTCAAGCGATTCTCCTGCCTCACCCTCTTGAGTAACTGGGACAACAGGCACGTGCCACCGCACCCAGCTAATTTTATTTTTATATTTTTAGTAGAGATGGGGTTTCACCATATTGGCCAGGCTGGTCTCGAACTCCTGACTTCGTGATCCGCCCACCTTGGCCTCCCAAAGTGCTAGGATTACAGGTGTGAGCCACCGCTCCCCACCTCCATTTTCAAATTCATTGATTCTTCTGCCATATAGAATCCCTTGTTTAGCTCTCTGGTGAGTTTTTCATTTGTTATTTTATTCTTCAACTGTAGTATTTCCATTTGGTTCATTTGAAGTAATGTCTACTGAGAATTTCACTCGTTGTTAGGCTTTCTTAAAACTCTTTAAACATGGTTTCTTTTAGTTTTTTGAATGTATTTATATCTGAGTTGAAATCTTTATTCTCTAAAGCCAACATTTGGGGACATTCAGAGTTCCTGTTGATTGCTTTTTTCCCCCTAGGTCGTGCTTTCCTGTTTCTTTCCATGTCTTATAATTTCTTGTTGAAAATTCAATATTTAGATAATATTCTGTACCAATTCTGGATACTGATAGCCCCCTCCCCCAAAAAAGTTGCTAGCTTTTTTATTTGTTGGTTTTGTATTATCTTACTAGGGATAAATCTGTGACATAGTCTCTGTCTGTGGTCATTGATGTCATTGCTCAGTGTTTGTTGTTTTTTTGTTTGTTTTTGTGGTGGTTTTGTTGTTGTTGTTTTGTTTTGTTGCAGCCTGGCTTTCCAGAGATTGCTTCTATGTTTGCTTAGCTGAATCTTTAGCCAATGATTTGACACAGATGGTGCTCAAAAACTTCAACTCTGTAAGGCTTCTTTCCTCTGTTGATGGATCTATGTGTAGGTAGGGGAGTACATTTACTGTTTAGGCCTTTTTCAAGTCTGTTCCAGCTTTTACTTTATGTTGGGCTCTTTTGAATCTTTTATGTGTATGCACATAGCCAGGCATGTGTGACTAGCATGAGGCTTTTCTAGCGTCTGCTGTGCCTGTGAACAGCCTTAGCCAGAAATTAGTTTGCCCTACTCAGGACTGTAGCTTCAGGCTAATAGAGCTGAATAGTTGACCCTCTGCCGCTACCACCTTTGGAAGTCACTTCCAATGACAGTGCCACTGGGCCTGGGCATTGCCCATATCTCCAGCACAAAGTGAATGTTCTTGGACTATGCAGTTATACCCTGGTCTGCCCTGATGGAACCCCCACACTTCTGGAGTTGGGGCTCGGATGGATGGGAACATCCCTTGCCCAGAATGCCAGAGATTCTATTTTTAACCCAAAGTTCAGGAGTTTATCAGTCATAAGCACTTCTCAATATTTTGTTGACCTTTGTTGGATTTCCAGGGAACTGAAATGGTTTTTGTCAATTTTGTCCAGATTTATAGTTGCTTGTTGGGGAGAGGATTTGCCAGTCTTCTCTCTCTGCCATACCTGGCAGTCTGCTTATAATATTTTTAAAAAGATAAAGGACAGATTATTCTGGGCTGTAATAAAAGATGCATTAGAGAAGGCAAGACTGGGGTCCCAAAAAGCAATGAGGAAGACTTGTAAAGGATTGGTAAAGGTAAGAGAATATGGTGCCTAAGTGAAAGCAGTGGTTATGAGGCTAAGGAACAGAAGGTTTAATGGAAAGAACTTTTTGAATCCTGATACGGTTTATTTTCCTTTTTATCATACTGCTTCTCATGGAGGGAGTGGGGAAAGGATTTTATGTTTAGTCAGGTATCAATCCTTGGTCTCCCTATCCCAAGGAAAAGTATCAAGTTGATCTTGTAGGGTGAGCATAGTCTTCCTACTGGGACAGAATGCTTAGTGAGCACACCCTGGCTACCATCTCATCTCCTCTCTGGGTTGGGTTGTCACATTTCAGTGGCCATTTTCAATCTGTTTGCATTATATCATTCCGAGCTGCCCAGAGCCTTGAGTTTTGATTCCAGTACCTAGTCATTTTCTTCTTCACTATTTTCCTTGACCTTAAAACTTCTATTTGATCAGGCAGCAGCCACCCAAAATTTCCTTAGGATATAGTCTTATCCTTGACTGTCTTAGCTGAACCTTGGAGCCTTCCCAAGGTGGTTTTTAACTGGCCTGTTAAAAACCTGACCTGTTGAGAGCTGGTTTTGATCATGTTGAAGATATAATAAAGCAAACAAGCTTTTATAGGATATGAAAAAAACCATCAGACCCACTAATTTTTACTGTAGAATGTAGGCTAATGGTTTAAGTCAGTTAATAGTACAGTTCTTCGCCATTTTGGCATCTTCCTTCACAATCCTGTTCCCATTATCTCCACTTTTTCAATTACTGAGTGCCCCATCATTTAGATATTTCATTCCAGTTTATACTACTATTGGATAAGACATATTCATTTAGCAATCCTATACTGAGCACTTTCTAATCATCTGGCCAACATCATTATCATAGCTAATATTTGAGTATTTTAAAAATGAATTTTACATAGCTTTATCTCATTTAACCTCACACTAACACTAAAGTAAGTACTAATACAGGCTGTATTTCATAACTGAGGAAAGTGAGAGAATTAATATCTTACGCAGAACTCATAGTTTGTAAGTGATAAAGGCGTGATTTGATCCTAAGCTAGTTGATTCCAAAATGTTGGTTTTTAAGTATTATTCTATCCTGCCTGATAAAACAGACAGTTCAACATAAAACCTTAATTGGAGAGAATTATAAAGTAGCCAGTGATATTGTGTTAGTAATTCTAATGAAGAAGAAAAAGAAAAAAGAAAATCAAACTAAAAATTGGTATCAGTGGAAAAGTACATAAAGTATATTCCAACAGAGGACGTTTGAGATCTGTCACTAGAAGAACAATTGAGGAAGTTGCAAGAAGAACGAACTTACAAAGTAGTTACAAAGAAGTTTCCAGTGTATTTATTCCTTATTGTCAACTGGTTATATGCTAAGAATATACACCTTTAAGCAAATGCCCAAATTGCAAGGATATAATCCAGGGTACTATTCATACATTTCTGTAATAAAGAAAACCCAAACCGGTGGATAAATTTATATAGAAACACCTTTAAAATATTGTTGAACAATTGATGCTATCTGAAGTTAGTAACCTTAAATTAGTAACATTAGTAATCTTAAATTAGTAACATTTGTGTTCTACAGTGTTTTGGTTCTAGTATCTTGTTTTCAAAAAAGTAGACAGTATCACAGATTATATTTAATATTCTTGCCTATTTGCAGTAGAAAACTTGCCTGTGATGAATATTTTTGTATTTAAGGCAGTGGAGATGGTATATTAGTATATATGTATGAACATATGATGAATAAAAGTGCTATTCATACAACATTTCAGGAAGTAATAAATTTGGTACTCTTTCTAAAAGCTTTGAGTACTCTATCAGACTATACTTTAAAAGAACTGAGAACCAAGAACCCTTGAGTTTGTTAGAGTTATAGGTGCAAATTTTCTTTGGTGCTTTTCACTATTTTGTTATAAAATAGGAATTTGTATTTTATTGCCATTGATTAAAAAAACCTTTTCTCTAATTTGTGAGAAACATCTTAATAAAGCACTTTAAAAAGAAAAAAAATGTATAGATTACATCACTGTTCTACTCACAGTCCTCCAGTGGTTTCTTATTCTAGGTCTAAACTCCAGAGTTTTTATTACCGCCTCTCTGACTTTACATAATCTGATTCCCAGCTAACTTTCTGACCTTGTTTCTTTCCTTACTTCCCCTTACTAACTTTGTTACACCCACATAGGTAGAATTCCTAAGGGTTGTGGGAACATACCAAGCATGTTTCTGTCTCAGAGTCTTTAACTTCTTCCATCTGCTAGGAATATCCTTTTCTCAGAGAGCCCCGTGGCTTGCTCCCTTAATTCATTCAGGTCACTGTTATATGACATTTTATTAGAGAGGCTTGCCTGTGCCTATCGTATCTAAAATAGTATCTCCCCACCTTGTCAACCAATCTCTGCTCCTATATGGAGCAGACACTTTGGTGATTGTTTTTTACTCTATTCTCTTCTAGAATGTAAGTCATAGAACCAGGGACTTTATCTGTTTTATTCTTTATGTAGCCCCAGAGCCTAGAATGGAGTCTGGCACACAGTGAATGGATGGATGGATGGATGGCTATATGGGTAGATGGATGATGAATTGGAATGTCTGGCTTTTGTTTGAAACAGAGATTTGTGGTTATTAGACATAATGATAATTTAATTGATTCCTTACATCTCTCTAGCTCTTTACCATTTTCAGTGATTTTATGCTCACTTTGCCTCATTTAATCCATTCAGTGGCCTTCTGAGGTAGGCAGAGAGCTGTAGTCATTACCCCTGTTTTATAAATTAAAAATGTGAGACTTAACTTAGACCCTTGCCCAAGGACACAGGGCTAAGAAGTAAAAATCTGGGTAATAACCTAGACCTTTCTCTCTCTGACAGATGTTAATATCACTGCCCAAAGCTATCACCTATGGAAAACAGAATCTTTTACTGAGGAAGGTGTTGAAATCCCCTTCTCTACAGTTTTATAAAGCAAACAAACCTAGTGTTTACAGTATACATCAGGGGAGCTCCAGGGCTACCTGATGATGAAGAGCCTTGCTGAGTCAACTGTATTCCCACATTAGGTTTTTAGTTAAATTTTGTTGAGTGGAATAGTGGGGAGAAAATAAATTAGAGCAGAAAAATATCGAAATACATATTTTGACAGGGAAAGGACCTCTATTGAGTTTTGGAACTTAAAGCGATTTAAGGTCATCTTTCAAATTATAACACTCCTCTTCCTTCACATTCCTCAGGTGATTAAACTTCAAACCAAGAGGACAGATTTATTGCCTATGGTCACCACAACTGCTTATATATGCCCGGCACTGTCAGTTTTTAACTTATGCTTTGTGCTGGAGGCCCTGTTAAAATCTATGCCAGTTTTTCTTACTTTAGTATGTCAAATGTGGTAAAAGACAGTCTCCCACAGTCAGTACCTCTAGTATATTATTCCTTAGTTCTTCCATTTATCCCGTTATTCTGACTCTGGACCTTCCTCTTAGGAGGCTCCAGGTGTCAGGCAGGAGGGGCTCTCATCCTGTCTATCTCCTATACCAGATGGTCACTACTTTAGGACATGGACCATCTTTTTCATCTTTGTACATTTATGTCAACAGTACCTATCACAGTCTTACTGAGCACAAAGTAGGTGCTCTGAAAATACCTGAAACTGTTGAATTATATCAGTATATATTAAAAGATCCCCATTGCCTCTCCAGTTCTTTGCTGATCAAATGATAGAATCATTTGGTATCTATCAAAAATCTCATATTTTGGAGGCATTTTGTCTCTTAATTCTGTGTAATAAACAGTAATGGTATGCTATTTTTGCCTGGACCTGCCCTAAAACCTGCCACTCTTGGCCCAGCTCTCTTATAGTTTGCATGGGGAAATCAGGTTGTCACAGATTGTAAGCAGATCTAATTAGTGGTAAGTTCCATTCCAGGGTAGGGCAGAAACTTAGGGAAATAGTATCCAGTCTGGGGAGAAATTCATTGTTCTCTTTAGATAACATGATCCTGATGCTGATGTTCTTTATCTTCAGGTTGAGGTGAGGACCCCTGGTAATGTAATGGGTTCAGGAGATTTTTGCAAAGAGAGGAAAAGGGCAGGGCAAAAGCCTGTTTAGACTGCCATTTACCATATCAGGAGAGAGTAAGAAATTATAGTGATGAATTTTGAAAAATTAGAAACTTTTGATCTCTTCCCTACATTTCATACTTTATTTCCTGTTCAGTGTGGAGAGAAAAATTCATAGAATAAGAAGGTACTGTGAGCTTGTCTTCAGGGGTTGGGTTGGGGGAGAGGCAGGTAGAAAAGCTGTAAGCTAGCTTCCCATTCACAGCTAGGCTTTGAGTGGGAGAAGGAAGCCCCAAGGGACTGAGTGGATAGTGATGGCTAAAAGAAGAGGGAGAAACAGATTGAGCTTCTGAGACTAGCTACACAAAGGTGAGAGCTTGGAGGCTAATGTGTATTTCAGAAGGGATATCAGGATGGGGTTTCTCGTGGGAGGTTTGGTGATCCTGATAGTTAAGTTCCATGGCAGCTGGACCAGATGCATCTTGCTTTTCTTCTTTGCACAGAATGTGAAGGCTGTGTCTGAGACTCCTGCAGTGCCACCAGTTTCAGAAGATGAGGATGATGATGATGATGATGCTACCCCACCACCAGTGATTGCTCCACGCCCAGAGCACACAAAATCTGTGAGTCTTTGGGGACCTGGCCAGTTTTGTGATTTATTAGAGTAAGTGGGGAGAGGGAGGAGTTGGTGCTGATACCTAGAAGTTTAATATTCTGGTAGGCGTCCTTAGATTTTGGAGCTGGTGAAATCACTGAACTACCTTGACTAAAGGTACTTTCTGTATGATTAAAGACAAAAAATCATGTGTTTATTTATCATTGGTTTGCAGATAGTCCCAAAGTGTCCTAGGTAATTGATGTTTATACCAGTCCAGTCTCGGTTCTCCACAGATAGGACAGGAAGATATATAGGATTGATGCTACTTAGTGCAGGACTAACATAAATTATTCCAGTCTCCAGGGAAGCAACAAATTGTCTTGCTACAGATCTTTTCTTCTCTGTTAAATGTGCAGTGTTCAGCCTCTTAGAGCATTATTGATAATATTGAAAGACCCAAGAGAATATATAAATACATTAGTGCTATTAATATGCTGGGCATCAGGAGTGCATTTTGATGCCGGATGTTGGCAGTGATTTCTATTTAACTTCCTTTGAGGTTCCTGCATCTCTGAGAATAGCCATGGTCCCTCTAACCTTGCTTTGAAACATCTAGTCCCTGTGCCTTTTACTTAATTTGGCATCACTGAGCACTGACCTACCATCAGATGATACTCTACTAGTGTTTCTTTGTTTAGGTCTTTTACTAAGATGAGAGCTCCATAATGAAGGAACCATCTAGCACTTCTGTGATCATGAAAGAAAAAAAAAAGGGCTACCTCTGGAATACAGCATTCAGGGAGGTGTTCAAACAGAAATTGGTTGAATGACTATTGGAGATGCTGTGGAGGAAATTCAAAGGAATTATATGACCTATTAGGATGAGAACTTACAAACAGAATCTGTGGAATCATCTCTGTAGGTCACAAAGTTACCTCAAGGGAAAATGCGCTTCAAAATTGGAGAGTCGTTAACACTGATATGGTTTTTTTTGGTTTGTAGACATGTTCATTTAAAACATTTTTTTCCCCACTAAACCATGAACACCTCAAAAAGTAGAGGAAATCCATATGTATGTATTTCTAGTGCTTAACATAGTTCTTGGCACCTGCAGAGGTGGGTAAATATCAGAGGACAGTAAATATTGAATTAATTAATTAATTGATCTTCATAGCATTTCTTTCTAAAAAGGTATTGGTAATTCCTAATTTATAGAAGAAGCAGCTGAGATTTGGAGAGGTGAATTGATCTGCCCAGTCTCTTAGTAAACAAAAGAGCCAGGATTTGAAAGCAGGTAATTAACCCCAACTCCAGGTTGTTTTCCACCATAGCACAGTGGTATTTTTGTGTGTACAAACCTGTGCTAGGAGCCAGAGAAGGAGACTATTAAAGAAGGAAAAGGCAAGGTTTCTGTCTTCAAAGAGATATATCAGGACAGGCAAAAGAGGACAAGGCATGGAAGTACAGGTTTAGGTGCCTGGGATATAGTTTGTCTACAGGTACAAGAATAGAAAATTGAGAAATCATTATGCTAGAGTAGTAATCAGGAAGGAAGCCATTGCCTCTGATCTCAGCGTCTTGGCTTATTGCTGTTCCCACTACTGGAATGTTCTCTCCCATTTCCACCTATTAAAAGCCTGTCCAGTCAAAAGGTAGCATGGTCAAGCAGTCCAAGGTGCAGGATGTAGTTGGCTTTAGTCTCTGTGGAGCCATGGGTTTGAGTCCCACTGTTGCCAATGGCTTTGCATCATCGCAGATAAATGATCATCATAGATAAATGATCCTCTATCTTTGTAGAAACCTATCCGTCCTTCAGGATCCAGTTGCAGGATCCTGTTTGTTTATTTATTCCATCAAATATTTACCTGAATGCTTGCTTTCTTTTAGTAAGTGGTTAGATGGAGGAACTCACGGATGAATGACCCACATTCCCTGTCCTTATACTGTTTATGGACTATGCAAAAGATAATTGTGATATTTTTATGATAAAATCTGTTAAATACCTTGAAGCATCTCCTGGGGAAAGGAAGTATAATTTATGATCACTTCTGAACCTCAGTAGTATATAGCTTGCTTATTTCTTTATAACATGTATCACTTTCTGCCTTGTAGTTATGATTTTCTCACCTCCTTTATAAGAATGAGAGGTTGGGGCAGCATTTTGTACAGGGTGAGGCAACAAATAGATTCTCAGTAAATGTTTGTTATGTAAATGAATGAATAGGACATTTAATATTTTTAAAAGGTAAAATTTGAGTGCTTAATGTCTGCTGGGGATGAGTCTGATTACCTCACATATTAATCAGTTTACTCCTACAGCAACCCCAAAAGATAGTTATCATTATTATCACCATTTTATAGATGAGGAAACTGAAACACAGAGAAGTTAAGTAACCTGCCCAAAGTCATGCAGAAGGTAAGAATAATAAGAGTTGGGATTTAAGTTCAGGCAGTCAGGTTCCAGAGTCCATGTTCTAAATCATCACACTCTACTACCTCTTGATGAAGAACAAAAGTAGTTCCTTCCCTGCAAGGGTTCAGGATGTAAGGAGGGAGTAACTCAATAGAAGTTGGTGTTGTACTAGTAATGCAAAGTGCTATTTGCATTACTACAGGATATGTCTTTTAACTTGGGGAAGCATAAAATATTACAAATGAAGGGGATTCTTACCTAATAGAATTGTCTTCAACTAATTTCTTTTGTTACAGAATATTTCTTTTAGCTTGGGGAATACAGGATATTTCTTTTAGCTTGGGGAAGCATAAAATATTACAGATGAAGGGGATTCTTATCTAATAGAATTGTCTTTAACTAATTTCTTTTGATAGTTGTCTAGCCTCTATTGAATATCTTTAGTGCTGAGACTCTCACTTCTTTTGTTTACAGTGAGAGTAAGGAAGGCCATTTTACCCAGAATGGGTGGGCCTGGGCACAGAGGAGGAGTAATATAGATTTTGACATAAGAGAAAGGATGAGTTTATTGGGGTTTGCTCTGTGGATGTTCTAACCTCACATCTAGGAGAGGTTCCCCTATGCTAACAAAGGCTGGTCTTGCCAAAATTTTGCACTAATAATGCAGGTATACACACGGTCTGTGATTGAACCACTTCCTGTCACTCCAACTCGGGACGTGGCTACATCTCCCATTTCACCTACTGAAAATAACACCACTCCACCAGATGCTTTGACCCGGAATACTGAGAAGCAGAAGAAGAAGCCTAAAATGTCTGATGAGGAGATCTTGGAGAAATTACGTAAGGAATTTGTAGCTTTCTGAACCTTTCTTCGTTTTATGACTGGTCAAGCACAGAGATTTGCTGGTCGTAGGCTTGGTCCATGCAGCTGGCTGGCCATGCTTGGTACCTTAGGCACAGACTGCTTCTCCTCACCCTGCCCCTGAACCTCCCTTCCCTGTCTCACAGCCCTGGTTGGATACTATGTTAGGATGGAGATGTGGTGAGAGTGTGGATAGCTTACTTTGAGGGCAGGGCATCCCTCACCCCTAGGCATGTATTATAGCGAAGACAAATAGTTTTTCTCTAATGAATAGCCTAGAATGCCATGTTGAGAAAGACTGAGGACCTAGTGGAAAAGGGCACTGTGATCAATTATTGATGTTTTGCCATTGACCTAGGAGAAGACGCATCTGCCATCTTGGTTGTAGGAAAAGAGGGAAGGGAAGTTAACATTTTATGAACCTATAGTATGTATCAAATGACAAGCAAAATATTTTCTTGATTTTTTTTAAATTTAATTCTCTTATTAACCCTGTGAAGAAAAGCATTATGATCCTAATTTTTGCAATGAAGATATCTGAGGCTCAGGGAGGCTAAATATCCTGCCCAAAATCACGCAGCTAAAAAGTGACATGGCTGAGGTTAGAACACAGTTTTTGTTCCTGTAAGTAGAGCATACTGCCTCTTGCTGTCAAGTGGAAACTTCCATTTTACTTTCTTTAGCTGCCAGAAATGGGGGTATGTTAGGGTAGCTTATTTCTGTGTTTCAGTAAACTGCAGAAGAATTCATGTTAGAAGGAAGAACTAGGTTGATCTGTGGGCTTGGAAGAATCATTTGACAAGGGCTTTAATTTATTCACTGTATCTACTTACTTCCAAAAAGGATTTGATGTGACCGATTTGGCGACGTCTGCAAACTGGCATTGCTTTGTGGTTCTCTAGTTCTTCCTGATTAATTCCTATATGACTTTAAAACAAATTTTCACTGTTTTAAAAATTGCCCTTTTCTGGATCCCTCATAAAATGACAAAGTAAGAAAAGCCACTTACCTAGTCATCTGTTTACTCCTGTATGTAGTCTTGTTCTCTAAACCAGAGTTTTTTGTTTTGTTTTGTTTTAACAATAACACTTAGAATTATGACTTAGAATTAAGACTTGGCCTGGGAGTTAGGACACTTGAGTTGAAGCTTCTGCTCAGCCACTGACTTGTGTCTTAGGCAATTTTCTACTGTTCTCTAAACCTCATTTTTCTCATTTTTAAAATAGGGATGTTAATACTTGTCTCATTTGCAAATCAAATGAGGTAATATATGTGAAAAGTACCAATTCCTAGTAATTGGGTATTAATGGAGAGCACATTGGACCGGGAGACTAAAAATGAAACTCCTAATCTTAGCTCTGACACCAATTTGCTGTGTGACCTTGGGGGGGAAGTATCTTCTTCCCTTCTGTGGGCCTCAATTTCTCCATCTCTAAAATACAAGTTATAAAACCCAGTGGAAAACCTCTATGTCGTTGCACTTGAAATATTCTTTGTTGTAAACCTCTTCTCTACTTTATCTCTCTGGCTTTTACTTAAAGTGGAAATCAGTCCATATATCACCTTTCTGAAGTTTTTCCAGTCTTTTTTTTGTGTGTGTGTGCCTCTTTCTGTACCCCTTTGGCTTTTATCACAGCAATTATTATATTTTCATGGAACTTTATGCTTACTTATCTGTCTCCTCCATGAAATTGACCTTCTTGAGAGCAGGGACTGCCTTGACTGTGTCATATCTCTTCATTCCTAACACAACATATGGCTTGGTGCGTATTAAATGAGTAAATATTTACTGAATGGATTAATTAAAAAATGAATGACTTTTAGGAGTTTAGAAATGGAATAGCTTACTATGAATCAAAGCAGTCAAGGTGATGAAACTTTTGGTTGAGACTTATGGGGGAAAAGCTGAGGGCCTGTTTAGCATGCTTTTTGGCTATTGGAGGTAGTTCTTTAACCCTTGCCAGCTACAGGGGTTGGGGAAATGTGGAACCTTTTTTGTATCTTGATTTGGGAAAAAATGATTCATGGTCTCTGTTTCTTTCAAAGGAAGCATAGTGAGTGTGGGCGATCCTAAGAAGAAATATACACGGTTTGAGAAGATTGGACAAGGGTTAGTAGGGGCATTTTCTTTCCCTGGAGAAATGACTTTAAAGTGTGTGTGCCGGCATATATGATTTTGCTTTTTTTTTGCCTCTCATAAACCTTGTTCTTCTTTCTCCACTTTACCCCTCACCCATCTGGAGTTGTTATGTGAGACTGACTTGAGATTTGGCAGAATTATGCTTAATATGAGAGAGATGCCATTAGCTGACCATGTTGCTAAAAATACCCCTGCAGTGACAGTGAGAGAACGGTTTTTTTTCTTAGCACAAAACCAACTTCCCAAATTACAACTCTGCTTTTCCGGATGAACCCTGTTTGTCCTAGTGCTGAGATCCACCAGCACTAATATAAAATGGAAGACCCAAAACTATAAATCCTTCTACTACTGTGATAGGACCTGTTTTTCTAGGTAGATGCCAGAATTTATCCTTCTTGCATTCATCCTTCTCTGTATCTTATATGCTGCCCTCAGTGTAATGAATTCAGCAAGTCTTAACTGAGTTCCTATTGTGTGCAAGGCACTATGAATTCAGAGACAATCTCTGCTTCCAAGGACCTCAAGTCAACAGAAAAAGATAGGCAAACAATTGTATAGTCATATGTTGCCTAACAAAGGGGATATGTTCTGAGAAGTGCATCCTTAGGCAGTTTTGTCATGTGAGCGTCATAGAGTGAACACAAAACTAAATAGTATAGCCTACTACACACCTAGGCTATATGGTATAGCCTCTTGCTCCTAGGCTACAAGCCTGTACAGCATGTTACTGTACTGAATACTGTAGGCAATTATAACACAATGGTGGTTGTATATCTAAACATAGAAAAGATACGGTAAAAATACAGCATAAAAGATAAAAAAAAGGTATATTTATGTAGGGCACTTAACATGGATGGAGCTTGTAGGACTGGAAGTTGCTCTAGGTGAGTCAGTGAGTGGTGAGTGAATGTCGAGGCCTAGGACATTACTGTGTACGCTACTGTAGACTTTATAAACCCTGTACACTTAGACTGTACATTTATTAAAAAACAAAGTAATTGTGCTATGACGTTACAACTGCTACAGTGTTACTGGGTGATAGGAATTTTTCAGCTCCATCATAATCTTATGGGACCACCATCATATGCGGTCCATCGTTGACTGAAACGTCGTTATGTGACACATGACTGTCTTGTGTTTTTAAAGTGTTTGGCTGTTATTTTGAGTGAAAGAAGCTAGATATGAAAAAGCAGATACTGTCTCATTTGATTTATATGAAATTCAAGAACAGGCAAAAGTAATATATGATAATAGAAGTCAGAATAGTGGTTATTTCTGGGAGGAGGATGTAGAGTGGGAATAGGCATGAAGGAATCTTCGGGGGTAATGACTGTAGTGTCTTTTGAAAGTGGCCATTATTTTGAGTGAAAAAAGCCAGATATAAAAGAGCAGATACTATGTCATTCTATTTATATGAAATTCAAGAACAAGCAAAACTAATGTATGATAATAGAAGTCAGAACAGTGTAGTTATTTCTGGGAGGAGGATGTTGAGTAGGAATAGTCATGAGGGAATCTTTGGGGGTGATCTTGGTAGTGAACACATGGGTGTGTACATATATAAAAATCAAGTTGTACACTTAAGATTTGTGCAAATTAAGTTATACCTCTCTATAAAAAAAAAATGAGATTTCTAAAGACCCACCAAAAGAGATAAAATTAAAAAGAAACTGAAAAAGAAAAATGTCTGGCTCTCAGTGTTAGTGGAATGAAAGCATTGTTGCTAATGATGTCATTGAAATTTTCTTTTTTTTTTTAAATTATACACCCAAGAATTTCTGAAAATAAAAGATTGCATAATATAGGGAGGTTCTGTTTATACAGCATTCTACAGTTCACATCTGTTATTTGCATTTATTGTTTAATCCTCAGAACAACTCTGGGCTTGAGTGGATCTTATTTTTTTCTAGTTCCAGTGTTTTTCAAAATAGACATACTTTTGTGAGTTTGAACTGGTGTAAGGTATTTAACACCTTGAGAAAAAAATTATTTTGCTTACCTCAGAGTAATGTGGGATGGTATTTCCTTTAGGTAGTGAAATTGAGATATTAAGAATGTAGCAGAAATGTACATGGACAAGCATAGGCAAGTCAGGTTTCTTCTCTGGACTGGAGTTTCTTCCTGTAAATTTAAGGAAGACAGATTGTGAATTGAGGACCTTTTACCTCCAGAACTTTTGTGACTTTTTTTTTTTTTTTAGTTACTGATATATGAGACCTATAAATAGGCAACATCTGCATAATGTTCTTTCCTTGCTTACTTGACAGGTCTGTTAGTGCTAAGGGAAGAATGAAATATTAATTAAGCACTTATGCTGATGTTTCCACATTGCATAATTTTTAAAATATAACTGTCACACCAATATGATGAATTGGTAATATTGTAATTTTTGCTTGCTTTTATTTCTCCTTTAAGACCTGAAGATTATTATTCTTTTGGACTTGGAATTCATATGTCTAATTATATGTCTATTCAAGTTAGAAATAGGTATTAAGCAGTGGGCCTAAGTAGCTTTCTACAACTTTGTAATCATGGAGACAGTCCCCTGAGGCTTGGGCATGTTTGTCCTTTAAGAATATTACATCTAGTAGGATCAGGAAGGGATGGGGATAGGAAGACAGATACCAGCTTTATAACAGAAGATAGCTAGGGGCAGGATAATCAGGCAGTGAAGAAATAACTGCCTGTACAAGTCATCCAATCCTTATTTTATAGCCAGTATGTTATAGTCACAGTTTCTAGGCATGTAGCTAGGGTCCCAACTAAAGAGTGATGATTAGGGAGCTGGTGACCATAGTTTCTAGCTGCAAGGCATGCTTACACATGACTTTTCCCCCTGGATTGACCTGGAATTATAATCTCAGGGCTTGCCTAGGAAGCAGTCTTGTAATAGAGCAGAATTTTAATTTTCTTCAAATTGCATCATATGTACCTAACATATGGCATGTACAGGTACAAATATGTGTTACAAATTACTTACCTACAAATACACAGGGTTTATGGTCTTAAGCATAAAATGAGGGTTTTAGTTATTTTGAATGGATTTAGTTATTTTGAATGAATTATTACTTTCCTAGCATTATTTCTGCATTTCTTCCCCCCTTCTCTGTCTGTATATATGAATGTGTATATACTTAACATACATATGTGTACACACATGTGTCAAGTGGGGTCATTCTTACCTTGGGGGTGGGGCAGAGGTACCCTCAGATCTTCTGGGAGCATGTATGTTTGAAAGAGTATATTTAATATCATTTTATGTTTGAAAAATGAAAACTAAAAACCACTTTTATAATACAAACTACAGAAAACAAAATTCACATATCCTGTTGATGGAATAAATGATTGAAAACCATTATTTTATTTTAAAGGATCCAAGTGTATCCTGTAATATCAGAGTGGGAAGGGTACTTTGAGATTAGATTATTCAGTGTGGTTCTTCAAGTTTTTATAGTTTTTTACTATTTATAGTTTTTTAAAGTAAATTTTCACTAAAGATAGCATACATAAGTGTACAACTCAATGAATTTTCAAAAAGTGAACACGCCTATGTAACCAGTACCCAGATTAAGAAAAAGAACATTACCGACACCCTGGAAGTCCATATTCCTTTTTGATAAATAAATAAGATATGCTGGCCCACCCCCAAACACATTCTGAAATTCTCCGCAGGGCCCCTTTCTCCCCACCTGTCACCCCCCCAGTTGAAAATCATAGATCTAATCTTATCCCTTTTATAGATGAAGAGTTTGAAGCCACAAGAAATTAGAGCCACGTGCCAAGGGTGATGGAGGAGAGGAGAGAAGCAAGCAGGAACAGGAAATTAATATATATTGAGCATCTGTTATATGATATGCAGTTGGCTAAGTACTTTACATGAACTAATCAATTTAAATTATCTTGTATTCTCTTATGTCCACTTTACAAATGAGGAAAGTGAAGCTCAAAGAAGTTAAATAACTTTCTTAAGATCCTACCTAGTAGGTACTAGGTAGAAGTACCAGGTTGGAATTCAGGTCTCCTGGCCACTAGAGCCTACATTCTCTGTACTACCTCTTATAGCTTCTTAAATGTGAGAATGGATGCTGCAGGGAGAGGATTATTTTTACTGCTCTTGTTTTTGACACTCACAGATTGTGTGTAGAACTGCATTTGACAAATATCACTTTATTGAACACTGTGTTTTTTTCCCTCTTTCTCCGCCACCTTACTGTTCAGTGCTTCAGGCACCGTGTACACAGCAATGGATGTGGCCACAGGACAGGAGGTGAGTATCCACCACCCACTGTTGCTCCTTTAGTTCTGTTTCTTTTTATTTGGGATTAATTTTTAGCCCTTGTTAGGTCAACAGGAACAGTTCTAGGTTTTTTTTTTTTTTTTTGGGATGGGGTCTCACTCTGTCATCCAGGCTGGAGTGCAGTGGCGTGATCTCTGCTCACTGCAGCCTCCGCCTACTAGGTTCAAGCAGTTCTCCAGCCTCAGCCTCCTGAGTAGCTGGGATTATAGGAACCTGCCACCATGCCTGGCTAATTTTTGTATTTTTTAGTAGAGGTGAGGTTTCACCATGTTAGCCAGGCTGCTCTCGAACTCCTGACCTTAGGTGATCTTCCTGCCTCGGCCTCCCAAAGGGCTAGGATTACAGGCATGAGCCAGTGTGCCCAGCTGGAACATATCTAGTTTCTTACTGTAGCATACAAAAGCCAAATAGCAGGATAACATTATGAAACTTAAGGTTTGGACTAAGGTGAAATAGTTAGATGGAGGGAAGTGGATGGATTTGAGAGATAACTTAGCAGGTAGGTTCAACAGGATTAGATGATTGAATGTGAACATTACTTACAAGTGGGTGATATTATTCAAGGAGAAAGGAAAAAGAAATTGGATACTGCCTGATTGCCAAGTGGATAGTTGCTTACATAACTTTGGGGCTTGGGGGAGAAATCTGATCTACAGGAGATTTAAACCATGTCTCTTGACTCCTAATCTACTGGTGCTACCTTTACTTTCCACTGAACAGTGAAATCCTCATTTATTTGGAGGCAGCTTTTTGTCCCTCTCATTTCATTAAGCCATGAGAACTATAGCTAAAGCCTGCTGACCCAAGGTCTTATATTCAGTAGAAGAAAGATATGAAGGGAATATAGAGTACTTGAGGTTTCCTTGCATTTTAATATTTGGTTGCAGAGTAGGAGTGTCAGCCAATGAACTGTGGATGGCAGCTGCCCCAGAGAAGTTCTTACTTCAAAGAGTACCAGTACACAATAATTGAGAGAGGCACCTCCTCTTCCAATGAAAATAGAGTTGGGCTTCTGTGAGGGAGGCTGCTAGAAACGTGCTTCTATATTTTTGGTGGTTGAAACCACGTGGCACCCTGGAGAAGTCATGGTTAATAGGGGTAGCACATATCTCACTAGGCTCTTGTGAGTTTTTACAAGTGTTAAAGCCAAATATTAAGGCTCCACCTAGGGTAAGCCAAGTTTTAAAAATCATTATTATGGTTAAGGATTTATTCATTATTCTTTGATGTGAGAATCCAAAGACCTAGATGCTTATAAGCCTTTAGCTACTTATATAACCTTGGGCAAGTCATTTGACCTCTCTGAGCCTGAATTTTATATATTTATAAAATGTGCATAATAAAATGTCCACGAAAGTGTTGAAAGAATTCAGTAAAGCAATACATGTGAAAATGCATTATAAACTTTATGAACTACATATTCATATTTATTCATTTTTACTCATATACATGTGTATGTATTCCACAAAGCATTTGCTTTATGCCACACCTTATGCTAAGAATTCTGTGAAAGTTCACAGACATTAAAATCATATGTAAATGTAAGAGACCATAATTTCCTTTGTGTACATATAAAAGCCTTGTAATATTGACACGAATCTGCCTTAAAGTAAAAATAATGGTGAGGAAGGAAGGATAATATTATCATGGCATTTTAATGATGGTGAATATGATGCAGAGATTAAAATAAAGAAGGCTATACCAATCCTGAAAAGAACTCTATGAGGTAGGTAATATTATTTCTTCTTTACTGCTGAGGAATTTGAGGCTCAGGGTGTATAGATAACTTTTTTTTGCAAAGTTGTACTGTCAGCAATTACCAGGGACTGGATTAGAATCTTTGACTCCTAATCCTGTGTGTTTTGGGCCGCAAGAGCACAACAGAGCTGAGGTTAGATACTAGAGTCCCTTCTGGCCTCTCAGGCCTCACAGTCCTTGATGGGAGGCAGGTAGGTGATGATGGTGGTTCCTGGAAGCCCTGGAGGCTGGCTGTGTGAGAAGCTGGCCAGAGGAAAGAGAAATTTAAATTCATTGTATGCGTGTCTTGTGGTTACAAAACTATGAATGGAAGGGAGTCCATCAGGGTGGCTAATGCAGTGTGGTCAGGAAGGCTTCATTTCCTGCCCCAGGGAGAATAAATCTTTATTGGAGTCCATGGGATGCTCTCAGTCTTTGTGAGTTCTTGCTTATTGGGGGTTATCCAGCTGAGAAGGGCAGACCTAGTGTCTCACATATAGGAAGAATGTTAGTGCTGGGAAGTCTTCCAGTTAACATATCCAACAATTATTTTTCAAGTGTGTTTTTAGAGAGAATGTGTACAATAGAAAGAACAGACTGGAAGAGGCTTTGGAGTCACATGGACCTGTAGGCATTGATTATGACCTTAGAATTTTCTTATGAGTCTTAGCCTCAATTTTCTTACTGAAAATGCAGATCATGATTCTTACTTTGTAGGGTTGTGTGTGGTTAGGTTTTACTGTGATAATATAAGTACGTCATCTAGCACAGAGCCTGGCACACAGTTGGTATTTGATAAACAGTAGCGGTGGGAGAGTAGTTGCTGTGCCAAGTACTTATTAAATGCTGTTATTACTGTGATTACCATTTTTGTTATTGTCTAAATTTATTGCTTAAATTATTTACTTATATGTGAGTAATGCATTGGCCATTGTCTCACTTGGTATTCAAAACAATCCTGAAAAGAGGGGAATCAAGGTTGAGATTATCTTCAATGTATTGATGAAGAGACTGAGGCTCAGAGAGCTTGTGATTGGTCAAGGTCAGTAAGTGACAGTCAGATCCTGAGCTTAAGTCCTCAGAGTTCAAGTCCAGTTCTTTTTCTGTTACAGGAATGCTATCTCCTAGCCTATATAGGTGGGGCTTAGGTGAAGGACACTTAGCCTAGCCCATAGTTAGTAGCTATTGAAAAGGACTCCTGGCCAGGCGCGGTTGCTCATGCCTGTAATCCCAGCACTTTGGGAGGCTGAGGCAGGCAGATTACGAGATCAGGAGTTCGAGACCAGCCTGGCCAACGTGGTGAAACCCTGTTTCTACTAAAAATACCAAAATTAGCTGGGTGCGATGGCAGATGCCTGTAATCCCAGCTACACGGGAGGCTGAGGCAGGAGAATCACTTGAACCCTGGGGGCAGAGGTTGCAGTGAGCAGAGATTGCCATTGCACTCCAGCCTGGGCAACAGAGCAAGACTCTGTATTAAAAGAAAAAGTAAAAAGAAAAGGACTCCCATGTCCTTCCCTAGCCTCCATGTTAGCCTCTTTCTGCCTCTCCTCCCCTGCTGCTGCCAGCAGTGACCACTGTGTGGTTCGTAAGCAGTGTCCCATCCTCCAAGATGGCATGAGTAACTCAAAAGACATTCTTCTGGCTCCAGTCCTTAATGTGCGTTATAAGGGCTAACTATACTTAATATCTTTAGATCAACATGTTGCTTTTCAAACGTTAGGAAAAACTAATGCTCAGCTGTTATAGACAGCTGCAGCCAGACCAGAAGCCTGACCTAACAGGAAACCCCACTCCAAAGCAATTTTTCCTTACTTGAGGTAGGGAATGGAGGTGGTCAGATTTTTTTACAGAATTACTTCTATTCTAAATGATTAACCTGGTCTCTGCAAGAGACTGTCCATTCTTGACTTGAAGAAATAATAGAGTCAGGGATTTGTCACATAAAAGTTTGAATCATTCCTTCTTTATACTTCTTGCTGCTTCTAGAAAGACAACTTAGTTCTGTTAGATGTTCGTGTTCTTGTCCACTAAGCAGGAAAAAGGAAAAATATCTCTAGAGAATGAACACTTAGAAAATAATTTAAAGTATACTTCTATGGGATAGAGGAGCCCATTGCCATTTTTTTTTTGTTTTTATTTAAAAACAAAGTACTTTCCAACCTACTGATTTCTCTCTTGCCATCTTCCTTTCTACAGACATTTGTTGAGCACCAACTCTGTGTGTAAAGGCCTGTGTTTGGCATTGAGGGTTCTGGGCTTTCAATCAAGCCCTCAAACCTCTCAATACACACAAACATACACACTAATCATTATACATGATAGCAAGTTGTAAGTTCCATAAGAGAGGGATAAATATGATCTTATAGGGCTTTAAAGAAGGGAAAAGGCATATTGGGTTTGGAGAATGAAGTTTCCTTTGGCCTGATACAAAAAGAGTAAGTAGCTTTTGAATGTATGGAAATGATACAGGCTGTTCCAGATGAAGAGAAGATTCTGAACAAAGGAAGGGGGACTAGATACCAGGGAGAACATGGAGTGTTCTCCATGAACACTCTCCTCTGTGAAGGAATAGAGTTGGAAGTAAAGTAGGGGCCAGATCATGAGAACTTTGAATGTTGTACTGAGAAGCATTTCTAGGCAACCAGGAGCCATGTAAGTTTTTGAACAAGGTTATCAAATGTGTACTGTGGGGGAAAATTAATCTGGCTACATGTACAGGATAACTTGACATCCCTTTTGAGGGTTCTAATCCTGATTTTGCTATTGAATAGCTATGTATGCAAGTCACATCCTCTCTGAAACACAGTTTCCCCGTCTGTTGAATCATTAGTAATATTTAGCACACAAGGTGTCTTTGAAGATTAAATGAAATAACAAATTTGAGAACACCTTATAATAGTACCTTACACATAGAAGGAATTGATACCAAGTACCTTAGAAACTAACGTATACCATATATTCATGTTGTCTGGAAATTTGTTTTTATTTCTGTAGATAGAGCTCTCATCCTCCTTTTCTCTTCTTTCTTAACCTGATCAACTCTGATTTATCTTTCTACGCCAGGTTCAGAAAGTCACTTCCCCCTTTATGAAGCCTCTATACCTAGCCAGATTGAAAGCATTCTTGGCTTTTGCCGTATTTTATGTTTCGCTAGCATTTTGTATGAGCCTCTGTTATAGCATCTCTTTTCTGTTGTGACTTTTTAAAAGTATTTTTCTACACCAAAGTTTGATTCTGAAACTTTGATGTGTATCACAGTGACCTGGAGGACTTTTTACATCACAGAGCTTCTGATTTAGTAGATTTGGGGTGGGACCCGAGGTTTTTATTTCCAACAAGCTCCCAGATGATGATGATGCTGGCTTGAGACCTCACTTTGAAGACCACTGGTCTACATAGACAAACTGTGAATTACTCGAGGGCTAAGACTGTATCTTACTCATCTTTGTTTCCTGAGTACTTAAGGTCTGGTACTTAGCAGGTGCTCAATAAATGGGAATGACTATGGTTGCACATTGAATATACTCTTGATTTCAGGTGGCCATTAAGCAGATGAATCTTCAGCAGCAGCCCAAGAAAGAGCTGATTATTAATGAGATCCTGGTCATGAGGGAAAACAAGAACCCAAACATTGTGAATTACTTGGACAGGTATGGAGTGGTGGGTCCCATCAGAGGGAAAGGGCCTTTGGGACTGATTGGTGGTGAAGCTGTTAGAGAAGAGGGCAGTGCCAGCCCTCAGAACTGCCTCCATTTATGAGTCTTCTGTGATGCTGAGCTCTCTGTATGTGACCCTGTGTAATGCTGGACACCTTTTTTGCTGGGAAATCCTTCTGTGTTAGGCTGAACTCTACCACCGTGTAGCTTCTAACAGTTGATCCTCGTACTGTTTGTTTTGCCTAAGGGAAACCTACCAACCCATCTGCCTGAGTCAAACATCTAGGTCCTTAACTCATTTTACATCCCAAATCTTTCCTTATTCTGCTCATCCTCCTGAATAACTTGTTGTTTGTTTATGTTCTCTTAAAATGCAGTGTGCAGAACTAGATGTTTCATTTGAGATCTGACCACTATGGAGAGAGTGGGACTCTTTCTAAACTCAACACAGCTTAATGATTTCATTCTTGTTTTATCTTTTAGGTTGTCTGCTTTGACTCCCAGTAAGTTTGCAGTCAACTAAAATTTCTGATTTTTTTTTTTTTTTTTACGTAAGCTTGCATTAAACTGGAAATGTGGAACTTTTTCACTATCTTCATTAAGTCCCATTTTTATTATTTTAGCCCATCATTCCAGCCCATCAAAATTTTTTTGCAAAATAGTAATAGTGGTTGTATATAATATTTGTATTGTGCTTTACTTTGTACCAAGCACTTTCATGAACAGTATCTCATTGTGAGGTAGGGTTTTTTTATCCATATTTTACAGACAAGGAAACTGAGGTTTATAGACGTTAATAACTTGTCCAAGAGTAGTAAGCCATAAAACAGCAAAGCAGTGTTTTGAATTTGAATATTCCTAGCACCAATATCTAGCACCTTTCTATTTTATCATGTTCTTTTCTCCGATACCTGAAAAAAAAAAAAAGTTAAGCTTCTTGCCCAGGGTTCAGAGACATCGTAGGTGGAGGTGAAATTGGACTAAATCTTGGACTCTAATTTCTTTACCTCTTATATTGCATGACCAGCTACCTCTTCCTGTTACTGGTAGATTTCATAAGGGCGCCTTCTTGTTCTGCATCTAAAACACTAGTAAGCTTCAGTTTCCTTAAAGAAGAAAAGAGTTGAACTTTGACATTCCCAACACTATAAAGAATAAAGCCTTCTTCTTTGAGATGGCTGTGTCTCCTTAATGTGGGTCCTGACTGGCTCTGAAGAATCCTCTGAAAGTTAGTACCTTATCATCTCTTTCAGAACTTATTATACAGAGAATATAGCTCATGCAAACTACTGAAGGCGACAGGGGTATTAGATTTTGGTTCAGGATATGGAAAAATGAAAGCTGTCAGTAAGGGTATGGCCTGTCTCACAAAATGGTGAGTTCCCCATCAGTGGATGCATCTACATGATAAAACGATGTTATTGAAGGAATTTGTGTTCTGGGAGTAGGATTAAGAGACTTATAGATTTGTTTATTAATCATATCTTTACCAGTATTCCCAGAGACTTTTACTCTGGAAATTAGAAGTAAATAATGCTATCTTTGCCCTCAAATAGTTCCTGGTCTGGTATAGAAAAAAAAAAAATACCTCTGTAAGGTCATGGAAGAGGACATTAACCTGAGCATTCAGTGAAGGTGTTGCAAATGAGGGTCTGTGGTTTTTGTGAGATGTCCCAGAGGGGAACTCCATCACATATGGATGAACTCATGGGCAGAACCCTCATGATGTAATCACCTTCCAAAGGCCCCACCTCCTAATAACATTAGTGATTAGATTTTCAACATATAAATTTTGAGGGACACAAACATTCAGACCATAGCAGTTCAAATCCCCATAGTCTTCTCTCTCAAAAGAGATTGTTGAAGAAACACTTAGTCTGTCATGTTTATTAGTCAGGACATTAAAAAATTATAAATCAGAACACAGAGTTTTATGGAAAGAGCTGTCGATTAGTAGTCAAAAAAATAGGATTCAAATCTTACCCTTGCTTGATTGCATTTGTTAAAATCTTCCAACAGTCTCCACATCTGTCCAGCAGTATTCCCAATATCAGGATGAAGATAAGATGATACCACACAGTTCAAGCCAATGCAAGAAATGTTTTTTTCCAATCCAGCTTCTTTGTCCAAGACTGGCAGAAGACTTTAGGGCTCTAGGCTCGCCTTGTTTTTATTTGTCTGATTCTATAGTAAGGAAACATTGACCAAATAGGCTAAGTGACCTTTTTATTTATCGTGTAATAGGGTTGAGTGATCCAACTCCTGAGTGAAACTATCACTTCTAACTCATGTCAGCCCATAATCTCTCTGGGGATATCTTACTAAATGGTAGTCTTGGCTTATCAGAAGGCTTTGGCTCCATAAGCCCTTGCTAAATTCATTCCATTCTTGAACCACAGACACTCAAAGTAGAGGTCAATTGTCAGCATAATGACTATGTATACAACACTTTGCAGCTTTTAAGGGGCTCCTATAAACATTATTTCGTTTAATATTTATAGTTATCTTTTATTTTTTCAGTGATTTATTTAGTAAATATTGGCATCTGCTGTGCTGGACTCTGAGGATAGAGTCTTGAACAAGACCCAATACTTGGTCTCATAGATCTCAGATCTGGTAGGACTCTCTGGGAGGTTTAGTAGCTCTCTCTTCTTTGGGTAACATGGACTCTAAATCCTATCTTTGTCAAATGTTTGGATGCTTCTAGAGGTGTGGGAATCATGTCAGTCTTTCTAATTTTAGGATGTCTTCCTTTGTGTTGTGATGAAATATAATTTTATTGTATCACTTCAAGCTAGAGATCTTAGTTCTGCCCTTTGGGGCTTCACAGAACATGTATACTTGGTTTTCTCCAGGAGCATCCTTGAGAGATTCAAAGTTAGTGATTCTGTTCCCCAGATTCTGCTTTTCCCCAAAGTAAAGAACCTTTTACTTTACTTTGTGCTAAGACGTAGTTTCACTCTGTGTATATGCTTAGCCTTTGAAACCCAGTGCTATGGCTCAGTGTACTCTGATTGTTCTCTCTCACCCTTTATCTGTATTCCTGCAGTTACCTCGTGGGAGATGAGCTGTGGGTTGTTATGGAATACTTGGCTGGAGGCTCCTTGACAGATGTGGTGACAGAAACTTGCATGGATGAAGGCCAAATTGCAGCTGTGTGCCGTGAGGTAAGGCCAAGGGCCAAGCAGTCTTGGGTAGAAAGCTGCCTCCATATTCCTGTCTCCTGAAGTTCCCTGTACAGTGAGATCTCAGCCTGGGCTCTGTGGAATTGGTAGAAATTAGTGCTGACACTGCTATCATTCCTGTATTGTACCTGTGTTTGTCATTTCTATCACCATGATTTTTTTTTTAACGATAACTTTATTCTACCCATTGTAGAAAAATTATAAAGTACTAGAAAGTATATATTGTAAAAAGTCACTCATAATTCCAGTCTTAGAGATAACCACTTGCCTAAGCACGTTATAATATATTCCTTTATCTCTTTTATCTGGGCATATATTTCAATCATTTTTATTCTGCTTTCTTGCTTTATTTATGTGCTATAAGGAAAATAAAACAGAGTAAGAAGGTAGTGATGGAGGAAGTACTATTTTAGACAAGACAGTCAGGGAAGGTTTTGCTATAGATTTGAGTAAACATCTGAATGATATATAAAAGCAAGCCAGCAAAAATCTAGGGTAAAATACTTCCAGGAAAATAAAAAAAGAAAACAAAGCTCAAATAGATACTCCCTTTCTCCTCATTGCTATTAAATGTCTAGAATTGATAATACGCTGATGTAGGAGGAAGAAAAGCCCTCCAGAAAGCCTGGACAGTGTCCTCAGGGAATAACCACATTTCATTTCCATTAGAGCAAAAAGATGAAGGGAATATTCAGAGACATTGAGGATATTGGGTGTTTTGCTGATGACAGACTGGACTTTCTGATGGCCCAATAATGCAAAAGTAATTGCGGTTTTTGCCATTACTTAAAAAAAAAAAAATACCAAAACCACAATTGCTTTTGCACCAACCTAGTAGAAAAGTTAGGAAATTAGGGGAAGCATAGAAGATGAGATGAGGTTCAGAATTTTGTGGAGATGAGTATAATAGTATGATGGGGGTTTGATGGTGCAAGAGCTGAAGGCATACTGCTGAAATTATGTAGTTATATATTTAATCAGTGTTAAGAAAAATAAAATGTGAAATCAATACTGCCCTAGAAAATAATGGTCCCCTTTGCAAACAACTTTGGGATCTAGAATGTTCACAAGTAATTGGAATTAATTAATGGAATTAATACCAGGCTGGGATTCTTAGGGGTTCTGACTTTTTTTTTTGTTCCACTACTAATGCAGTATTTCGTAACCTTCTTTTCATTATCTCCTTCTTAAGGAGGCTTTTTCCTAATCATACTCCCTGCCATGAAATTGTAATATCACAGATATATAGCTAAGCTGTTTGGGTCATAAACCATTGTAATACCTAAGATTTTTTTCACCCCACCCCCTTACCCTCAGGAACGAAGTTTCACTAGTTGAGAATACATGCATATGTATACTTTGGGAAATCATTTTGCCTCATTATTAATCTGTAAAATGGAAATTGCAACATTCACACTATATATACCTTAGGGGTGCTATATGGATCAAAAAGCACTTGGAAAAAAATGTTAATGTTGTATAATAGATGGTATTACTATTCTTCAGTTCTAATAGAGATCATCTTCTCCTTTTAAAAAATCTTTATTGAGATATAATTCACCCATTTAGAGTATATAATTCACTAGTTTTTAGTATATTCATAGAGTTGTACAGCCACCATCATAATGAATTTTAGATCCTTTTTATCACCCCAAAGAGGAAATTAATATCCATTAACAGTCACTCCCCATGTCCCCTGCCCTGACTCTCCCAGCCCTATGTAACCACTAATCTATTTTCTACCTCTGTAGTTTCCCTGTACTGGGCATTTTATATAAATGGAATCATGTAATATTTGCTCTTTTGTAATTGGCTTCTTTTACTTAGCTAGCATTATGTTTCAAAGATTCATCCATTTTGTAGCATGTATCAGTACCTCATTCCTTTTTATTGCCAAGTAATAGAATGGACATTTGGGTTGTTTCTGTTTTCGGCTGTTATAAAAAATAAAAAATTACTCTATGAACACTTATATACCAGTTTTTGTGTGGAGGTATGTTCTCATTCTCTTGGATATATAACTACAGGTGGATTGCTGGTCATATGGCAACTCTATACTCAACTTTTGAGGAACTGCCAAACTGTTTCCGTAGTAGCTGTACTGTTTTACGTTCCTGCCAGCAATGTATGAGGGTTCCAGTTTCTCAAGATAATTCTTTTTCATCATAATTTCTGACATCCTGAGACCTGTTTCTCCACCCTTCTAAGAAGAGCAGCTCTTACATTTTCAGGGAAAATCCAATTCTGGATATTGTTTTATTCTTACTTTAGCCATTGGTATATTCTTAGAAAGTAAAGTATTAGGTTAGGACCATTTAAATAGTATTTTCCTGTTCACTTATATCTTTAGTGTTTTTTAATTGGTAGAAGTTTCTAAAAAATTAGTTTTGGGTCAATGAAATCAAATTATTGATTTAGTAGAAAAGCTGAGATGATCTCATCTGATTCCCAAATTTTATAGATGGAAGTCCAGAATTATATAGTCAATGGGGTAGCAGCAGAACCAGGCATTTTAATTGTACCATTGTGTCTCTTTATTACTCATTCTGCCTGCTAAGTATAGGTGTTTTCCAAGATTCTTCTCTTTCTCCTTTACCCTTTGCCGGGTTCAACCATTTTTATAACTTAAACAAAAATCATCTCTTCCCAAATGACTTGTAAATATTTACCATAATTTATCATAAATTAAGTTGCCTACCAGACATTTGTCTTCAGATATCAAATTCAGCATATCCAAAATAGTACAAAATATCTCCTCACCAAAATAAGATTATCCTGCTAACTTACTGCTTCTAGTATCACTTCCATATGTCTGCTTCCTCAAATATGACCCTTATTTGTTGTTTTCCTCTGGTCTGTCATTATAAGATCCTTTCCATTTTTCTTCAGTAATTTCTCTTGGGCCTTAGGTCCTTTACCAAGGATCTAATTAGAAAAAAAATTACATTGGAGGAACTCCTTTACTTAAAAAAACTGTTTTAAGGTGAAAGGCAGCATGGAGTGTTAAAAGAATGTTTAGCTAGGAGATGGAAGACTTGTTTCTAGATCTGGCTCTGCGATTGATTTGGGGCAAGTCCTTTTACTCACTGGGGCCTTACTTCCTTTATTTTAAAGTGAAGAGGTTGAATTAGTGGATTTTCTATTAAGTCTTCTGTATTATATGTATGTCCTTTCTTTCTCCCCCTGCCCACACCACTTCAATAGTGTCTGCAGGCTCTGGAGTTCTTGCATTCGAACCAGGTCATTCACAGAGACATCAAGAGTGACAATATTCTGTTGGGAATGGATGGCTCTGTCAAGCTAAGTAAGTAGGAGCCTTAGGAATGATAATACTTCTCTGCCTGTGGGGCCCTGTCTCCTGTGAGATGGTCATCATATAATAGTAACTACGACACTCACCAAAGGGTCTTTATGATTTCATGGGATATGAGGGCTGTTTTATATTTTCTGTATTAATCATAGGATATCATTTCATTATTTTTTCATTCATTTATACATTTAACAACAACCACAAAAAACTTTGCTGAATGGTTACTCTGTGCTAGGTCCTGTGATGGGCACTGAGAGTAAATTTTCCCTACCTTCTCAATCTAGTATGGAAAACGTGTAATAGATAATTAGAAAAAAGAGTTTTGTATAATTTCTTTCATTCAGTTATTCAGCAAACTTTTATTGAATGTCCAGTACATGCTGGTCCTTCTAGGGATATGAGGACAAGTAAGAGGACATAATCCATACTCTCAAAGGCTTCCTAATTTAAATAAATTTATAATTGCAATATAATGTAAAAACCATGGCAGGTAGAGCATTTTGTTCAAAGGTGTAAAGACCAGTAGACCAGACAAACAGGCTGTGTCATGGGTGGATGGGCAGTTTATGGAAGGACTGCTAGCAGCCCTGGGTCTGGGGCATAAAAACAGGGCCATGCCTAGTCATAGGTGATTGGGGTTTAAATCAAGGACTCGTGCCCAAGGAATAAGACAAGGACCTAGTCGCCAGATTTGGGATTATGGGAATGGTTTTTCAAGAACAAAGCAGAATTGGGATGAGCAATCAAGACCAAAATGGGCAGCTTGGACTTTAACACTAAGTCCCCTGGTTTGAGGAGAAGTAGGAGGCCAGAGATGGTGTTTCTTATATTCCTTCTATTTCTCTTCAGGGTTCAATAGGAAATAGGCTAGGAGCTAGACATGAAGGTGGTAGTCAAGTGACTTTGGAGAGACAAAGGATAGCAGAGCTGGAAGCCAGGCGGATCTTGTCACCTATGTGTAGGTACACAGTCAACACTTACTGAAGTGAGTGTATATCCTAAATGTATGTTCTTTCTCTTATTTTTCTTTTCTAGCTGACTTTGGATTCTGTGCACAGATAACCCCAGAGCAGAGCAAACGGAGCACCATGGTAGGAACCCCATACTGGATGGCACCAGAGGTTGTGACACGAAAGGCCTATGGGCCCAAGGTTGACATCTGGTCCCTGGGCATCATGGCCATCGAAATGATTGAAGGGGAGCCTCCATACCTCAATGAAAACCCTCTGAGAGTGAGTGTTACCAGTTCTATTTCAAGTTATTTGGGCTGTTGTCTCTAGTCCCAGGAAATAAGAATCCAGGGTGTTCTCTGTGGTTTTCAACCTGGAGATCCCTTTTCTGGATACAACTAGTCACTGTTGAACTTAAAGTATAAATGGCCAAAGAAAAGGAATATTAGAAGTCACTCATTCATTTATTCAACAATTATTTGAGTCCCTGTCAAGTGCAAGAAACTATTCTAATGAAAATAAAATAAATTAATATGTAGTAACAGATGGTAAATGCTGTGAGAAAAAGCAAAGTAAGGGAGTTAACAGAGTAATGGAGGAACAGGTGTGCTATTTTAGAGTAGAGAGGGAAGTTCTCTCTTATAAGTTATTTTATTCTGCAGAGTTGGGAAGTCATTAGAGGGTTTTGAGCTGAGGAGTAATGTGATCTGATTTATGTTTTAAACAGATCATTTTGGCCGCTTTTATGGAAAATAGACTGCGAGAGACTGTTGTAATAGTTCAGAGTGGTGGTGTCTTGGTAGGAGTGGAAGTGAGAAGTGGTCAGATTCAGGAAATTAAAGGACTAGCTGACAAGATGAACTGAATATTAGAGAAAGAGGAATCAGCAATGACTACAAGATTTCTGGTCTGAATTGCTGAAAAAATTCAGTTGCCATCTGTTGAAATGGTGAAGAGCATACTTAAGTTGGGTAATAAAGAGTTGGTTTTGAATGTGCTGATTTGAAGTGTTAATTGGACATTTAAGTGGAGCTGGAGTAGAGTTTGGCTTAAGAGTCTGGAGTTCAAGGGTGAGAAGTCAGGACTATAAACATAAATTTATTAGTAGATAATATATAGTTGGTATATATAGTAGGTAGATGAGATCACTCACCTAGGGAATGAGTACAGTTAAAGAAAAGAGATTTGAGTACTGAGCTCTAGGTTATTCCACTGTTTACAGGTTGGAAGAACTAGCAAAGTAGACCAAGGAGTGGCCTTTCTAGTGTGAGAGAACAGAGAAGTGTCTTGGAGGTGAAGTGTCCTGGAGATGAAGAGAACAGTGTGCTTCCCGAAGGAGGAGGAGGGTAGATTATGTGTCAAATGTGATTGATAGGTTAAGATGAGACTGAGAAATGAACATTGGATTTGCCAATGTAGAGGTTCTTAATGACCTTAATAATCAGTTATCAGTAGAGAGATGGGGATGAAAGTCTAATTAAATTCATGAAAGTGGAAGAAGAGGACATTGAGATGGCATGTATAAACAGGTTTTTTTTTCTCTTAAAGGAATTTTGCTGGGAAGGGTAACAAAAATGGAGCACTATCTTAAAATGGAGTCAAGGGAGGGTTTTTCTAAAAGATGATGTCTGTGTGCTAATGGGAATGATTTAGTGGAGAGGAGGAAAATGGTCATGTACAAGAAGGAAGTGACAACCATAGAAGTGATATCCTTAAGTCGATGAGAGGGGTTCGATCAAGTACTGAAGTAAAGGACATTAGATTAGCATGGACAATTTATCCCTTGTAACAGAGCATCTCAACACAGGTGCAAATAGGTTGGTAATCTT
This sequence comes from Homo sapiens, assembly GCF_000001405.40. Lineage (NCBI taxonomy): Eukaryota > Metazoa > Chordata > Mammalia > Primates > Hominidae > Homo > Homo sapiens. The sequence goes on along the minus strand of NC_000011.10, from coordinate 77,334,538 downwards.
GGTGTGGGCAAATGTGAAATTTATTCTGATTGCTTTTATTTTCTCATTTATTCCCACCTCCCATCCAGTGCAGGAATTCCCTGTGCACTGTTGCTGGTAGGTGGTCATCTACATGCTCATGTCATCCTTGAATATCTCTGATTATTGGAAATTGCTTCAGTGCACCAAACTGAAACTACCTTCTGTAGTTTCTATCCTTTGATCCCAGCTTTGCCTCTGACTCCACATACAACATACTCTTCCCTCCCTTAGAACGGCCTTGCAGATATTTGAAGATGATAATTGCTGGGATATGTTGGAAATAAGACAGAATGATCCTAGACATAGGCATATTTTTTTATTTTTTTATTTTTATTTTATTTTTTTTTTTGAGATGGAGTCTCACTCTGTCACCTAGGCTGGAGTGCAATGGTGTGATCTCAGCTCACCGCAACCTCCACCTCCCAGGTTCAAGCGATTCTCCTGCCTCAGCCTCCTGAGTAGCTGGGATTACAGGCACCTGCCACCATGCCCAGCTAAGTTTTGTATTTTTAGTAGAGACCACATTTCGCCATATTGGTCAGGCTGTTCTCGATGGTCTCGAACTCCTGACCTCAGGTGATCCACCCACCTCAGCCTCCCAAAGTGCTGGGATTACAGGAGTGAGCCACCACGCCCGGCCCTAGACATATCTTTTTATGTTTCCGGACCCTATCTGTGAAGTGAAGATGATAAGTCTTGCCCTATTACCCAGAGTTAATTGTGGCCATTAAATTAGACAGTGCTTATGTAAGTACTCTTTGAATTAAGTGCTGAGTGCTTGTAAAGATTTAGTCTTACTGTTTTTCTTTACCTTTCCCAGGAGACGCTTCATTTAGGGGACTAGGGTGGCAACAGTTTTCACTTACATTTAATATTCCTTTCCTGCTAGAAGAGATCAGTTCTTGGATGACTGAGGTGAAGGCACCAGGAATAATTTCTGCCAGCAGCTGGGCAGATGTTTAACTCAACAGGCTAAATGGATAATAAACCCTTCAGATGTGTAAGCAAGAATAATAATAAAGCCAGGCACAGTGACTCACGCCTGTAATCCCAGCACTTTGGGAGGTTGAGGCAGGAGGATCACTTGAGTCTAGGAGTTTGAGACCAGCCAGGCCAACATGGTAAAACCCCGTCTCTACTGAAAATACGAAAAGCAGTCGGGTGTAGTGGCTGGTGCCTGTAATCCCAGCTACTTGGGAGGCTGAGTCAGGAGAATTGCTTGAACCTGGGAGGTGGAGGTTGCAGTGAGCCAAGATCGTGCCACTGCACTCCAGCCTGGGCGACAGAGCAAGACTCCATCTCAAAAAAAAAAAAAAAAAAAAAGAAGAAGAAGAATAAACCCTTAGGTCTGTAACATATTTCATAAGTTTACAAAGTACTTTCAAATACACTATCTTATTTTATTTTTACAGACATGTGAGATGGGCATTATCATCATCCCTACTTTACAGACAGGGAAGTTGTACATAGTCCCATGGCCTTTAAATGTTCAACCTGATCCTTAGGTCATACTCTTTCCAGTATATATACACAGCTGCTACTTTGCATCCTAGAGCATAAAGCAGCTGACCATATTTCTAGAACTTGTATATGGGGAACAAGAGAGAGCCTCATTTGGAGCTCAAGGTGATTCACCATTTTTATTGCCAGGCCTTGTACCTCATTGCCACCAATGGGACCCCAGAACTTCAGAACCCAGAGAAGCTGTCAGCTATCTTCCGGGACTTTCTGAACCGCTGTCTCGAGATGGATGTGGAGAAGAGAGGTTCAGCTAAAGAGCTGCTACAGGTAACTGTCCTTATGCAGGGAAGCACCTAATTCAGGGAATCACTAAACCAGGCCTTTTTTACTTCATGTTTGTAAGGTACTGGATATTATAGAACTAGGCTTCTCTTCTACCACTTCCTACACTCACTCTGTTCCTACTGCCCTTTTATCCCTGGGCCTTTGCTCATTTATTTTCTTAGCCTTTCTCAGCCTGTTAAAACTCTACACGTTCTCCTAGGCTCAGTTTACAATCTATTTTCTGAGCACCTATTGAGCTTTGCTTGTAGCTTTTTTGCTTGCTTCCTTCCTTCCTTTCCTTTCTTCTTCCTTTCCCTTTCCTTCCCTTCCTTTCCCTTCCCTTCCCTTCCCTTCCCTTCCCTTCCTTTCCCTTCCCTTCCCTTTCCCCCCCCTCTTCCCTCTCCCCCTTCCTCTCACGCCCCACAGGGTCTCACTCTGTCACCCAGGCAGGAGTGTGCAATGGCGTGATTTTGTCTCACTGCAGTCTTCCTCTCCTGGGTTCACTCAAGTGATCTTCCCACCTCAGCCTCCCAGGTAGCTCAGACTACAGGTGCACGCCACCATACCTGGCTAGTTTTTTAAAAACTTTTTTGTAGAGACGGGGTTTTGCTATGTTGGCCGTGCATGGTCTCAAATTCCTGGGTTCAAGCGATCTGCGCACTTCGCTTTCCCAAAGTGCTGGGACTACAGGCATGGGCCACCATGACCAGCCTGCTTGTATCTTTCATTAGCACTTCCTTTGTTCTGTTTGAATTAGTCTGGCAGAGTTTGTTTGAGTCTTGTTGAGAAACGGGTCTCTGACACCCAAATCTTACACAACTTATATTTTGCTGGGATTAGCTCAAAGGATACATTTTTAGCAAAGGAACATAAGTTTATTTTATTTTATTTATGTTTTATTTTTCTTTCTTTTTTTTTAATTCTTTTTTTTTTACATTTTATTATTATTATACTTTTAAGTTTTAGGGTACATGTGCACAACGTGCAGGTTTGTTACATATGTATACATGTACCATGTTGGTGTGCTGTACCCATTAACTCGTCATTTAGCATTAGGTATATCTCTTAATGCTATCCCTCCACCCTCCCCTGACCCCACAACAGTCCCGGGTGTGTGATGTTCCCCTTCCTGTGTCCATGTGTTCTCATTGTTCATTTCCTACCTATGAGTGAGAACATGCAGTGTTTGGTTTTTTGTCCTTGCAATAGTTTGCTGAGAATGATGGTTTCCAGTTTCATCCATGTCCCTACAAAGGACATGAACTCATCATTTTTTATGGCTGCATAGTATTCCATGGTGTATATGTGCCACATTTTCTTAATCCAGTCTATCGTTGTTGGACATTTAGGTTGGTTCCAAGTCTTTGCTGTTGTGAATAGTGCCACTATAAACATACGTGTGCATGTGTCTTTACAGCAGCATGATTTATAATCCTTTGGGTATATACCCAGTAATGGGATGGCTGGGTCAAATGGTATTTCTAGTTCTAGATCCCTGAGGAATTGCCACACTGACTTCCACAATGGTTGAACTAGTTTACACTCCCACCAACAGTGTAAAAGTGTTCGTATTTCTCCACATCCTCTCCAGCACGTGTTGTTTCCTGACTTTTTAATGATCGCCATTCTAACTGGTGTGAGATGGTATCTCATTGTGGTTTTGATTTGCATTTCCCTGATGGCCAGTGATGATGAGCATTTTTTATGTGTTTTTTGGCTATGTAAATGTCTTCTTTTGAGAAGTGTCTGTTCATATCCTTCGCCCACTTTTTGATGGGGTTGTTTGTTTTTTTCTTGTAAATTTGTTTGAGTTCGTTGTAGATTCTGGATATTAGCCCTTTGTCAGATGAGTAGGTTGCAAAAATTTTCTCCCATCCTGTAGGTTGCCTGTTCACTCTGATGGTGGTTTCTTTTGCTGTGCAGAAGCTCTTTAGTTTAATTAGATCCCATTTGTCAATTTTGGCTTTTGTTGCCATTGCTTTTGGTGTTTTAGACATGAAGTCCTTGCCCATGCCTATGTCCTGAATGGTATTGCCTAGGTTTTCTTCTAGGGTTTTTATCATTTTAGGTCTAACATTTAAGTCTCTAATCCATCTTGAATTAATTTTTGTATAAGGTGTAAGGAAGGGATCCAGTTTCAGCTTTCTACATATGGCTAGCCAGTTTTCCCAGCACCATTTATTAAATAGGGAATCCTTTCCCCATTGCTTGTTTTTGTCACGTTTGTCAAAGATCAGATAGTTGTAGATATGCGGCGTTATTTCTGAGGGCTCTGTTCTGCTCCATTGGTCTATATCTCTGTTTTGGTACCAGTACCATGCTGTTTTGGTTACTGTAGCCTTGTAGTATAGTTTGAAGTCAGGTAGTGTGATGCCTCCAGCTTTGTTCTTTGGGCTTAGGATTGACTCGGCGATGCGGGCTCTTTTTTGGTTCCATATGAACTTTAAAGTAGTTTTTTCCAATTCTGTGAAGAAAGTCATTGGTAGCTTGATGGGGATGGCATTGAATCTATAAATTACCTTGGGCAGTATGGCCATTTTCACGATATTGATTCTTCCTACCCACGAGTATGGAACGTTCTTCCATTTGTTTGTATCCTCTTTTATTTCATTGAGCAGTGGTTTGTAGTTCTCCTTGAAGAGGTCCTTCACATCTCTTGTAAGTTGGATTCCTAGGTATTTTATTCTCTTTGAAGCAATTGTGAATGGGAGTTCACTCATGATTTGGCTCTCTGTTTGTCTGTCATTGGTGTATAAGAATGCTTGTGATTTTTGTACATTGATTTTGTATCCTGAGACTTAGCTGAAGTTGCTTATCAGCTTGAGGAGATTTTGGGCTGAGATGATGGGGTTTTCTAAATATACAATCATGTCATCTGCAAACAGGGACAATTTGACTTCTTTTTTTCCTAATTGAATGCCCTTTATTTCCTTCTCCTGCCTGATTGCCCTGGCCAGAACTTCCAACACTATGTTGAATAGGAGTGGTGAGAGAGGGCATCCCTGTCTTGTGCCAGTTTTCAAAGGGAATGCTTCCAGTTTTTGCCCATTCAGTATGATATTGGCTGTGGGTTTGTCATAGATAGCTCTTATTATTTTGAGATATGTCCCATCAATACCTAATTTATTGAGAGTGTTTAGCATGAAGGGTTGTTGAATTTTGTCAAAGGCCTTTTCTGCATCTATTGAGATAATCATGTGGTTTTTGTCTTTAGTTCTGTTTATACCTTGGATTACATTTATTGATTTGCGTATGTTGAACTGGCTTTGCATCCCAGGGATGAAGCCCACTTGATCATGGCGGATAAGCTTTTTGATGTGCTGCTGGATTCGGTTTGCCAGTATTTTACTGAGGATTTTTGCATCGATGTTCATCAAGGATATTGGCTAAAATTCTCTTTTTTTGTTGTGTCTCTGCCAGGCTTTGGTATCAGGATGATGCTGGCCTCATAAAATGAGTTAGGGAGGATTCCCTCTTTTTCTGTTGATTGGAATAGTTTCAGAAGGAATGGTACCATTTCCTCCTTGTACCTCTGGTACAATTCGGCTGTGAATCCATCTGGTCCTGGACTCTTTTTGGTTGGTAAGCTATTGATTATTGCCTCAATTTCAGATCCTGTTATTGGTCTATTCAGAGATTCAGCTTCTTCCTGGTTTAGTCTTGGGAGGATGTATGTGTCGAGGAATTTATCCATTTCTTCTAGATTTTCTAGTTGATTTGCATAGAGGTGTTTATAGTATTCTCTGATGGTAGTTTGTATTTCTGTGGGATCGGTGGTGATCTCCCCTTTATCATTTTTGATTGCGTCTATTTGATTCTTCTCTCTTTTCTTCTTTATTAGTCTTGCTAGCGGTCTATCAATTTTGTTGATCCTTTCAAAAAACCAGCTCCTGGATTCATTAATTTTTTGAAGGGTTTTTTGTGTCTCTATTTCCTTCAGTTCTGCTCTGATCTTAGTTATTTCTTGCCTTCTGCTAGCTTTTGAATGTGTTTGCTCTTGCTTTTCTAGTTCTTTTAATTGTGATGTAAGGGTGTCAATTTTAGATCTTTCCTGCTTTCTCTTGTGGGCATTTAGTGCTATACATTTCCCTCTACACACTGCTTTGAATGTGTCCCAGAGATTCTGGTATGTTGTCTTTGTTCTCGTTGGTTTCAAAGAACATCTTTATTTCTGCCTTCATTTCATTATTTACCCAGTAGTCATTCGGGAGCAGGTTGTTCAGTTTCCATGTAGTTGAGCAGTTTTGAGTGAGTTTCTTAATCCTGAGTTCTAGTTTGATTGCACTGTGGTCTGAGAGACAGTTTGTTATAATTTCTGTTCTTTTACATTTGCTGAGGAGTGCTTTACTTCCAACTATGTGGTCAATTTTGGAGTAGGTGTGGTGTGGTGCTGAAAAGAATGTATATTCTGTTGATTTGGGGTGGAGAGTTCTGTAGATGTCTATTAGGTCCTCTTGTTGCAGAGCTGAGTTCAATTCCTGGGTATCCTTGTTAACTTTCTGTCTCGTTGATCTGTCTAATGTTGACAGTGGGGTGTTAAAGTCTCCCATTATTATTGTGTTGGAGTCTAAGTCTCTTTGTAGGTCACTAAGGACTTGCTTTATGAATCTGGGTGCTCCTGTATTGGGTGCATATATATTTAGGATAGTTAGCTCTTGTTGTTGAATTGATCCCTTTACCATTATGTAATGGCCTTCTTTGTCTCTTTTGATCTTTGTTGGTTTAAAGTCTGTTTTATCAGAGACTAGGATTGCAATCCCTGCCTTCTTTTGGTTTCCATTTGCTTGGTAGATCTTCCTCCATCCCTTTATTTTGAGCCTATGTGTGTCTCTGCACGTGAGATGGGTTTCCTGAATACAGCACACTGATGAGTCCTGACTCTTTATCCAGTCTGCCAGTCTGTGTCTTTTAATTGGAGCATTTAGCCCATTTACGTTTAAAGTTAATATTGTTATGTGTGAATTTGATCCTGTCATTATGATGTTAGCTGGTTATTTTGCTCGTTAGTTGGTGCAGTTTCTTCCTAGCCTTGATGGTCTTTACAATTTGGCATGTTTTTGCAGTGGCTGGTACTGGTTGTTCCTTTCCATGTTTAGTGCTTCCTTCAGGAGCTCTTGTAAGGCAGGCCTGGTGGTGACAAAATCTCTCAGCATTTGCTTGTCTGTAAAGGATTTTATTTCTCCTTCACTTATGAAGCTTAGTTTGGCTGGATATGAAATTCTGGGTTGAAAATTCTTTTCTTTAAGAATGTTGAATATTGGCCCCCACTCTCTTCTGGCTTGTAGAGTTTCTGCTGAGAGATCAGCTTTTAGTCTGATGGGCTTCCCTTTGTGGGTAACCCGACCTTTCTCTCTGGCTGCCCTTAACATTTTTTCCTTCATTTCAACTTTGGTGAATCTGACAATTATGTGTCTTGGAGTTGCTCTTCTCGAGGAGTATCTTTGTGGCATTCTCTGTATTTCCTGAATTTGAATGTTGGCCTGCCTTGCTAGATTGGGGAAGTTCTCCTGGATAATATACTGCAGAGTGTTTTCCAACTTGGTTCCATTCTCCCCGTCACTTTCAGGTATACCAATCAGACGTAGATTTGGCCTTTTCACATAGTCCCATATTTCTTGGAGGCTTTGTTCGTTTCTTTTTATTCTTTTTTCTCTAAACTTCTCTTCTCGCTTCATTTCATTCATTTCGTCTTCCATCACTGATACCCTTTCTTCCAGTTGATCGCATCGGCTCCTGAGGCTTCTGCATTCGTCACGTAGCTCTCGTGCCTTGGTTTTCAGCTCCATCAGGTCCTTTAAGGACTTGTCTGCATTGATTATTCTTGTTATCCATTCATCTTATTTTTTTTCAAAGCTTTTAACTTCTTTGCCATTGATTCGAATTTCCTCCTGTAGCTCAGAGTAGTCTGATCATCTGAGGCCTTCTTTCAACTCGTCAGAGTCATTCTCCATCCAGCTTTGTTCCGTTGCTGGTGAGGAGCTGCGTTCCTTTGGAGGAGGAGAGGCGCTCTGATTTTTAGAGTTTCCAGTTTTTCTGCTCTGTTTTTTCGAGACAGGATCTCTCTCTGTTGCCCAGGCTGGAGTGCATGGCGCAATCATGGCTCACTGTAGCCTCAACCTCCCCAGGTTCTGCTGATCTTCCCACTTCAGCCTCCAGAGTAGCTGGGACTATAGGCGTGCACCACCATACCTGCCTAATTTTTCTATTTTTTGTAAAGACAGGGTTTTGCCATGTTGCTCAGGCTGGGCTCAAACGATCTGCCCACCACAGTCTCCCAAAGTGCTGGAATTACAGGCATGGCATCAGCCACCATGCCCATCCATGGAACATAAGTTTAGAAGATAATTAGTGAGTGTGGCTTTTGGAGTCTTTACACTTTATTCATTGGAAATCCTCAGATAATGGCAATGATACTCTACTTATTGAGAGTGAGATTTTGCCAGTTTGTGGGGAAACCCGGAGTCAGGGGTTTACTAGGCCTTTTATACTCCTGCCTGCCTAATCCTGATAATTTTATATGGTTGCAAAAATTGCCTTTAGCAGGCCGCATCATTTGTATTTAACATATATGTTTCAAGTACAATTTCTTATAACTAGTGTTCTTTTATTGTATTGCCCACTAGTGATCTAATAGTAAGTATCACATGCAACTTTATGAAGGCATGCACTGTCATTTGCTTTCGTATTATGAAGCCCAGAAGTGACAGAGCAGGGCAGGGCAGGGCAGGGCATACTGCCCTGTGTTAATTATGAATCTCTTTCCTATTGGATTATAACCTCTATTTTGTTAATCCCTGAGTCTCATGTTTTACCTAGGACTTGACTCAGGATAGGTACTCAAAATATATTTATTGAATTGAATGAAATTACTGGAAGAACCCACATTGGAATATCACCCTCTGGAACATACTTAGCATGTCTTTGTAATTGAGGTTACTGATTATGGCATACTGGCCTATTAGTTATGAGATCTGGGTTCTGCCAAGTATAACCCATTAGTCTCTAGTATCTGTTGGAACTAAAAGTCTCTTAGTACAATGTAGGACCCCTTTTGCTGTTCATGAGAGTTGTATTCTGGAAACTGTGGGCACTGGGAAATGTGTAAATACTATATGCTAAGCCTGCGATTAGTAAAGATACCATTCTTAATTAAATACCAAATTATAGTTCTTGAAAGGTTAGTGACCTCTAAAGTTTTCTTCCTGATATAGTAATATAACTAGTAATAAATGGGTTATATTGAATCTTTACCATATTTTAGGCACTAAACACTTTATATATTTAGGCACTAAGCACTTTATATATTGTCCTTTACAACAACTCTGTGAGTCATAGGTTCTATTCTCATTTTTACAGGTGAGAAAACTGAGGTTTCAAGTGTTTAGTAACTTTTCCATGATAGCTGGTAAGTAGCAGATCCAGGATTTCAGCCTGTTTGGCTCTCAAGTGTGTATGCTCTTGGCCACTGCTCTTAATAGGCTCAAAGAGTATCACAACTGGAAGCCCTTAGGGCTCATCTAGTCTGTTTTGTTTATTAGACAGAGAAGGAAACTGAGGCCTCCCAATTCGATGTTGGATCATGCTGCTCTCAACTTAGGGGAATTGCAGAAACATGTGATCTGAGAAAGCTGGCTTTTTAACTTGTTGGTGTACATTGTAAATATTGAAAACCATGACTTTGAGAATCACAAATCATAAAAGCTTCACATCTGTTTCTCCTGTGAGAACACACTTATAGACAGAAATACATAGAATGATATATATTGGAATTCATATCTTCATGATTTAGCTAGGATCTTTTATTCCTTTCATAGTAATAGTACGTTCTTGTTCTCAGTAGCTCTTTATACTATCTCTGTCCCAACAGAAGTTGCAGCAATTCTCAGCAAAGAATATTAGTATATATGTTTCTCTCTCTTTCTCTTTCTCTCTCTCTCTCTGTCTCTCTCTCTCTCTGTGTGTGTGTGTGTGTGTGTGTGTGTATACATATATACAATATGACTAATCAAGGGAATTGTAAGTATGGCAGAAGAATCAGATATGCTCATGTGAGTTGAGTAGTTATGTTTAGAGGTCAAATCTGGTTCTCAATTTCCTGGTAGCCAGGGCAGAAAAGGAAATGTGATAGCTCCTATATTTTTTATCAAATAGAAGAACATCCTACAGCTTTAAGACACAAAGCTTTTTTACTACTAAATGTTTAAAAAGAAAAAAAAGCACCATTTTTAAGAGGCTCTGAGAATTACATAAGGAATTGTTAGACCAGGCACGGTGGCTCATGCCTGTTATCCCAGCACTTCGCGAGGCTGAGGCCAGTGGATCAGTTGAGGTCAGGAGTTTGAGACTAGCCTGGACAGTATGGCAAAACCCCGTCTCTACTAAAAATACAAAAATTAGCCAGGTGTGGTGGCGGGCGCCTGTAGTCCCAGCTATTCGGGAGGTTGAGGCAGGAGAATTGCTTGAACCCAGGAGGCGGAGGTTGCAGTGAGCCGAGACCGCACCACTGCACTCCAGCCTGGGCAACAGAGTGAGACTCCGTCTCAAAAAAAAAAAAAAAAAAGGAATTGCTTTCTGTAACAGTTTTACTGAAAATTTAGATGCAATTTTCATATAATATTTTCTCCTAAATAGTCATTAAATGTTGAAGGTATGGCCCAAAGTACAGCCCAGTGAAAGTGATTTGGGAAAGGACCAAGCTACTGAACTTTTTACTGAATGATTAGCATTATTGGATTTGAGGATAGAACAATAAATTCCTAGATCAATGCTCCTAAAATGCAGTATTGCGATATACTACTGGGTCATGATCTATTAATACCTTCCCCAGAGGTAATTATTATTCTGATTATCACCATGGTTAGGCTTACCTCGGAAGAAATGGAATAATACAATATGAACTTGCTTGTCTGGCTTCTTTCCCTTAATGTGTCTGTGAGATTCAACCCATTTGTCAGTGTACCAATTACTTATTGTATTGCTGTGTAATTTTCTGTATAGTATTATATGAATATAACACTATTCATTTTTCCATTCTCTTGGACATTTGGGTTCTTTCTGGTTATTGGCTATTATAAGCAAATCTTTTATGAACATTTCTGTGTATGTCTTTTGGTGGCTATACAAACTAATTTCTCTTGGGAATATACCTAGGATTGGAATTACTAGAGTATAGGTAGATGTATTTATCTGTAAGTAGATGCTGCCAAACAGTTTTCCAAAGTGGTCTGTTTTAAGATGTCCTTCAATTTGGGGATGATCAGAAGCTTTCCACACAGCACCCTTTACAAACAAAGATGCCTTTATGTCTTGTAATGGTTACTGGGGAAGAATGTTAAATAGTCATGTGTCTTTTGCTATTTTTCTCCTTTCTAGCATCAATTCCTGAAGATTGCCAAGCCCCTCTCCAGCCTCACTCCACTGATTGCTGCAGCTAAGGAGGCAACAAAGAACAATCACTAAAACCACACTCACCCCAGCCTCATTGTGCCAAGCCTTCTGTGAGATAAATGCACATTTCAGAAATTCCAACTCCTGATGCCCTCTTCTCCTTGCCTTGCTTCTCCCATTTCCTGATCTAGCACTCCTCAAGACTTTGATCCTTGGAAACCGTGTGTCCAGCATTGAAGAGAACTGCAACTGAATGACTAATCAGATGATGGCCATTTCTAAATAAGGAATTTCCTCCCAATTCATGGATATGAGGGTGGTTTATGATTAAGGGTTTATATAAATAAATGTTTCTAGTCTTCCGTGTGTCAAAATCCTCACCTCCTTCATAACCATCTCCCACAATTAATTCTTGACTATATAAATTTATGGTTTGATAATATTATCAATTTGTAATCAATTGAGATTTCTTTAGTGCTTGCTTTTCTGTGACTCAACTGCCCAGACACCTCATTGTACTTGAAAACTGGAACAGCTTGGGAATGCCATGGGGTTTGATAATCTGCCAGGGACATGAAGAGGCTCAGCTTCCTGGACCATGACTTTGGCTCAGCTGATCCTGACATGGGAGAACAACCACATTTTTCTTTGTGTGTGCTTCTAGCAGCTGTTCGGGAGGACCTTGACCCAATAGTGTTCCCATGCTGTTTCTTGTGAAATGCTCTCGGCTATGTAGCAGCTTTTGATTCCCTGCATACCCTAGGCTGCTGCCCCTATCCTGTCCCTTGTTTATAACATTGAGAGGTTTTCTAGGGCACATACTGAGTGAGAGCAGTGTTGAGAAGTCGGGGAAAATGGTGACTACTTTTAGAGCAAGGCTGGGCATCAGCACCTGTCCAGCTCTACTTGTGTGATGTTTCAGGAACTCAGCCCCTTTTTCTGCCTAGGATAAGGAGCTGAAAGATTAACTTGGATCTTCTAATGGTCCAAATCTTTTGGTCACAATAAAGAGTCTCCAAATTAGAGACTGCATGTTAGTTCTGGATGGATTTGGTGGCCTGACATGATACCCTGCCAGCTGTGAGGGGACCCCGTTTTTAAGATGCATGGCCAAGCTCTCTGCAAATGGAAATGCTTACACTGGGTGTTGGGGATGTTTGCTACCTCCTGCTATTTTTGTGGTTTTGGTTCTCCCACTATGGTAGGACCCCTGGCCAGCATTGTGGCTTGTCATGTCAGCCCCATTGACTACCTTCTCATGCTCTGAGGTACTACTGCCTCTGCAGCACAAATTTCTATTTCTGTCAATAAAAGGAGATGAAAATATTCTATTGGAGTATGCCTTTCTTTTTTCTCTTCGTTTTTTCTTTCCTTTTCTAATTTTTTATATGAAATAATGAGTAGTTTCTTCCTGAACCATTTGAGAGTGGTAAGTTGCAGATAGAATGCCCCTTTACCACTATATACCTGAATGTGTATTCTTTCTTTTTAACACTTTTATTTTAAATATAAATTAAGAGAAATGGGCCAAAACCATTTGTATTGTTTAAAGAATAATTATAAACACACTTGTATCCACCAAATCAAGAAATGGAACACTGACAGTAAGAACCTTCTCTATCTTGTCCTTCCTTTCTCATTATAGCCCCCACCTAAGAGGTAACCACCATCTTGACTTTTATTTAAATAACTTTCTTGCTTTTCTGTATACTTTCATCACATTCAGGTGTGTTCCAATACAAGTAGATTTTAGTTCGGCCAGTTTTTGAACTTTAAATAAACATATCATAATAGATATATTCTTTTGTGCCTGTTATTGTTTCCACTCAAGATTATGTTTTTAAAATATATGTACCTAGTTTGTGTGTAGCTCTAGTTCATGTATTATTCCGGCTGTAGGCACTTGAGAGGAAAGTTAACTTGTCCAAGATGAATTCCCTGAGGACTGGCCTCCCAAAGGATTTGGTTTTCTGCAGAACTCTATCATAATGGACTACAGCCAACTGCTCAAGGCAGTCATACCTGGTAGAATTCTCAGGTGGCTAATTAGGCCATGGGTCTATCACATCCTACAGCTACAACCATAAGGCTTGAGCCCCAGCTCTGATCACACCAGAGAAAATGCTTCTCAAAGATGGCACAACAGAGCTAGAGGCCAGTGTTCTGTCGTGTGGTTTTACTATTGGATCCCAGCACCTAATACTACTAGAGAAGATGTAGTGCTTCTTAGGTGTGCAAAATATAATCCCCATGGCTCAATGCCTGTAGTCCTTCTCCGGAGTATGATATCTGGGCCCTACTACATTTCTTTGCCCCAGAAGGTGATGGGCATTAGAGTTTCCACACTCTGGATAATGTTCCTATAACCACACGTTTCCACCAATAAAGCAGGCTCCAAAAGGTCTGGAGTGGATACTGCCTCATCAGCTGCACACTTCATAATGGCAGCAGTAACTGTGTATTATGGAAACCAACCAAGGAATTAGAGAACCAAGATTCACCTTGGGTGAGAAAATGCCCTCTTGGCACAGGAGCTGGCCAGCCATATTCAAAGACTGGGATTGTGGGTCACTGACTGGTTGCAGGAACAAAACCTGCCAAGCCAAGGAATTTAAGAGTTATATTTCTGAGAATGGAGATCTAGGGGTGGGGGATGTCACCCAGGATGGTATTCCAAGATTGTTTTTAAGAACCTTAGAGTCACCTTTGAGGAGACTTTCACTGCAGCAAGGCTGGACTACTAGCTCTGATTAAGTTCCTGAGAATCTTAGATTCACTGTGAACCAGAGACTTGAGGTAGAACTTAAGTGATGATCTCTTCAGGGACAGAATTCTGTGGTTACTAATGACCTTGGAGGAAGCTGTCTCCCAGGAGGGGTTTGTTGAGAGTAAGGCTGAATCAGTACTGGATGAATTTTAAACTAAAATGTGGAATATGTCCCCCGATGACATGCCCCTTGTGTAAAGAATGGCATATGACCTTACCTGAGCAGAGCCAATCAAATGGGACCCTTCCCTGATGTTCCTCCCTTGGCTGTGAGTGAGGAGCAGCTTGAGATGTCAGTGTTACTAAGGTGTTGCTCTTTCCTAAAAAGCAAAGATTAGGAAGGCCTAAAGAGGTGGTCTATGTGAGATGCAAAAAAGATATCTAGTACAGTAGGCCCCACTTATCCACTGCTTCACTTTCCGTGGTTTTAGTAACCCACAGAACAATAAGATATTTTGAGAGAGACCACATTCACATGTTTTATTATAATGTATTGTTATAACTGTTCTATTTTATTACTGTTGTTAATCTCTTACTGTGCCTAATATGTTAACCTTTATTATAGGTCTATATGTGTAGGAAAAAAAAAAACAGTGTATACAGGGTTTGGTACTATCCATGGTTTTAGACACCCATTGGAGGTCTTGAACATATCTCCTGCAGATAAGCGGGGACTACTGTATAAGGTATTGGCTCATGTGATTATGGAGGCTAACTCTTGGGATCTGCTCCACAAGCTTGAGACCCAGCAAAGTTGGTGGCATAGTTTGAAGGCTGGAGAGCCAGGGAGCCAATGGAGTAGATTCCAGTCTGAGTCTGAAGGACTGAGGACAGGAGCTCTGAGGGCAGAAGAAGATCAATGTCTCAACTCAAAACAGGCAGAAAGCAAATTCAACCGTCCTTTGCCTTTCTGTTCCATTCAGTCCATCAGCAGAAGGGATGATGCCCTTTCATGCTGGGGCGTGCCACCAGCTTTCTTCAGTCCACCAAATCAAATGTGCCCCTCTTCTGAACTCACCCTCACAGACACAGCCAGAAGTAACAGTTAACCAGCCATCTGGGCATCCCATGTCCCAGTCAAGTTGACTCATAAAATTGTCACCCCTCGGGGCCGGGCGTGATGGCTCACGCCTATAATCCGAGCACTTTGGGAGGCCGAGGCAGGAGGATCACAAGGTCAGGAGTTTGAGACCAGCCTGGCCAACATAGTGAAACCCCGTCTCTAGTAAAAACACAAAAAAAAAATTAGCTGGGCGTGGTGGCAGGTGCCTGTAATCTCAGCTACTTGGGAGGCTGAGGTAGGAGAATCGCTTGAACCCTGGAGGCAGAGGTTGCGGTGAGCCGAGATCGTGCCACTGCACTCCAGCCCAGGTGATGGTGCGAGAATCTGTCTCAAAAGAAAAAAAAAATTGTCACCCTTCTTAACTCCAATTCTAGGTAAAAGAGACAACCCTTAAGGGAGACCAACTAAGTTGACAGCTTTTTTTTTTTTTTTTTTTGAGCTCAGGATCTCACTCTGTCGCCCAGGCTGGAGTGCAGTGGTGGGATCTCAGCTCACTGCATCCTCCACCTCCTGGGCTCAAGTGATTCTCCCACCTCAGCCCCACAAGTAGCTGAGACTACAAGTATGAGCTACCACACCCAGCTAATTTTATTTTATTTTATTTATTGTTATTATTTTTTTTTTTTATAGCAACAGGGTTTCACCATGTTGCCCATGCTGATCTCAAACTCCTGAGCTCAAGTGATCCACCCACCTTGGCCTCACAGAGTGCTAGGATTACAGGCATAAACCACCACACCCGGCCTGAGCTGACAGCTCCTATGCTATGGGGTAATGACTTTTAGATCAAGGGGTCAAAAGTGATGAGATTGGTGACCCCCAATGTTGTTTTATTGGGGGAAAAAACCCCAAAGGTACAGGAGTGCCTCCATGCAGTTGCTGAAAGGACAGTTTACGGGTGAGATATAGAGAATGCTAGATGATGGTATAGCCCATCCAGGAGACAGGAGTGATGAGAACCCAAAGACTGTACCCTGATTTTAAGACAGTGATGGTAAACTGGTAAGTCTGATGAGGACTGAGGAATCATTAATGATCACCCCTCTGGATTCTTAGAGTTGTCTGATTCATTAGGTGTTAAGACAGAAGCATTGGTTGTCCTGTGAACTTTCCAACACAATTTAGACTCTGTAGGAATGACTGCTTACTACTAGGATATCTAGGTACCCATTCAGACAGTGGAACATTCCTCATGCCCAGGCATCTTAACACAACACATTCCTATATCTTTTACTGCCTGCAGAGTATGAAGGCAAGAGAACCCTGAAACTCTCTATTCATAGATACTTGCAGCTTGTCTAATTCTATATGTCCTGAATACATTTATTACCTGCGTTAGTTTTCTATTGCTACATAACAAATTACCATAAACTTTGTGGCTTAAAACAACACAAATTATCTCATAGTTTCTATAGGTCAGAAGTCTGCACAGCATGGCTGAATTTTCTGCTCAGGGCCTCATCAGGCTGAATGAAATCCCCCAGGTGTTGGTTCAGGCTGTGGTTCACGTGGGGCTGGGAGCCTCCTTCCAGGCTCACTGGTTATTTGTAGAATTCATTTCCTTATAGATGTAGGACTAAGATCTTATTTTCATGCTAGCTGTCAGCTCCTAAAGGATGCCTGCAGTTTCTTGCCACATGACTCCCATAGGCAACTCACAAAATGCATGTTTGTTTTCTTCCAGGTCAGCTAGAACATATCTCTCTGACTTTGCTTCTGCAACTAGCCAGAGAAAACTTTTTTTTTTCTCCAAGCCCCTTAATATTCACTTAAACAGTTGAGGCACAAGCAATAATAAAAACTGCATTTTTTTATTTTTTATTTTTTGAGATGGAGTCTCGCTGTGTCGCCCAGGCTGGAGTGCAGTGGCGTGATCTCGGCTTACTGCCAGCTCCACCTCCTGGGTTCACGCCATTCTCCTGCCTCAGCCTCCCGAGTAGCTGGGACTACAGGTGCCCGCCACAAGGCCCGGCTAATTTTTTTGTATTTTTTAGTAGAGACAGGGTTTCACCGTATTAGCCAGGATGGTCTCGATCTCCTGACCTCGTGATTCTACCCGCCTCGGCCTCCCAAAGTGCTAGGATTACAGGCATGAGCCACCGCGCCCAGCCCTAAAACTGCATTTTTTACATTACAAAAAGATTGTCTATGATATGTGCATGATATACCAATTTTCTAATCTCTTCTGCAGTAACATTTCATTAACACTCTGGTCCACAGGTTGATTTAATAAAGTCAGAATGGCAGGCAGGAAGTTGGTAAAATAAACTTACTGAGAGGCAAAAGGAACCAAACATTTACTGACTGCCTATTATGCACGTTCCACTAGGTTTTACACACGTTACATAAATGTGAACCTAAGTTCTAGTTATCAGTTAACAGGCCCAGCATTGCTACAGCCAGTAAGTCTATGTTTTAAATGTTCTTTCACCCTAAGTACAAATTGTGGACCAAAACAATGGATCTTTGCCCAAAGAAGCATGTCAACTGTTGCACTAATACATTATTTCCCATTTCCAAAGTTTTTGTTTTTAGTAAGTGTGCCACATTAGCACATGGAAACATTCAAGCTGTTTATTACTCCACTGAAATTTGGGGTTTTTTCGTTCTCACTTGCTGAGCACCATTTGGCCAGCATCACTACAACGACCTGATTCTATCACCTTGTAAAACTCAAGATGGGAACGGATAGTGTTTGGTGATTACATTTCTGGGAGAAAAAAGTGCTGATCTTTTTTCTTTAACTTGACACAGCTGGCTTTAAAAAAAGCAGTACCTCATTTTAAAGCACCAAAGTTGTCATTTAAATAAGAACATGTACTTGGCTTAATGAGCTGTAAAATGAAGATATCACTGTCTTTTCAAGGATTACAGCAAAGCCAGTATGTTTAGAGCCAAGTGATACTCAGCTCATGCTGCACTCCAGTTCCCAAGGAAATGGTGTTTCTACCCTCCCCAGACCTAAGCTGCTCTTCACTCCTCCAGCCAGCCCTCCTTTTTCTGAGCCCCTTTTTTCCATGCTGAGCTGTCTGCCCGTTGCTCCCTTTCCCACCCCTGTTTTCTCTCTAACTGCCCCTCTATATACATCTGGGCTGGTGCCTAAGACTTTTTAGCTGACTGGTTAATCACTGACCAATCACCACTACACTGCTTTGGATTTGGGATCCCACTAGTAAAACTAACTGGCATGTTTGCACTGGTCATCCCCCCTGCCAAAAGCATCCTATGTCACCAAAAAGGCACTGTTTAAGGGTTCAAGATCACACACCCTCAAGATACCTGAGAAAGGTCCTCAAATGTGAGTCACCTAGTCTAATAGTAGAGGTAAGATCAGAGATGAAATGTGACTTGCTCAAGGCTGTGCGGCTAATCAGAGGCAGAAACTAGAACGATTTCTCCTTCCACTATACCACAAAAACCCAAGGTTAATAACGATTAAGAAGAGTTTGTAAGTAAACCAAAATAAAATGCCTAGTACACAGGAAAAGTCTTTGGGATCTCTCCACAGACTTTTAGACAGAATAAAGGCAGTCTTTACAATGAGAAATGCTACTCAGTTCAACAGATGCCACCAAATACCAAGGATCCTTACTCAATTCTGAAATGGAATCTGTGACTACGGAGAATATGTCACTATTTGAGAATAAGAGGTCCCACCTGCTCCATTATTTTCAAGTTTTCAGTCACAAGGTTGTAACTTACTCTCATCGTTTAACAAGATAAATTAATCAAGCTGAAGTAGGATTTGGTACACCGATGATAAAAGCAAAAGTCAACAAACATTTTTACAAGCAGATCATCCCAGTTACCTTAAAAGTTTCAGATTAATTTACAGAGAAGTGACAGAACCATATAATTTCAGTGAAAATCAACAAGATAGTTATACCATTAAAAAAAGATCAATTCGGCTGGGCGCGGTGGCTCATGCCTGTAATTCCAGCACTTTGGGAGGCCAAGGGGGGCGGATCACCTGAGGTTGGGAGTTCCAGACCAGCCTGACCAACATGGAGAAACCCCGTCTCTACTAAAAATACAAAAAAATTAGCCAGGCGTGGTGGCACATTCCTGTAATACCAGCTACTTTGGAGGCTGAGGCAGGAGAATCGCTTGAACCTGGGAGGCGGAAGTTGCGGCGAGCCAAGACCATGCCATTGCACTCCAGCCTGGGCAACAAGAGCGAAACTCTTGTCTCAAAAAAAAAAAAAAAAAAAAAAAAAAAGAAAAGAAAAGAAAAAAAATCAATTCGGAAATACTAAGGCAAGCATGCAAAATTCAGAATATAAAAAAACGCAAAGCCTGGTTGCCCACACACATTCCTTAGGTTAAGGTGGATTTAAAGATGCTCATCAGAACCCAGTGAATCAGAAGCTGAAAGGGACACTTTGGTGATCAGTGGACGCATTCTCTCATGTAAAAAATGGAGGGAAAGTGAGCACACAGGAACTGGTGAATCTTACAAGGCTAGATTAGGGGTGTACATAGCTCTAATTCCTGGTGCTATTTGCAACTACATGTATTTAAAATCCAAGGAGGTAAATACCTAGAACACATTAAGCCCACTGATTTAAACAAAACATTTCAAGACCGATATACAGAAAGTGAATGAAGTTGTTAACACAGGACAGCAGCATACCTCACATATTTATGTCTAAGAGATTAAATGGAAATAAATGATCGCTCAAAAATTTTAATGCTAGTTTTCACAAACACAACCAAGTTTACCAAATTTCCGGATTTACAGCAAAATGTATGAGCTAAAAAAGTGTGCATTCTTCAGTTTCTCCTATACTTTTTTTTTTTTTTTTTTTGCCTATTTTCAAAACTGACCACTGGGTATTTTTAACATAAGCCATGTCATATGTAAAGTTTAACTATGTTTCTGGAATAAACAAAATCCATAATATTTCAGTAACTCATAGTGTATTTATAAAATGAAAAGTTCTCTATCAAAATATACTTTTCACTGGGAAAAAAATAGACAAATGGATCTACACAAAGTAAACATTAACTTTGGTAGATTTCAGTGTAGTTCATAACAAGCATATTTGCCCTTATTCCCCTGGAGCTGCTCAACTACCAAGAATTATATATATATATATATATATATATATATATATTTTTTTTTTTTTTTTTTTTTTTTTTTTTTTTTTTTGAGACAGAGTCTCACCCTGTCATCCAGGCTGAAGTGCAATGGCATGGTTTCAGCTCACTGCAACCTCCGCCTCCCTGGTTCAACCGATTCTCCTGCCTCAGCCTCCCAAGTAGCTGGGCTTACAGGCGCCCGCCAACACACCCGGCTAATTTTTTGTATCTGTAGTAGAGACGGGGTTTCATCATGTTGGCCAGGCTGGTCTCGAACTCCTGACCTCATGAGCCGCCTGCCTTGGCCTTCCAAAGTGCTGGGATTATAGGTATGAGCCACCGCGCCCGGCCTTAAATATTTTTAACTGAGATTTTATTATGTTGACATTTGTTTCTCATTCCACATCATCTTCAGCCAAGCTCTAAGCACTTACAATTCTCTAATTGTTGGGAGCTTAGTCAGAGGCATCTGGAACACTGGTGGTGGAAGAGTTTGCTGTAAGACCTGCAGTAACTGCTGTGGCTGTCCACACACAGCAATTGCATTTGTCAGATGGTCTACACCCTTCTCATATTTACCTTGAGCTAGTAACTCTTCACCAAGCTGTGTTTCTTCAAGGAAGAATTTCTGAACAGCGTCAGCATCTTTAAGGTCAGGTAACTTGGAAAACCCAGCTCTCTCCTTGGGAAGCTTCTGTTTCTTTCTTCGTTCTCGAAGCCTGTTCTTGAAATTGGGGTCACTTCGTCTTTTGTGGTAAAAGTAGATGCAGTACCTGATAAAAAGGGCCCCACATACACTGGCGGCGATGGCGCTCTTCCGACCCACTGTCTTCTCTACAACGCAGAGCGTGGACGGTGGCGGCAGGGACTGCGAAGGAGCGGTGGGCCACGAACCCTTAGGGCGGAGGGCGGAGGGCGCTGCTCATACCCAACGCCCGTGGGCCAGGACTCGGAAAGCCTGAGAAAACTTTTAAAGTGTTCATGTGATTAGATCAGGCTTGCCTAAATAATCCCTATTTCTAGGTCAATTGATTGGAGAACTTAATTACATCTGCAAACCCCTTCACCACAGTACCTAGATTGAATAACTGGGAGAAGGTATGTGTACACCAATGGCTGGGAATGTTGGTGGGTCATCTTAGAATTCTTTCCAGCTGCCGGGTGTGGTGGCTCACACCTGTAATCCCAGCACTTTGGGAGGCCGAGGCAGGTGGTTTGCCTGAGGTCGGGAGTTTGAGACCAGCCTGACCAGCATGGAGAAACCCTGTCTCTACTAAAAATACAAAATTAGCTGGGCATGGTGGCGCATGCCTGTAATCCCAGCTACTCAGGAGGCTGAGGCAGGAGAATCGTTTGAACTTGGGAGGCAGAGGTTGCAGTGAGCTGAGATCACGCCATTGCACTCCAGCCTGGGCAACAAGAGTGAAACTCCATCTCAAAAAACAAAAACAAACAAACAAAAAAAACAGAATTCTTTCCAACACATCCTGCAAGGGTCCATCTGGACTTAGGAATTAGGGGATGAGAAAATAACTAGAGTAGTACAGCTGCACTGCAGGGACCTGAACCTAGATATACCTTTCCACACCTTTGCACTTTTTTTTTTTGTTACCCTGATTCTCTTTGGTAGTTGGGAATTCTGCACAATGCCCTATACCAAGAGTGGGCAGACACCAACCTGAAGGCACTGCTGTCTCATGGCTATCTAGTGTAGCTGATCTATCTGAGGTCACACTAACACCTTTATCCTGCATTTGATGTTATTATATACCTTGCCACATGGGCACTGTGCTAGCTTGCCCTCACCCTTGGGTGCAAGTAAATGCAGTTCAACTACTATGGGGTCATATAAGAAGACAGGGGGTGATGGGGCTACTCCTGTTTTCCTGTTAAGGTGATTGTACTGGGCCAGATGTTATAGATTTTTTCAGAAGAAGCCCCTCACCAGAAATAAGGGAATACCTGAAATTGTAGGAGATAAGTGGAGGGAAGATGCACTACCTTGTTCTTAGATCCCTCTGGGAGGATTGTCACTCAGGCTATCCCACATTCTTCCAGGCATCTCTGATTGGCTGCCAGTGGCTCCTTTGCTAACCTGTCACAATATTGGATCAGCCATCAGTTACTACCTGCAGCAGGGGAGAGCTGGAAACAGTCTAGTGTTTCATAACATTTTACCACTTCCAGCTTCCTCTCCTACTCTGTTGAATTACACTAGACTACCCACCTGCCTGTGAAACTGTCAACAATGGACTCAGGTCTCAATGTCTAGCTTGTCCTCATCCTCTTGGGATGACACAGAATTCCTGGTCATTGGGAAAGGCCTGAAAGCAATCCAACAGGCCTCAGTTAGCCTCTATCCAAGCCCTGTAACCATGACTGTTGTCTTTACTCCACACAGTGCATGCATGCATGTGCACACACATAACTTTGGACTGGACCATGTGTCTCTCCTAGCTTCTTCCTGTGTGGCCAAATGGCCTTGTTTGCCTCCAGAGACCAAGACCTACAACCCTGAGGTAAATACTCAGCTGTTTCATGTTTTCTGGGATCTTCGGGCCCCCACAGCCACAATCTGGCCTAGATACGAAGGAGAAAACTTCCCAGTTGCCAGTCAGGGAGGAGGACTAGGAGTCACAATGTAGTCATATTCCTGGCCAGGAGTAATTGAAACTAAAGACAGTAATAGAAAATCTGCAGTCATTCTAGGCTAAATAGCTAATGGGACCCGTCTAGTCACCCAGTGGATTAGCCTGGACTCCTTAACCAGGGTGGTTTTATTTTTATTTATTATTGCAGTTGCTACTAATGTTAGTATTTTAACCAAAGTGGATTTAGATCATAGAATTGATCTTTATAATCTGACAGACAAAGGGTGGCCTGTACCCTAATCTACACATCTTATTGTTTATGGATTGTGATTAGCAGTAAGTAAAATAATCAGTATTCTGCATACAGGAAAAGGCATATGGTTGTCTAATGGTTATCTAACTCCCATCAGAACTCTGGTACCTCTTCTCTTGGCCGAGTCTGGGCCCCCTTAGCCCTTGACGTAGGGTAGGACTATTCATGGCTTTCTCTATTCCAGTGATTTTCAAAGTGTGGTTTCTGGACCAGCAACATTAGCATCACCTGGGAACTCCTTAAAAATACTAATTCTCAGGGCCCTCCATGGATCTGCAGTCTGTGTATTAATAGACCCTTCAGGTATTTCTGATATAGCTCAAGTTTGAGAACCACTGCCATAGTTGCTGTATTAACCATTCTCCATAGTTGCCTATAGGTTGAAGTGGCATATATTACTGATGGAACAGGGTATGATGCATAGAGGCCACACAGAGATTGGAGGTGGAGAACTGCAGTGGTGGAGAAATACGGCTAACTTGGGCCTTCCCTACAGGCTGGCCTCCCAGAAAAGGAGTTGTCCTTCAAGCTCCATGGAAACTGGCTACAGCCAATGCTTAAGGCAATCAGTCTTAGTAGAATGCTGACCAGGCCACTTGTCTGCCATAACAAGACGTAGACTTTTGCCCCTGCTATTGTCAGGAGACAGCCTGTGCACTCCTAACTGATAAATGAAGTGGTGTAACGGACCAGAGGCCACGGTTCTACCAGCCACGTCATGTATCTATTGGATTGCTGCCCTTGTCAGGCCAGCTATTCTTTGATGTTTCAAGCCCTTTACTCAGAAAGGTGAAAAAATAGCCTTCCTCACTGGCATTTCGGGGCTTACTGGATTAGGAGACACTACACCATCATATTCAGGCAAGGACCAGGCTCTCTTTCATTCCTGTGTGCTGACTCCAAATGGAATGGGCCACAGCGGATCTCCACACCTACTACTCATCCAATAAATGCTGAAGGGAAGATAATATAATTCTTTTTTTGACCCATATAAATTCTTAGTTGAGACACTCTCCTTAAGACCAAAGTCAGGGCCGGGCATGGTGGCTTACACCTGTAATCCCAGCACTTCGGGAGGCCTAGGCAGGCGGATCACCTGAGGTTGGAAGTTCGAGATGAGCCTGACCAACATGGAGAAACCCCATCTCTACTAAAAATACAAAATTAGCCAGGCGTGGTGGTGCATGCCTGTAATCCCAGCTACTGAGGAGGCTGAGGCATGAGAATCACTTCAACCTGGGAGGCGGAGGTTGTGGTGAGCCCAGATAGCACCATTGCACTCCAGCCTGGGCAACAAGAGCAAAATTCCGTCTCAAATAAACAAAACAAAACAAAACAAAAACAAAAAACAAAACCAAAGTCAGATTTACAAGAGAAAAATCATCAGAAGTTTGACATACGTTGACATTATATGGGAGGGGGCTCAGTTCAAAAGTATCTTTCTCAAAGCAGTGGTTTAGGAGCCTTGTTTAAATAGCATTTTAACAAAGAGTAATAAATCCCATAATGGCAAGACAGAGAAGAGCACAGCTGTCTTTTAAGAGGTGTGAAAATGTGGGAAGATTTCTGGGAAATCTGTTTCTGGGAAAATGTTCCCAGATTTCTCTGTGCCTGCTAGTGCCTTCTCTGGGTGGATAAGCAAGTGCTGTTTGTAGTAAGGAAGGACTTACGTTCTGCCATCAGGCGAGTAGAAGCTGAGACAGAGTGTTCCTCTGTGTTTTCAGTGACTTTGACTTAACAATTCTCAATATTTGGGGGAGAAATATGTTGGTTTTCTTCAATGCTATTCTAGAAAGCCTAGTATGTGTGCTGTCTCATCTTTTGGCTTTGTTTGCTCCATGTTATTCAATTATATGAATATGCTGATATTTTCCATTCTTCTGTTAATAAACATTTGGGTTGTTTCCTGTTTGAGGCTATGACGAACAATGGTGCTATGAATGTTGTTATATATTTATCCTGATGTATCATAAACACAAATTTATATCTAGGAGATTGCTATGGTTTGGATATTGTTTGTTTGGCCCCAACAAGTCTCATGTTGAAATGTGATCCCAGTGTTGGAGGTGGGGCCTGGTGGGAGGTGTTTCGATCATGGGGGTACATCCTTCGTGAATGGCTTGGTCTCATTTTGGTGGGAGTAAATGAATTCTCACTTTTAGTTCCCGTGGGAGCTGGTTGTTTAAAAAAGCCTGGCACTTTCTTCCTCTCTCTCTTGCTTTCTGGCTCTTGTCGCGTTTGATCTCTGTGTGCGTCTTCTCCCTTTTCCCTTCCACTGTGAGTGGAGGCAGCCTGAAGCCCTCCACAGAAGCAGATGCTGGTGCCATGCTTCTGGTACAGCCTGCAGAACCAAGGGCCAAATACACTTTTTTTTTTCTTTAGAAATTACCCAGCCTCAGATATTCCTTGATAGCAACAGAAAATCTGACTAAGACAGATACCTTAGGTGTGGAATTACTGAATCATCACAGGGCATATAGCTCTCCAATTTTTAAGGTAATGTCTAAGAGTTTCCCAAAGGGGTTGTACCAATTTACAGGTGTCACTAGTATGGAAGGATACTTTGCTCAACAACCTTGCTAACACTTGATACTGTTAAATTGTTTCATTATAACCAATCTAGTGTGTGTGTAATATTAATAGTATTTCATTGTACTTTTACCCATTTGTAAAGTATCATTTCAAATCTTTTCCTCATTGTTTCTATTGTTACCTTTTTTGTGTATTTTTTGGTTAAAATTCTTTATATATTTTGGATAATTATCATTTTCACTTATGTGTCGTAAAGTCTACTCTGTTGTTTGCTAAATTAAACTTTTTATTTTTCGATAACTTGTAGATTCACATGCAGTTGTAAGAAATAACAGAGAGAGCTTCCACCAGTGGTAGTTTCTCCAATGGTAACACTTTATCAGTTTCCTCCAATGGTAGGACCTTGCAAAACCATAGTAGAATATCTTAAGATACAGTCAAGATGCAGAACCTCTGCATCACCATGAGGATCCCTCATCTTGCCCTTTTATAGCCATACCCACTGCCCCTGCTTCCCCCACTCCCTCCTTATTTCTTTCCTTCTACTTGCTTTAGCTTTATTTTGCTCTTCTTTTTCTAGGTTCTTGAGGTAGAAACATATTATTGATTTGAGATTTTCTTCTTTTCTAGTTTATGCATTTAATCCTATAAAATTCACTCTCAACATAGCCTTAGGTGTGTCCCACAAATTTTATATGTGGTATTCACTTTCATTCAGTTCCATATATTTTTAAAGTTTACACTGAGACTTGTCCTTTGACCTCTGTATTATTGGAACTATGCTTTTTAGTTTCCTAATGTTTGTAGATTTTTCTATTTTCTTCCTGTCATGATTTCTAGTTTGATTCTATGGTCAGAAAATAGACTGTATGATTTAAATCCTTTAAATTTGTTGAAGCTCATTTGAAGGCCCAGAATATGCTATACCTCTATATGTTCCATTAGCACTTAAAAAAAAAACTACACACTGATGTTGTTGAAAAGAATGTTCTATGACTATTAATTAGAGCTTGTTGGTTGATGTTCTGTTTTTCTATGTATTTCCCGATTTTCTGTTTCCTTGTTCTATCAACTGTTGAGAGATGAGTGTTCAAGACTTGAACTATTACTGTGGATTTGTCTATTTCTTCTTTCAGTCCTATAAGTTTTTTGTTCATGTATTTTGCAATTTTGTTGTCCACTGCACACACATTTAGGGTTGCTGCATCTTCTTGGTGGACTGACCTTTTTATCATTATATGATGTCCTTCTATGTTTCTTATAATTTTCTTTGCTCTGAAGTCCAATTTATCTGAGATTAATGTTACCTCTTCTGCTTTCCTTTGATTCATGTTTGCATGTATAACTTTCTTCATCCATTTACTTTCAACCTGCCTATATTGTTATCCATGAAGTGAGTTTCCTATGGACAGCATATAGATAGCTCATGAGTCCTAGTCTGTATCTTATCCTAAGAAGTCACACAAAAATCAGACCATGTGTCCTGATTTTTATTTATTTATATTTATATTCTGCCTTTTCCCACAAGGATTGGAGAAAACCTATAACATGAATATCTACAATGAAACAATAATAAGTAAATACAGGTAGAAAGTCAGGACCAAGAAAAAGATGGGCATGAATATGTTGATCACAAGGGCTAAGGTATTGCCATACTTAAGCTTAAATTTGAAATTGAACTTTCTGACAAAGTGCCAAGGTAATTTGTGTTATTTGCATTATCAGGACAGAGAAAGAGAGAATATCCCAGTTACTTATGATTCTAAATATACTTTCTGCAATAATGGATTCTATATCTGCATTGTCCAGTATGGAAGCCACTAGCCACATGTGGCTATTAAGCACTTGAATTGTGGCTAGTCAGTAAGGAATTGAATATTAAATTTTATTTACTTTGTATTAATTTACATTTAAATAGCTAGTAGCTACATTACTGGACTAGTAGCTATATTACTGGTTCATTATGTGGCTGGTAGCTACATTACCGGATAGCAAAGGCCTAAAGGAAACAACGCAGTACAGTGTAATTGGAATCAAGTGTGCTGTGTTTAAATTTTGGCTCTGTCACAGTGTTTGTGACCTTGGAGAAGCTACTTAACCCTTCTGAGCTTCAGTTTCCAGATCCAGAAACTGAGTATAATAATAGAACCAGAGCCAGACATGGTGACAAGCACCTGTAATTCCAGCTACTGGGAGGCTGAGGCAGGAGGATTGCTTATGCTCAGGAGTTCAAGACCAGCCTAGGCCACATAGCAGGACCCTGTCTCAAAACAAAACAGTACCTACTTTTGTGGTTCTGAGGAAAGAGTAATGTATGTAAAGCATTTAATACAATCCCTGGCACATGGCAAATACAGTTCTATTTTATAATGCTCGAAATTACCTGGTTTGTTAGGAGACTACGACAACTCTCTTTCACTGGCACTAAAAGGGAGGTTTTACAGAAGAATCAATAACTGGGAGTCTGAGTTGTGCTTAAGCATCTTAGCCAGTAACTAGTCTCTGGCCATAGAATCAAATGTCAATCAAACACTGATTTTTAAAAACTTGTATCCATTTGAAGTTGCTTGAGGGTACTTTGTTCGAAAACCTGGGCCTCTTTTTGTTTTCCTGTTAAGCTGCTGAGGGATTAAGCACCTAATATTACTATTTAGTATCTCTTTCAACTTGTAGTTCAACTTTTCTTCATCATGAGTGTGTTAAAAGCAAATGTATTAATTTCAATGACCTTTCACTTAATAGGAGATTCATGAGGGAGGATGGCCTTCCAACAAGAACTACAACATATATAACCAGCCAGTGGCTCACGCCTGTAATCCCAGCACTTTGGGAAGCGGAGGAGGGGTGGATCATTTGAGGTGAGGAGTTCGAGACCAGCCTGGCTAACATGGTGAAACCCCGTCTCTACTAAAAAAAAAAAAATACAACAATTAGCCAGGCATGGTGGTACATGCCAGTAATCCCAACTATGGAGGCTGAGGCAGGAGAACTGCTTGAACCCAGGAGGTGGAGGTTGCAGTGAGCCGAGATCACGCCACTGCACTCCAGCCTGGGTGACAGAGCGAGACTCCATCGCAAAAAAAAAAAAAAAGAAAAAAGAAAAAAAAGAAAAGGAAAAAGGAGATTCATTACTTTTAATAAAAGTGACACTCCTTGAAACAAGAATACATGCATTTAGCAAATATAATGTCCAAACTTTGGGTTTGATACACTGCTGCTGCCCTGTTGACTAGGGTCTGGCAAGCCTCAGCATGCTGCCAAGAAAGAGAAATCAGAAGCTGGCACTCAACAGCGAGGTGCCATATGCTTCCACAGGTCCTGAGTTTATCCCTTTCTTTATGTCACTTTTATCATTGTGTAGATTTAAATTACTGCCTCTTAAAACAACCCTTGACTAGGCCGGGCGCAGTAGCCTCTTAAAACAACCCTTGACTAGGCCGGGCGCAGTAGCTCACACCGGTAATCCCAGCACTTTGGGAGGCTGAGGCGGGCAGATCACCTGAGTTCAGGAGTTGAAGACCAGCCTGGCCAACATGATGAAACCCCATCTCTACTAAATATACAAAAATTAGCTGGGTGTGATGGTGGGTACCTGTAATCCCAGCTATTTGGGAGGCTGAGGCAGGAGAATCGGTTGAACCTAGGAGGCAGAGGTTGCAGTGAGCCAAGATCATGCCATTGCACTCCAGCCTGGGCGACAGAGTGAGACTCTGTCTCAAAAACAAAAACAAAACAACAACAACAACAGAAACCCTTAACTATCCATTCTTCAATCCAAGGAGTGATAAAATTGCTCTTGTAATAATGAGAAAGCTACAAAGGGTTGGATGACTATTGCCTAGGCTTCAGGCAGCAGAGAAAGTTGGAAATTGGCTGTGTTTTTATAACATTACTAGCTGAGAAACCTTTCCTATACACGAAGGCCTAGGTGAACATGTGCCATTTTAGATGTTTAAAGAGCGAATGGTGTGTGTGTGTGTGTGTGTGTGTGTGTGTGTGTGTGTGTGTGAATACACGTTTGCAAAATATTTGAAATAGGGCCTTATGGACTACAGCGAATTGTTATTTTTAGCAGAATTCTCCAAAAGATGATAATGCAACAATGATTACTAAAAAAAAAAACTTTATCTGAAGTTGGTTTGCTCCTCATGGAAACTATTAGACTAAGAGACTACTCTCCAGAATAAAGCTGGAGTTTTGAAGAAATGACTAGCATACAGTTTGCAGTTTTGAAAGAGGATTTTTTTTAAAACTGAGTCTTAACACAATCTTATTTGAGTTTATTACACTTTTTGCCTAGGATTAGACAAAACCCACCAGACTTTAAACAATATTTACTGGAAAAGGATCATTTAATTAGCTAAATAATGAGCCTACAAAATTGAGTCAGTTCTGTTGGCTGTTGGGACAATACAGCTGGGAGAAAATCTTTCCCAGATATTAGTGGGAACCTGTGGTTTTTAAGAAACCACATCAGGTCATCAAGTCTACCTTCATTACTGATTTTAACAGCCAGGGTTGAAGCCTCCTACAGAGATTAATTGAATATTTATATACTTTGAAATAAGAATGTTACAATTTCACTTATTTGATAAACTCTTTGGTACCATTTTTTATATTCTGTTTTACCTGCTTTAGTTTTGTCTTGCTTTTTGATGTACCTTTAAAAGCAGGAGTAACAGCATCAGGCCTGTATATGCTCAAACTTGGGACCAACCACCAGAGCTTATTTCATTGTCTGTTGATAAGAGAGGAGGGAAACAGGGAAACTCTCTCAAGAAGCAGTCAAAATGGAGTTTCAAAAAATCTTCATATCACAAAGATTGTTTTTGTGGCACTCAGTGGGTGCCAACAGTTTACTACTGTTCTGTCAAGCGTTAAGCTAGGGTCCAGAATGGAAGTTAGGAGGGAGAGGGTAAATATCTCAAGTTTCAATCGACATCTCTCCCTCTACACTATCACTGACCCATCATCCAAGCTAACAATCTCTCTTCAGGATACTGCCAGATCCTTCTAACTGGTTACTGGGAGGCACGCTCCAGAGAATTCAGCTGGGTCAGAAAAGATGCAGCCTAACTGCCTAATTCCCTTTAAGGGTTGATGGGTCTGTAGCTTCTGGCTATTTATGTAACCAACCAATTGACTGACATGTGCCAAGCATTGTAGAAGGCATTGGGAATAAAGAGATCAGTTAGATATTGTCTCTCCCGCAGGTAGATTACAATTAGAAGGGGGAAGCAGAAACTAAAACATTAGCAAAACAAAATAGGTAATTATATTCAATGTGGCTAGGATAGTAATAAGAAGTTTATTTGGAGGGATATATAGAACACACAGGAGAAGGTAGTTAATCAAATCTGGTGGTGAGAAATAGGGGTGAGGCTGAACAAAGAAGGCTTCCTGAATTGAGCCTCACACTAAGAGAAGGAGTGTTAGCCCGGTCAACTTTGGGAGTGTATAAGCCTGCCAGTAGGGACAGCGTGAATAAACATACAGAATGGTGTAGGGGAGTAGAACAAGAGGTTTGCTTTGCTGAAGCTTCAATGTAAGTGGTGATGGAGGAGAGTTGGGGGCAAGTTGAGGCTGGAGAGAAAGGTGAGATCCAATTTAAGGAGCTTTAATTTTTGGAATGTGTTTTAGGCATAGTCAGATTTGCATTTTTAAAAGATCAACAGTTGGTCTTAGATTTTGGGAGAGGTAAACTGGAAACAGTGAGGCGCTTTGGGAGTCTGCTGCAGTCTACCTTAACGTAGCGGTATTAAGCTGGGTTGGCATGTACTGAGATGATTAGGGCCTAGTGGGCATTGAAATGCAATAAGATAATGACTAGGCGAAATAGGAAGTATCCTAATAAGCAGAATTTGGTCACTCTGTGTAAGGTGGAGGGTTGGGGGGTTGCAAAGGAATAGGAGGAGTTGAGGATGAGACATCTGTTTCACATCTTGTCATTTAGTGATTTAGAGCCATAGAAGATGGAGCAGACATGAAGGGAAAGATAATGAATTTAAGTTAGGGTTTACTGAGTTTGAGGTGTCTGCAGCAGGACGGCCAGATTGAAGGCCAGTGGCTGGCAGTTGGAGATAAAGGTCTAGAGCTCAGGAACGAGGTCAGAGTCAGAGAAATGGCTAGAGGAATCAAAGATTAAACAAACAAAAGCGAAAACAGGCCCATTTGTGGCCCTTTGAGTGGTTGAAACTGGTTTAAAAAAGGTAAGGCAAAGTGGGGATGGTTACTGGGTACAACAGATATATAGTTAGAATAAATAGGATCTAATATTTGACAGCACAACAAGGCGACTACAGTCAGCAATTATTTATTGAACATTTTTAAAAATAACTAAGAGTGTAACTGGAACGTTCATAACCCAAAGAAATGATAAATGCTTAGGTGATGGATACTCAGTGTACCTGATGTGATTCTTTTTTTTTTTTAGATGGAGTTTCACTCTTGTTGCCCAGGTTGGAGTGCAGTGGTGCTATCTCGGCTCACTACAACCTCTGCCTCCCAGGTTCAAGTGATTCTCCTGCCTCAGCCTCCTGAGTAGCTGGGATTACAGGAATCCACCACTGTGCCCGGCTAATTTTTTTGTATTTTAGTAGAGACAGGGTTTCATCATGTTGGCCTGGCTGGTCTCGAACTCCTGACCTCAGGTGATCCACCTGCCTCGGCCTCCCAAACTGCTGGGATTACAGGCGTGAGCCACTGTGCCTGGCCTCCTGATGTGATTCTTACACATTGTATACCTTTATCAGAATATCTCATGTATTCCTACTATGAGTTGTATAAATAATACACTTATTATGTACCCATAAAAATTAAAAATTTGTTTTAAAAAGGCAGAAAAAATAGTTAAAAATAAAATAAAATAAAGAGGTAGCCTGGGCGTGGTGGCTGGGGGGCACAGGGCTGTAGTCCCAGCTACTCTTCAGGCTGAGGCAGGAGGCTGCTTGAGCCCAAGTTTGAGGCCCAGACTGGGCGACAAGACCCCGTCTCTTAAAAAATATATAAATATATAGATAGATGTATATATATATATGGCAATTTTATGAATAACTGGGATACAAAAAATTGGTAATGCTTGAACTAAGTTATTAACAAGGACTAAACTTAAACAGTCAAGTTCTTTTTGTAAGAACCAAACCAAACCAAAAACAAAGAGAGCATACCTTACCGGACATTTAAAAGGTGGGGCTCTGAGCCAAGGCTGGGGGTCTGGCCTTAGCTTCAGCCTTGCTCTGGCACGGGGTGTCCTTGACCACGCCCACAGCCCCGCCAGGCCGCCCCCTCCCGCCCCGCCTCCCTCGGGCTGCCCTTCCAGCCAGGCGTCCATCTTAAGAGACGCTGGTCTCCTCAGGCGTGAAGATTGGATTTGGGTTGGGACTGGGAAGTCTCGGTAAGTAAATGTGCCCAGTTCCGTGCTTCCTCCCTAAGCAGCACCAGAAGCAGGAAGTTCTATTAGTATTATTAGTCGGCGGCCAAACTTGAGGCCCTTTGACGTTGTTCGCTCACTCTGTCGGGTCGTTTGTGTCCCCTCTCGAGGATTACGGGCCTGGACCTCCTGTTCAGTATCTGACAGTAGCGGCTTCGTGTATTTTCTAGTTTTCTAGTTGTTAATGGCGAAGGGGATAAAAATCAGCTTCGACTATGCCAATCCTGGGCGGCAACCCTTGGGTTTTGATCTCATGAGCTGGGGAATGGCGGTGACCTTTACTGAGATGGGACAGATTGCAGGAGGAATCGATTTTAGAGGGAAAAAACATCAGGGGTTCAGTTTTGGACATATTACTTTTGAGGTGCCTGTGAGAAATCCAAATGGAGATTTCAGTAGCCTGTCGGATATATGAGTGTAGAATTCAGAGAAGAGCTCTGGGAAGGAAACAGTGTTTCTCGATCTCCCCTTAAATATTAGGAATTTTCATGTAAACGTGGCTACGCTGGCTGGTGCTTAGACACAAAGTATCTGCAGGTGTGTAGACAATGGTGGTGGTAATTATTCTGGTTAAAAAGCTGCCTTTTATTCGATATCCAAGCAGCTTACCATCCTCCCATAGAGCTTTTTGTTCATAACGTCTGCCCTTGGACACCCCAGTATTTGCAATTAGTCACACCAAGTTCTATATATATGCAGTAGTTTCATCATTAACCAACTGAAAGTTTTTTTCTCATTTCCATTGTGATTTTTCTTTGACCATGCGTAGGTTTCTGTGTGTTTAATTCCCAAATGTGCAATTTGTTTTTCTTACTGATTTCCAGTTAAATTGCACTGTAGTCAGAAGATATATTCTTAAGATGTCAAGGTTTATTAAAACCAATTGTGATTTTTGATAAATATTCCATGTCCATTTTAAAGTACACTCTGCATTTGTTGAGTACAGTGTTCTATAAATGTTAAGACTAGTTAATCAACTTTTACAGTCGTCTATATCCTTACAGACTTTTTTTCTGCTTATTCTGTTTTTTTTTTAAGAGGTGTGTTAAATCTCCTACCATGATTATGCATTTGTCCATTTCTCCCTTAGAGACTAGGTGATTGGGTACTGTTATAGTTTCGGTGCCGCAAAAGAAATAGCACTCAAATATAAAATTTTCTTTTTAATTCTTAGCAAGGCAATATACTTCTATAGAAGGGTGCACCCTTACATATGGAGCAATGGTGAGCACACACTTGGACAAGGGAGGGGAAGGGGTTCTTATTCCTGACACACGTGGCCCCTGCTGCTGTGTCGTTCCCCTATTGGCTAGTGTTAGACCGCACAGGCTAAACTAATTCCAATTGGCTAATTTAGAGAGAGTGACGGGGTGAGTGGTTTGGCGGGAGTGAGGGTGGAGCAGGTGATCAGGATGAGTCAGGGCAGAGCTGGTAATCAGAATGAGTCAGGATGGAGCAGGTGATCAAAAAAGGTTGCTTTACGAGGAAGTTTAAAAGTAGAAGGCAAAGAATTGAACATACTGACATATTGATTCTTTGAAGAGAAATTTAGAACTCATATCTAATAGTACTTACAAATTGCAAATTAAAATTTTTGTTTTTTCACATTATGAAATGTCCCTCTTTGTCTCTAGTATTGCTTTTATGCCTCATAGTTTACTTTGCTTGTCATATAGAGAGGTAGATTGTATTATTTGACTCCAACTGTTCACCCTTCCCTTAGTTACATTCTTTGTGTTCACACCTTTTTCTGTGTAACTTTACTGTGACCAACCACCATGAGGTGACCTGCGCTGATTGTTGACTTTGGGCTCAACCATATGAACAGACATCCGGTGAGGCAGAGGCTTGAAATGGGCTTGCATTTGGGACTTACTCTCTTGGACAACTTCCAACACCATGAGAACATACCCAGGCCAACCTGGTTGAGTGACACATGAAGGAAAGCCAAGTCATCCCAGTCATTCTAGCTGAGGCAGAACAGATCAGCAGAACAGATAGCCCATTAGCTCAGATGTGTGAGCAATAAACTCTTACTGTTAAATGTGGAACATACGCTCTAGGAGGTAAAGACAGACAATAAACAGTAAACTTCCTAAATAAATACATTATATAATGTTTTATTTTCTATAGAAAAAAAGTAGAGTGCAATAGAGGAGTTAGAAGGAGGGAGCAGATTGCAGTATTAAATAAAGTGGTTAGGGTTGACCTTGTTGAGAAGGTGACATTTGAGCAAGGAATTGAAGGAAGTGAGGTAACTACTACTTTTGAGGGTGAGATAGTCATTTAGGATTTCTTCCATCTTTGGGCAAATTAATGGGACAGAATACCTAATTCTTATAATCGGGATGCTGATGGTATTCTATGGGGCTGGTGAGAAGCTGTGGGGTGGTTGGTGTTGCCTAGCAACTGCTACCTCCGGCCCCTGTCTCATAAAGAGGGTCCAGGATGGGAATGTGTGATACTCTGGGTGAGAGGGATTACCTGGTTTTCATATGAGGCCAGTGTGAGGACTAAACGCTGATTTTTTTTTATCTTGTCCAAATTCCTGTCTAAGG
This sequence comes from Homo sapiens, assembly GCF_000001405.40. Lineage (NCBI taxonomy): Eukaryota > Metazoa > Chordata > Mammalia > Primates > Hominidae > Homo > Homo sapiens. The sequence continues at coordinate 77,299,010 of NC_000011.10, read as the reverse complement.
GGTCTGGGGAGTCATGCCCTACAAACCATAAATTCTCATCAGATGGGTTTTATTTAACCCTAGAGTCATGCCCTACAAACCATAAATTCTCATCAGATGTGTTTTATTTAACCCTATATATCATGATTTTCTTTCCAACCTGACTCTGGCATAACAATATAAGTCAAAAAAGAAAAAAATATTTTACCCCAAAATATGTTTCTTTGCCATATTTTGAAATGGCCCTCAAAGCTGTTTTTTTGTGGGGTGGGGGCGTGGCATCTGTAAAGAATCTCTGTTAACATAGCTAGATCTTTTTCTTCCAGACCCTTCCGATCCTAAAGAGATTAACTAAGATCTGAATAGGAAACATTTGTCACCTATTGTCTCTAAGAGCAGCCACTATAAGACTTCAAAACAAGTTTGGTCTCCATAATCTTTATCTTAACATGACCATTCCCTTTCTATCTATCCCAGGTCTTTAGACAAACTCAACCATTGTCAACCAGAAAATGTTTTTAAAAAAAATTTTTTTTTGAGACCCCAGGCTGGAGAGCAGTGGCACCATCTCTGCTCACTGCAATCTCCGCCTCCCGGGTTCAAGCAATTTTCATGCCTCAGCTTCGCAAGTAGCTGGGATTACAGGCGTGCGCCACCACACCTGGCTAATTTTTGTATTTTTAGTAGAAACGGGGTTTCACCATGTTGGTCAGGCTGGTCTAAAACTCCCGACCTCAGGTGATCTGCCCGCCTTGGCCTCCCAAAGTGCTGGGATTACAAGCGTGAGTCAGCGCGCCTGGCCTGATTATACTTTTCTACTGTCACTTAAAGATGATTTGCAAGGAAATGGAAGGCAAATGTATGTGCCCAGTTCCTTTTCTTAAACTGAATCTCCAAGATCTTTTTATTTCAATCTTTTTTTTTTTAAAAAAACGAAACAACAACAAAAAACTGTAGGTAGTCTTTATTTTCCCTGTCTTTTTCAGCTCCCTCCTGAACTTCCAAAATGTCTTCATTTATGCTCTGAGGCTGGGTTAATCACTCTATTCTCCATGCTGCCTAGTGTATTGTATAGATGTTTATTCTAGAAGTTATTACATTATATTATACTTAATTGCTAATATACATTTCTTCCACTATATTTAAATCTTATCAATGATAGCTTTGACTTATCACTTTGCCCTTGACGCATAACCTAATGCTTGGTCATTTGAGTGCTCAAAGTGTGCTGAATGGATAACAATTATTATATTGAAAGCCAACATTCAGTTTACAGTATTTCCAGAACTAAGTTCTTCACGTCTATTGATTCACTCAATAATCCCCACAAACTATATGGATATGTACCATTATCATCCACATTTAAAGATGAGAAAACTGAGGTACAGAATACTTACATAACTTGCCTAAAGTTGCACAGCTAAATATGGCAAAGCTGGGATATGAAACCTAGGCAAGGAGCTCCAGAGCATCTACTTTTTTTTTTTTTTTTTTCTGAGACGGAGTCTCGCTCTGTCGTCCAGGCTGGAGTGCAGTGGTGGGATCTCGGCTCACTGCAAGCTCCGCCTCCCGGGTTCACGCCATTCTCCTGCCTCAGCCTCCCGACTAGCTGGGACTACAGGCACCAGCCACCGCGCCTGGCTAATTTTTTTGTATTTTTTAGTAGAGATAGGGTTTTACCGTGGTCTTGATCTCCTGACCTCGTGATCCGCCCACCTCGGCCTCCCAAAGTGCTGGGATTACAGGCATGAGCCACTGCGCCCGGCCCAGAGCATCTACTTTTTAAATTATGAACTATTTAAAATATACAGGAAAATATAACCCCATATATTTATAATTGTTAACATCTTCCAATATTTGCTTTCTCTTCTTTTAGATGAAGTATTTGAAAGTGAATTGCAGACACCATACATTTTACCTGTAAATACTTTGTGTGAAACTCTAAAGGAATTTTTTTGTTTTTTTTTTTTTGTTTTTTTTGAGGCAGTCTCCCTCTGTCCCCCAGGCTGGAGTGCAGTGGCGCGATCTTGGCTCACTGCAACCTCCGTCTCCTGGGTTCAAGCGATTCTTCTGCCTCAGCCTCCCGAATAGCTGGGACTACAGGCGCACACCACCATGCCTGGCTAATTTTTGTATTTTTAGTAGAGACGGAGTTTCACCTGGCCAGGCTGGTCTCGAACTCCTGACCTTGTGATCTGCCCGCCTCGGCCTCCCAAAGTGCTAGGACTACAGGCATGAGCCACCGCACCCGGCCAAAAAAGGAATTTTTTTTTACACAGCCATATCATCATTTTCACACCTAAAATTAGTAATTTACTAAACCAACTGAATGTAAATCAGTTAATAACCAAATTTCTACCAATTTCCTCCAGAAAGTCTTTTCACAGGTTCCAATCAAGATCTATACATCTGGCCGGGTGCAGTAGCTCACACCTGTAATCCCAGCACTTTGGGAGGCCAAGGCGGGCAGTTACTTGAGGTCAGGAGTTCAAGACCGGCCTGGCTAACTTGGTGAAACCCTGTTTCTACTAAAAATACAAAAAATTATCCGAGCATAGTGGTGCGTGCTTGTAATGCCAGCTACTCAGGAGGCTGAGGTAGGAGAATTGCTTGAACCCGGGAGGTGGAGGTTGCAGTGAGCCGAGAGCACGCCATTCCACTTCAGCTTGAGCAACAAGAGTGAAACTCAGTCTAAAAAAAAAAAAATTAATTAAAAAAATAATCCATACATCAATTCATATACTTACAAGAAATTTCTTTTCTTTTTTTTTTTTTTTTTTTGAGACGAAGTCTTGCTCTGTCCCGCAGGCTGGAGTGCAGTGGCGCGATCTCTGCTCACTGCAAGCTCCACCTCCCAGGTTCACGCCATTCTCCTGCCTCAGCCTCCTGAGTAGCTGGGACTATAGGCGCCCGCCACCATGCCTGGCTAATTTTTTGTATTTTTAGTAGAGACGGGGTTTCACCGTGTTAGTCGGGATGGTCTCAATCTCCTGGCCTCGTGATCTGCCCGCCTCGGCCTCCCAAAGTGCTGGGATTACAGGCGTGAGCCACCGCGCCTGGCCAAGAAATTTCTAATTAAGATAAAATTTGCATACACTAAAATTCACCCTTATTTAGTGTATAATTCTGCAAGTTTTGACAAATGCATATAATTGTGTAAGTACCATCAAAATATAGGACAGTTTTTCTCCCAATCTGTGGCCTGCCTTTTTACTTCTTAGGAATGTCTTTTGAAGACTAGAAGTTATTAATATTGATGAAGTACAACTTATATGTTTTTTCTATTATGGATCATGCTTTTGGTGTTATACCTAACAAATCTTTGCCTAAAGCAGGGACACAGATTTCGTCTATGTTTTCTTCTGTAAGTTTTATAGCTTTAGGTTTTATTTATTCATTTAGAGACAAGGTCTCATTCTGTCACCCAGAATGGAGTATAGTGGCCCCATCATGGCTTGCTGCAGCCTCAACCTCCCAGCTCAAGTGATCCTCTTGCCTCAGCCTCCTGAGTAGCTGGGACTACAGGTGTGCGCCACCACATCTGTCTAATTTTTGTATTTTCTGTAGAGATGGGCTCCCACTATGTTGCCCAGGCTGGTCTCAAATTCCTGGGCTCAAGTGATCCTCTAGCCTCAGCCTCCCAAAGTGCTGGGATTACAGGCATGACCTGCCACACCTGGCCAGCTTTAGATTTATATTTAAGTCTGTGATCCATTTAATTTTTACAAAGAATGCAAAGTTGTGGGCTGGGTGTGGTGGCTCATGCCTGTAATCCCAGCACTTTGGGAGGCTGAGGCGGGCAGATCCTTTGAGGTCAGGAGATCCAGACCAGCTTGGCTAACACAGTGAAACCCCATCTCTACTAAAAATACAAAAACAAAAACAACAACAACAACAAAATTAGCTGGATGTGTTGGCATGCACCTGTAGTCCCCGCTACTCAAGAGGCTGAGGCAAGATAATTGCTCCTGGGAGGCAGAGGTTGTAGTGAGCTGAGATCGCCTTCCACTGCACTCCAACCTGGGTGACAGAGGGAGACTCTGTCTCAAAAAAAAAAAAAAAAAAAAAAAAGCAAAGTTGTAGATTGAGGTTCATTTTAGGTGAATATCCAGTTGTTCCAGAACCATTTGTCAAAAAACCTGTCCTTTCTCCATCCTTCATACTTCTGTCAAACATGAATAGACCATATATATATGGGCCTTTTTCTGGAACCCATATTCTGTTTCATTGATCTCTATGTCTGTCTTTTTGCTGATTCCACGCTATCTTGGTAACTGTAGCTTTATATTAAGTCTTGAACTCAGGTAGTTTGAGTCAAAATACATTTTTTTTCAAAATTGTTTTGGCTAGTCTATTTCCTTTGCCTTTCCTTATAAATCTTAGAATCAGCTTATTGATTTCTACAAAAAAAGTCCTCAGAGATTTTGATTGGAATCATGTTGAACCTGTAGATCTGTTTGGGGAGAATTGAGATTATAACAATATTGAGTCTTCTAATCCAAGAAAGTGGTACTTAGATTAGAAGACTCAGTATTGTTATGAGTCTTTACTTGAGTCTTCTTTGATTTCTTTCATCAAGTATCTTATAGTTTTCAGCATGCAGATCCTGCACATATTTTGTTAGATTTATACCTAAGTATGTGTTTGTTACTATTGTAAATCATCATTTAAATTTAATTTTTAAATAAATGTTTCATCTTGGAATAATTTTAGATTTACAGAAAAGTTACAAAGATAGTACAGACAGTTCTTGTATACTCTTACCCAGTTTCAGTTTCCCCCAGCATTATCCTTTCACTGTGGTTCATTCGTTAAAACTAAGATAACGTTAGTACATTACTGGTAACTAAACTTCAGATATCATTCAGATTTCACCAGTTTTCCCATTCATGTTTTGCTGTTTCGTGATGTAAATAGTGATTTAAAATTTTTACCTTCTATTTGTTCATTTCTAGTCTATAAAAATTTTTGATTTTTGCATCTAGTTCTACCTTGCCAAACTCACTTATTAATTCTAAGTTTTTTGTAGAATTTTGGAGATTTTCTACATAGATAATATTGTTGTCTGCAAATAGAGTTTCTATTCTTTATGCCTTTTATTTCTTTTTCTAGCCTTATTGCACTGGCTAGGACTGCCAGTACAATGTTGAACAAGGTTGGTGATAACAGACATCCTTGCTTTGTTTCTGATCTTAGAAAAAAATCATTTAGTCTTTAGAAAGCAATCAATCTTTCACTATTAAGTTTGAAGTTAGCTATTGGCTTTTAATATATTCTCCATATAAAGGCATAATATTCGCCATTCTATTCCTAGTGTGCTGAGGGTTTTTGTCAGGAATGGAGTTTGAATTTGCTCAGAAGTATTTTATGTATCTATTTAGATGGCCATATAGTTTTAGTTTGATAGTATGGTTAAGTTTATTGATTTTTTTTTTTTTTTTTGAGACAAGGTCTCTGTTGCCCAGGCTGGAGTGCAGTGGTGTGATCTTGGCTTACTGTAACCTCCATCTCCAGGCTCAAGCAATCCTCCTGCCTCAGCCTCCCAAGAAGCTGGGACTACAGGGATGTGCCACCACACCCAGCTAATTTTTGTATTTTTTTGTGGATACAGGATTTGGCCATGTTGCCCATGCTGGTCTTGAACTTTTGGGCTCAAGCAGTCTGCCTGCCTCAGCCTCCCAAAGTTGTAGGATTACAGAAGTGAGTGACCATGCCTGGCCCCAAGTTGATTGATTTTTGAATGTTGAATAATCTTTGCAGTCCTTAGGAAAACTACACTTGGTCAGTATGTATTGATGTATGTTAAGAATTTTTGCATTTGGATTCGTAAGGGATATTGGTTTGTACTTTTTTCAGGATATCTTTGTCTGGTTTTGGTGTCAGGATACTGGTCATATGAAATGATTTGGAAAGTCTTCCATTCTCTTCTAATGTAAGAGTTTCTATAGAATTGGTATTATTTCTTCCATAGATGTTTGGTAGAATTCACCAGTGAACCCGTTGTTGTTGTTTTTTTTCTTTTTCTTGATGGGAAGGCTTGTTTAACAAGGCTTTTTAACAAGGCTTTTTATTTTTAATTTAAGTAAAATTCAATTTACTTGATAGATAAAGGGCTATTCAAGTTTTCTATTCCTTCTTGAGTGAGCTTCAGTAGTTTTTGTCTTTCAAGGAATTTGCCCATTTCATGTATCTATAGAATTTATGGGAATGAAGTTGTACCAAATTCTTTATTGCTACTCTTTTGATGTCTCTAGGGTCTGTGGTGATGGTTCCCTCTTATTCCTGATATTGATAATTTGTGATTTCTCTCTTGTTTAATCTCCTTAATGATCCTGGTTGGAAATTTATTAGTTTTGTTGGTCTTCTCAAAGAACCAACTTTTGATTTCATTGATTTTTTTTCCTATTTTTTCTATTTAATTATCCATTGTTATTATTCCTAATCTTCTGTTAACTTTGTGTTTAATTTGCTCCACTTTTACTGATTGTCTAAAGATGGAAATTGAGGTTATTGATTTTGAGATCTTTGTTCTTTTCTAGTACGGGCATTTAGCATTATAAATATCAATCTAAGTATTGCTTTAACTATACCTTACAAATGTTTCTATATTGTGTTTTCATTTCTATTCAGTTCAAAAGGTTTTAATTTCCCTTTTGATTTTTTTTAACTCAGAGTTACTTAGAAGTTGCTATTTAAAATATTTAGGAGTTTTCCAACTCTCATTAATTTCTAATTTAATTCTAGTATTTTCAATTCTGTTTTCCAATTCTAGTGTTTTTTAAGTCTACTCTATCCTGCTTACTGTTATTGAGAAAGGGGTATTGAAATCTCTGACTATAATTTTGGATTTGTCTGTTTCTCATTGGAAGGTCAATGAATTTTGATTTATGTTACTTGAGGGTTTTTTTTTGTCATTTTGCAGATTTATTAATAAAATTGAAAATGTGTATGATCAGATACCAAAAACACATCAAGTATGAATAATAATAATAATAATTTTTTTTTGAGACTTTCACTCTTGTTGCCCAGGCTGGAGTGCAATGTTGCCATCTTGGCTCACCGCAACCTCCACCTCCTGGGTTCAAGCAATTCTCCTGCCTCAGCCTCCCAAGGAGCTGGGATTACAGGCATGCGCCACCATGCCCAGCTAATTTTGTATTTTTAGTAGAGACGGGGTTTCTCCATGTTGGTCAGGCTGGTCTCAAACTCCCGACCTCAGTTGATCCGCCTGCCTTGGCCCCACAAAGTGCTGGGATTACAGGCATGAGCCACTGCTCCTAGCAAGTATGAATAATTATATATTAACTCTCAAATATGTAAATGTCTATGCTGATGGAAGAAACAAAAGGAAACATTAGAGTTTCTAAAAATTTTTATCAGTACATAATGTTTGTACTTATTTATTGTATACATGTGATATTTTGATACATGCATAGAATGTGTAATGGTAAAATCAGGGTATTTAGGATATCTATCGCTTTGAAAATTTATCATTTCTTTGTACTAGGGACATTTCAAATCTTCTAGCTATTTTAAAATACAGAGTATATTGTTACCTGTAGTCACCCTACTATGCTATCAAACACTAGAACTTGTTCCTTCTCTCTAACTGTATGTTTGTACTTATTAACCTACCTTTCTTCATCCCCCTGCAACCCCATGTCCTTCCCAGCCTCCGGTAATTATCATTCTACTCATTACCTCCATGAGATCAACTTTTTAAGCTCCCACATGAGTGAGAACACACAATATTTGTCTTTTTGTGCCTGACTTATTTCACTGAACATAATGACCACCAGTACCATCCATACTGCTGCAAATGACAGAATTTCATTTTCTTTTTATGGCCGAAGAGTATTGCATTGCATATATAAGCTCATTTTCTTTATCCATTTGTCCATTAATGGACACTTAGGGTGGTTCTCTATCTTTGCAATTGTGCGTAGTCCTGCAATAAACATAGGGATGCAGGTATCCTTTTGATATACTGATTTCCTTTCTTTGGATAACTACCAAGTGGTGGAATTGCTGGATCATATGGTTACTACAATATTTTAGTTTTTTGAGAAATCTCCATATTGTTTTTTATGGGCTGTACTAATTTATGTTCCCACCAACAGTGTGTAAGAGTGCCCTCTATCTTTGCCAGCTTCTTTATTTTTTGTCTTTTTGATAATAGCCCTTCTAACAGGGGTAAGATAATGTCTCACTGTGGTGTTGATTTGCATTTCCCTAATTATTAGTGATATTGAACATTTTTTCATATACCTGTTGGCTATTTGTATGTCTTCTGTTGAGAAATAGAAGGGCTTTGGTTTGTTCTTGGTTTTCCAGTTCCTTGAGGTGCATAATTATTTATTTGAAATCTTTCTACTTTTGATGTAAATGTTTATTGGTATAAGCTTCCCTCTCAACATTCCTCTTGCTGTATCACATAGGTTTTAGTATGTGTTTTTTAATTTCATTTGTTTCAATAATTTTTTTTTCTTCTTAATTTCTTCATTGACCAATGGTCAATCAGGACCAAGTTGTTAAAATAATTTCCATGTATTTTTACAGTTTCAAAAATTTCTCTTGTTATTGATTTCTACTTTTTTTCCATTGTGGTCAGAAAAGATACTTAATGTGATTTAGATTTTTACAAATTTGTTTAGACTTGTTTTGTGACCTAACATGTAGTCTATCCTGGAGAATGTTTTATGTGCCGATGGGAAGAATGTGTATTCTGTAATTGTTGGATAAAATGTTCTGTATATATCTGTTAGGTCCATTTGGTCTTTGTTTTCTTTCAGGCCATCCTCTCCTATCGTGTAAGATTTCTACTGAGAAATCCACTATTAGTCTGACTGGTTTCTCTTATGTGTGACTTGATGCTTTTCTCTTGCTGTTTTTGGAATTCTCTGTCTTTGGCTTTTGGCAGTTTGACTATAAAGTGCCTTGGAGAAGACCTTTTTCGGTTAAATCTATTTGGGGATCTTTGAGCTTCCACTATCTGGATGTCTGAACCCCTTGTAAGACTTGGGAAGTTTTCAGTGATTATTTTATTAAATTGGTTTTCGATGCTTTTCCCCACCTCTTCTTCTGGAATATCCAAAATTCGAGTACTTGGTCACTTTATGGTTTTCAAAAATGTCATGTAGGGTTTCTTTATTCTTTTCCCTCCCTCCTCCCTCCCTTCTCCCTCCCTCCTTTCCTTCCCCTCCCTCCCTCCCTTCCTTCCCTCCCTCCTTCTCTCTCTCTCTTTCCCTCCCCTCCCTCGCTCCCTCCTTCCTTCCCTGCCTGCCTGCCTTCCTTCTTTTTTGAGATGGAGTCTTGCTCTGTCACCCAGGCTGGAGTGCAGTGGTGCAATCTCAGCTCACTGCAACCTCCGCCTTCCAGGTTCAAACAATTCTTCTGCCTCAGCCTCGCAAGTAACTGTGATTATAGATGTGCACTACCATGCATGGCTAATTTTTTATATTTTTAGTAGAGACGGGGTTTCATCATGTTGGCCAGGCTGGTCTCGAACTCCTGACCTTAAATGATTCCCCCCACCCCCTGCCTCGGCCTCCCAGAGTGCTGGGATTACAGGCATAAGCCACTATGGCCAGCCGGCCTGCCTTCTCTCTCTCTTTCTCTCTCTGTCTCTTTCCGTCTTCCCTCCTTTTCCCCTCCCCTCCCCTCTTTTTTGAGATGGAGTATTGCTCTGTCACCTAGGCTGGAGTGCAGTGGTGCGATCTTGGCTCACTGCAACCTCCGCCTTCCAGGTTCAAGTGATTCTCCTGCCTCAGCCTCCCAAGTACTTGGGATTACAGATGTGCACTACCAAGCCCAGCTAATTTTTGTATTTTTTATTAGAGACGAGTTTTCATCATGTTGGCCAAGCTGGTCTCGAACTCCTGACCTCAAATGATCCATCCACCTTGGCCTCCCAAAGTGCTGGGTGTGAGCCACAGTGCCCAGCCAGGCTTCCTTCCTTCCACTTTTCCTTCTCTTTCTTTCTCTCTCCCGCTTCCCTCCCCTCCCCTCCCCTCCTTCTGTTTCTTTCACCTTACTGGGTTATTTCAAATGACTTGTCTTCAGGTTCTGAACTAATATCTCCTTATTGAATTATCTCATTCGGATTTTGAATTGTTTTTCTGATTTCTTTGTATTATTTATCTGTGTTCTCTTGTATCTCATTGAGTATATTTAATATTGTTATTTTAAATTATTTGTAGGCATTTCACACATTTCTTTTACATTGGAATCTCTTGCTGGATAATTATCACATTACTTCGAAGTTGTCATGTTTCCTTGCTTTTTCATGTTTTTTGTGTCCTTATGTTGATATCTGCACATCTGCTGTAACAGTTGCCTTTTCTAATTTTTTGGGTTGGCTTTCATAGGGGAAGATTTTTTTTTCTTGTAGATGTATCTGTAGAGTTGGTTGGGTGGGGCACTTTAGTTTTTATTCTGGGTTCATGCAGTAGTATAGTCTCCCTGGGATTTCTTTGGCTGTAATCAATATCAGTGGTGTCTATGATTTTGTCAGTGGTTTAGGCTCTGGTTGTTAGCACAGGCTGTGGTGAGACTTTGCTGGGAATGGGGAAATCAGGCAGGCCAATCCTCAGGCCCCAGTGGTGGTGGTGGCAGGCCGATTGTTCCTGTCCTTGGACCCCTGGCCAGTGTACACAGGCACTGGTGTTAGCAGGTCGAGGTGGGCCAATTTTTAGGTCTCTAGGTGGCTTGCTTGGGTACTGGCAGTGTTAGCAGTGTGCAGGGCAGGTGGGTGGGACCTGGAGCCCTGGGCAGCATGTGTGGTATCAGCGATGGCAGTAGTGTTAGGGGGCCAATCTTTGGTCTCCCAGGTAACATGCACTGGTGCTAGCAGTGACAGCAATAGGATGGGTGGGTCAGTCTATAGGTCCCCAGCTGGCATGTGTGGGTAGGCATTGGTGGTGGTAGTAGTGCCAGGTGATGTTGGCCTGTCCTCAGGCTCCTTGATGATGTACACAGGTGCAGGTTGTGGTAGGTGCCTGTGTTCTTAGTGCCATTGTGAAGCCACATGCTACATATTTTGTTCTATCTCTGAAATATTTTTTGTTGGCAAAGGAAAAATAAACTTGTCACATTTCAGCCATTGTTGTTTTGAAGATTCCATCATTCATAATTGAAGCTAACCCTAACTGATTCCATATGGGAGAGGAGAGAAAGGGAAGGAGCAGCCAGCTGTGTGTCTGAGTCACTTATTAGTCAACGATGGTATTTTCATGTACCTCACCCGTGCCTTTAACGTCTCAAGTTATTTCAACAGCATATTGCAATTTGAGAAGCACGTTTGCATATATTATCTAATTTGATTCTTTCAGCATTTATTAGTTGGTGAGGACAGGGAATATTGTCCCACTTTAGAGGTGAGAAAACTAAACCTAGAGTGATGCAGTGATCACAGTAAACACTCAACAAGTTAGTGGGAGGGAAAGGTAGGAAGAAACTCTATTCTTCTGCCCCAAATCCAGTATATTACCTTTGATTATAAACAGTTTTTTAAAAATCCATCTGTCTTTGATAAAATTTTCTGTAGAATGGTGGGATAAGGTACATTAAGGGGAGCGACACTAGATCCTGATTATTTTATTTGTCTTTCCAGCTAAAGGGTGAATCATGTTTAAGAAGGTCAACAGGATTGAGCACAAGAGGAATAAGACAGAAAAACCAAAAAAGCTTAATCCATGGATTCCACGCATCTTCAACCACAAATGCTTTGTCACCTTCCTTACTGGCTGCTATAGTTGCCTCTGGAAATTCAGACAATGGGAAAAAACTAAAGTTGGATTTTGTTGCTGCACTTGGGTACAGACTGATAAGGAGCTGGACCACATTTTCTCAGATGCGGGGAGCATAGGCTGACTGCTGGGCCCCATGAGGGCTCTTTATGGTCTCCAGGACTGGGGATGCTAGGGCTCCATTTCTTCCATAAAAGTATTGCACCAATGTTAAACTTACTGAAACATGTACTTGCTTTCTTCATTTTCTTTCCTTCACTTCATTTTTCACTTTTATTCTTTACTTTTCCTTACTACCTCTTTTATGTTTATTCATTAATTCACTTTTGCATTTATTCATTCAGTGAATCTTGAAGAAAAAGTGATGTTTGGGTGCAATTAGATATTTTTGGTTACGGATTACAGGGATGCCTGAATTGTAATTTGCTCTCCTCTGTGAATTTCTCTTCGCAGGAGAAAAAAACAGCAAGTGAGAAACAAGGTGCTCCTTTATTATTGGTCAAGCTAGTGGTGATTTTCCCTGAGGAAGAACTCTAGTAAGGCTGAGTGGTGGCACGTGGACTAGCCTTTTTTAGGGCCTCTATTTGTAAGCCATATGTTGGAACCCTTTGGTGAGCTACATGGTATAAGTGATTAAATGATCAGCACACTGAAATGAGAACAGAAGAGCAAAATCATGTACCTTTACTTATTTGTAAACATGGTCCAACTAGGGTCCCAGAATCAGACCAGTTGGGTCATTAATTTCTTATACCTGAGGTGGGGAACACAAGGAAAGGGGTAGGAAATGGGAGGTTTCCCTGCAGTAGGAAGGAATGTTCTTCTGTCCCCACTGTATCTTTCCTGCCCAGATATTCGGCCTCTATGCTAGTCACTGGGGATAATACAAGTGCTTCAGGCATGGTTCCTGCTCTCAAGGAATTCAGTCTACTGTGGGGAAAGATAAGTACACACACAATCTCAATATAGTGAGAGAAGTGCTGTAACTGTATGCGCATGTACACAGGCACATACCAAGGGGAGGGCCACCTTTTAGAAGGTGATGGGTGATTAAGAATTGGATAGGTAGAGAATTGGGGATGGTGGAAGAATTGGTATTGGAGGAGTAGTCAAAGGGCATAATGAGTTTGGAGACTGATACAAGGTTTATTTTAGATGAAGGAGAGGATATGAATGTGAAGAAGTGAGGGGAAAAGAAGCTAGAGAGGGAGATGGGTCCAATGTTGTGTGGTTTTAAGAATTTGACTTCTGCCATGTTGGGAATAAAGAATCCCCAAAGACTTTAAGCTGATGAAGTAGTCTGAGCTGTGTTTTGGAATGATTATTTGATTGTGTGGAGGACGTATTGAAAAGGACAAAACTAACACAGGGAGACTTCTTTGCCTTCAGAGAAAGCAGTACCTTCTCCATAATGATAACCTCCATTTTGGCTTTGAGCTTACACAGATCTGGGTTCTAGTCCTGCCCCTGCCACTTCTTAGCTGTGTGATCTTGAATCAATTATTTTACCTCTCTGAGCTTTCTTCTGCAAAAATGAGGTTGATGCCCAACTCATATGGCTCTAATGAGAAATAAATCAAATGAAAGTAGCTTGTGAAATTCCCTAGCATTTTACTAGAACAAAATAGCTACTTAAAAAAAATTATTCTTTAACTCTGATTCCCCCTTTCTTCTCCAATGGGGTAGATTGATGACTAAATGAACCAATTAATGATGAATGAATCAATAAATTAATTGCTGAACAAAACATTTGATAGCTGGAGAGGCAGATGAATTCAACAGATGATTGTTGAGAGCCAGCTGCATTCAAGAAACAATGCTATGTATTGGTAATACAGAGACGTTCCTTTTCCTCAAAGAAGAAACAGTGTAGCATCAGATAAAACATAAATGCATAATTCCAGTTAAGTGTAAGAAAGGTTGTAAATAGGCATATACAGGATTTGGTAGGGGTAAAAAGAAGAGAGTGATCACTCCAGCCTCAGGAGGGTAATGCATGGCAGTGCAACTATGCTGACCTTTGGCAAGTGTATACAGAAACTGCTGAGGTAACAAGGATAAATGGAGCTAAGTTAGATTTCTTTTTTCTTTTCCCAGAAAGAGCAATTATTTTGCCGTGCCTGGTAATTTCATTTGTCTTGTCTCTGATGTTGCTGTTCCTGTGGATAGAAACATCCAGTGAATACTTTAACTTTGACTGGTGAGTTTCACTTTTTGTAGTTTCATTTGTGTAAGGGTATTTTGGTCTGATAGCCACCTGGATTCTACCTCAGGCTGAAAAGATCCGGTGATATAGTAGGGAAGGCGGACAAAACTGGGCTTTCCACAGCTTTTGGGTGAGAGGCCTGCCTCTGGGGCAGGGGTAGGATGCTTAGCACCCTAACCTATTGTACTTTCTTCCACTGTGCTCAGTCTCATACTTAGACTAAATCTGGCTCAGTAGGAAGCTTTCATGCTTCCAATATCCACAGTCCTTCTACTCAGATAATGATTCCCTGGTATCTTTTCTTTAGTCTCTTTGAGTTACTGATGTTGACACTAGTTGGTCTTCATGATCTCTATCCCTGAACCCTGCCTTCTCTGCTGCTCCTATACCCTCTTCCTCTCCCTGCTGTTCTTAGGAGGCTTCCTACGATTCTGAACACAGTGACAGGTATCCCTTTCCAGTACCCTTTTCATGGCTAAACTCCTACTCTGGAATGTTCCCAGCCCTTTTCTGGCTTGATGTCTTCTAACCTTCCTGCAAATCTTGTTATTTGGTATTTGGGGGAGAAGGATCTGTTCGGATATGGGGCTTTTAAAAATGGAATACAGTTGTTGTTTTCTTTGTAGAAGTAAAACATGGTTTGTTATTTTATGTGTAAAATGCAAAAAGTTAGAAAATATAGTATCTGCCTAGTCTCACTCTTGAGAGATAATCACTTGTTATATTTTTCTATGTTTATTTTTATATTATGCTCATATTGTATACATAATTTTGCTTTCTCTTTTCACTTAAAATAATAAACATTTTAACAAAATTTTTAAACTCCTAATGAACATCATTTAAAATGGTTTAAAAATATTTCATGACAGATGCTATAATACACTTAGCCATTTTTAATTGTTAGGCATTATATGTGTGTCCAATTTTCTTGTTTTTATAAACTAGTAATGCAGATAAATCTTTGTATTCTGACTAATGTTCCTAGAATAGATTCCCATAAGTGGCATTATTGAGTCAAGAAGAATAAACGTTGTTAAAATTCATTATGCCCCAAAATTAGCCAGGCATGGTGGTGTGTGCTTGTAGTCCCAGCTACTTAGAAGGCTGAGGTGGGAGGATCCCTTGGGCCTGGGAGGCAGAGGTTGCAGTGAGCCGAGATCGTGCCACTGCATTCCAGCCTGGGTGACAGAGCCAGACCCTGACTCAAAAAAAAAAAAAAAAAAAAAATTCATTATGTCTGTTGCCAAAGTACTTTCTCAAAAGGTTATAGCAATTTCTATTTAAAACAGAGGTATATGACAGCATTAAATATTGTAATATTGCATAATGTTTTCTTGATGAAATTTTTTGTTTTAATTTGAATCATTTAGTTTCAGAACAAGTTTATTTAACTAATTTCTTTTAAAATTTATTTTCCTTTGCCTACTTATTCATTGGGGGTTTTCAGTTAGCCTTCTCACTGGTTCATCTGCAGTTTCATTTATGGGCCAGTTCTGAATTATTCCACAGGAATTGTATTTCAATTTAAAATATAAATGCTATGGTATAATTTATTTATTTATATTTATAAATTTTAAAATACCAGCTCTGAGATCCATAGTTGATAAGGTTTATGCAAAGTCTAATATCCAAATCTTTCTGCCTCTCTCCCCATCCCTTGAGTGGTATCAAAGTCCTGGGGCTTACCACAAGACAGCAAAAATAGCGTGGTGGTGGTAAGAAGAAACTCTGGTCATCAAAATGACACTGGTCACTCTGGTCATATTACTTTCATTAGACAGTGCCTCAGTCAAGCACTGGTCCCTAGCTACTTTTTGGAATTGCTCTTCCAGGCATTTTACAGAAATATCCCTCACAACAGGCTTTTGCACTGACCACCGGCATGGCTTGGAACCCTAACCATTGTTCCCAAGACTGAGATGCTTACTGGCTAGCTTCCATGATCATCCTTGCAGCCATCCCCCATTTGTGATCTTCGTCTGCCAGGATGTAGTGTTGTAAATCAGGCACAAGTCTCAGTACCAATGAAGTCTTCAATCTTAGTGCAAAGTTGCAGCATAGTCTTTCATTTTCTTCATATGTTTTTAACTTGAAGACTATTTTGTATAATAACTAATATAGCTATACTAGCTTTGCATGGTTTATCTTTTCCATCCTTTATTTTTTTAACCTTTCTGTAGCTCATGTTTTGGAAGTTTCTCTTATAAATAGCATATGGTTGGGTTTCTCAAATCCAGTTTGGCAATATTTGTCTTTATGTTCCAAATAAAAAATAGCTCTGTACTAATATATCACTAATATATTTTATTTGAGCTTACATCCATATTCTTCCTAATGCTACTGTCCTATCAGTTCTGTGTTTTTTTTTTTGTTGTTGTTGTTGTTTTTTTTTGAGGCAGGGTCTCACTCTGTTGCCCAGGCTGGAGTGCAGTGATATGATGATCTTGGCTCATTGCAGCCTCTGCCTCCCAAGCTTGGCTCATTGCAGCCTCTGCCTCCCAAGCTTGACCGATCCTCCCACTTCAGCCTCCCAAGTAGCTAGGACTACAGACACAAACCACCACACCTAGCTAATTTTTATATTTTTTTGTGGAGACAGGTTTCGCCATGTTGCCCAGGCTGGTCTCAAACTCCTGAGCTCAAGTGATCTGCCCGCTCGACCTCCCAAATTGCTGGGATTGCAGGTGTGAGCTACCGCACCCAGCCCTGTGTTCTTTTTTCCTCTTTTCTTGCCTTATTTTATATTAAGTATTTTTTATTACTTCATTTTTTCCCTCTATTAAATTGGAAGGAATACCCATATTTTCTCTCCTACTCACTCTTGCTGTCTTTTTTGTACCTACCCTGGAAATTACAACATGTAATCTTGACTTACCGAAGTCTTATATTAGTATTTTCACCTTTTCCTGGATAATACAAGGATCTTGAAACACCTTAACTTCATATACTTATAACTTCTTCAGACACTTATAACTTCTGAGTTATAAGCCATTCTCATCATATATTTTAATCCTACATACTTTTCCAACCACATACGACATTATTGTTGTTTTGTATAGTTAATATTCTTTTAGATTTACCTACATATTTACTTTTTTTTATTGCTCTTCATTTTATCATGCACCTCTGATCTTTCATCTAGAATCTTTTTTTCCCTGTATAAAAAATAACCCCTACGTGTGCCGTAGAAGAGGACTGTTAGGGAGAGGCCTAAGCTGTGTACGCCATCAAGCCAGTACCTAGGGGGAGCAGACTAATAACGTCTGTTCACACATTTAGATGCTTCAAAGCTAGGATTCCTTCCCCCACAAGTCACAAACTGGAAAAGTTTGTGCTTACTCCTAGAATGTAACCCTGTAAGGTTCCAAATCAAAGTGTGTTGTGTTTACGAGATTACCTTCTCCCCTGTAGCCCTGTGAAGTTTACAAGAGCTTCCTGTACCTCAGCCAATCCTTCTAGAGAAAAATTACCCCAAATGCTACACTATCACTGGATTTCCTTCCTTATTTAGATCTTGGCTTCATAGTTCTTCACTGTCTGGTAGATATCTGATGCTTTCATTTAGATTTTTCAAAACATTTTGTCTAGCTTTTCTAGTTGTTCCCCTTAGCTAGAAAGAGCAGAATTTTTTGGTAGGGTAACCGTAACTCTCTCTTTTCCCCTCTGTGTGTGTTGTTTCTCCATTTCAAACTGTGCGAGGGTTCCTAGGGCCTCCACCATCGATGGTATCTTTTTTTCTCATCTAGAGTTACTGTCAGCTGACAGTTGGTGATGCTGATATAAAACATTGCAATATGTATTGGGGAAAGGTGCAAGAAAGCTGCATCTTACAGCTGTGAGAAAGGAGGGAAGGGGTCCTTGAAGGTTTCTTTAAACATTGTTATAATGATAACAGAAAATATGGATTTTACATGAGTAGGTTGCATTGACTAGGCTGCCCCAGTAAAGCTGTCTTGGTTGAGTGAGTAGGCCTACATCCAAAATGGAGGTGTGATTATGCTGCTAGAGGGATGTAACACAATGGTCCAGAGCGGAGAGAAAACTGCTTAAAAATACTAAGTCAGAAGAAGCCTAAATTGGACACATTCACATAGAGTAGGACTTCTGCATAGTCATCAGCATTGTATATTCTCAGCTTAAAGAAGTGACGGCCAAGAAAGGAGACTTCCTTTTTCAGTTCCCACTGATGTTCAGGCAGTCACATAAGCAAACTCCTTCTCGCTCTTTTCACTCCCTTTTTTCACGCCACTACCATCACCAACAGTAAGTACAGTTACTTACCCGGATGGGAAGAAGTAGAGGGAGAGAGAGAAAAAGCCAAATCACAGTTCTTCTTTTGCCTGTAATCCATAGCTGGGGGGTGGGAACTTCACTTGAGTTTGGTGAGAGGGCTTTGAAGTAAAGCAAACTAATAGTAATATTTACATGTGATCTGATATCCAAAAGAAAACCTTTTAGGTAGAAAGGGATTAAAATAAAATATCAATGTGACCAGTAAAATGATTAGAAGAAAGAGGAGTACCATGAAATGACAAACACTAAGTTTTCTTTGTTACTTGGAAAGCAAAGTCAATATCACAATTTGGTTAAACTGATTAGTTCTTTGACTACATCTAGAGTGCTATTAAGGCCAGATTTCATGTTTTTTTTTTTAATTTCGAAAATTTTTTTTCAAGATCTCTGTTTAATAACCACCTGTGCTTGGGTTAAAACATCCTATTCTTGTTTCATGGATGTGAATCATTCCTTTACATCATGGAAGATCTTAAATATATTTATTTTGTGGCTCTTTTCTGATTCTATTAATTATGTTTTTTTGGGTCCAAGTTTTTCTATTTGTTGGCTCATAGGGTTCATTTGTTGACATCCCTTACATATTTTCTGATTCCTGATTGTGAGCTCATCTTCTACAGAGCACTCTTCCCAGTCTTGATCTGGGATACCTTTTGCTAGTTAAGGCTCTTTGCCTGTTTGTTTCTTCCTAGTTTATCTCACAGCTCTTGTCCAAGAGAATTTCCTTTATAATTCTTACTAGTGTAGTTATATGTTCACTAACCTATAGTTTAATTCTTAAAAAATTTAATTTCTCCAGGTTTTGTACGGAGAGGAGGAAATTTCTGTTTTCTTGAGATGAAGATTCAAATTTCTTTGTGTAATACCTAGATCAAGTATAACATTGTTTCTCCTAACAAATCATTAACAATTTTCTCTCATATGCTACATTAGGAACAGAAAAATTGGGGCTTTTTTTTTAATATGGTGGCTGTGATTGCAATTATGTCCAAAAATACATATGCATGTGGACAAGGAGCCTGCCAAAGTGTAAAGTATTAGTTTTGTTCAGGCAGTAAACTTATGGGATGTATTGTTTCTCTTCCGGTATTCCCAAATTTCTGTGTTATGTTAATTTTTAAAAGAGGACGTAATTTTTAAATATGTATTCTAAGTAACTTAAGATCCTACTGCGTTTACAGACCCCATGAACATCCCCAATTGCCTACAGAACACAACTTTAAAACTCCTCATATAATTATCCGCAAAAGCTGCTGTTCACACACTGCTTCTTTTTATCTCCCTACATTTGCTTATGCCTTATCTAGTCTGGTTTTGTCCCCATCCTTGACACAGATGCTACTGATTTCTGCATTATTTTAAGAACTGAAACACATTTTTTTTCAGGGTCACTTTTCTAGGAACAGGATACTGGTTTTTCTGGTCTATTTTTATTCTGAGTTTAGCTAGGATCCTGACTGCCTACTCTTCATTGCTGTTGGTGAGTAATGCTTCTCATTTCTTCCACTCCCTTCCTGAGTAGCCTGATGAGGTGTTCCTGCCTGTGGTATAGTATCCAGTTGGTACTGGGGACTCTCAGAACCTAAGATCACTCTTGTCTTAGTAGAGTTGGGATTTACATTAGCTAGTTGAATTTTAGGCACAAGGAATAGGACGTGGAAGGACGTGGAAGGAAAGCCTGTTCTGTTAGAGGATGTGTCTTGCCAGTTTGGCCCTTTGAAAGTGTAACAACATCCTTTTTCTATTTCCTTGTTTCATACCCTATCCTATGGTTCCCTCAATATTGTCATTTTAGATACCCATAGCTTCACAGCAGCAGTATCTTTACTCATCTCATGTCCCATCTTCTGAAAATCAGTCTTTCTGGGTCTTAAAAAAATTTGCTTACTTGTTAAATTTGTTCTAATGTACAAATGCTAGTCACCTAGCCCAGATGCAAAGTACATTTTAGCAAAAGCCTTTGGCAATAGTGTGACCTTGCTTCTGTTGCCTAACATAGTAGTGTCACTTAGTGTGAGAAATTTATGCCAGGTAAGAGAAAAGTCTGGAAATGGGAGGATAACTTTAGACAGAGTTTTGCAGTGCCCATTTATACATAGGGCAGATAACTTTCTCTGATTTCACCATTCCTTTCTCTATTGAATTCTTGTCTGATACAGAAGAACCTAGCCCCCAAATATGTTGCTATTTGCATGAACTTTTTCTTTCAACAAAACTTATTAATCATTATATGAGCAGAACGTTGTGAGAAGTGCTGAGTATACGAAGATCAATAAAAGCTAAGCAATTTCTGTTTTCATGCAGTGCACTTCATAGAGGTAGATGTGAGATATAAGTTATAACTATTCCTTGTCACTGTAGTGGGATCTTAAAGGAATGTTAGATTTGGACATATAGATATGGTAATGAGGAAGAACATTGTGGACTGAGGGAGCTTCATGACTAAGCAAGACAGAAAAATATAGGCTGTCTTGCTGAGAGGGAACGGTCAGTTCTGTTAGTATGTAGGGCATAATGAAGAATAATGGGGGGCCAGGCACTGTGGCTCATGCCTGTAATCCCAGCACTTTGGGAGGCCGAGGCGGGTGGATCATAAGGTCAGGAGATCGAGACCATCCTGGCTAACATGGTTAGAAGTAAAGCACTCCTCAGCAAATGTAAAAGAACAGAAATGATAACAAACTGTCTGTCAGACCACAGTGCAATCAAACTAGAACTCAGGATTAAGAAACTCACTCAAAACCGCTCAACTACATGGAAACTGAACAACCTGCTCCTGAATGACTACTGGGTACATAACGAAATGAAGGCAGAAATAAAGATGTTCTTTGAAACCAACGAGAACAAAGACACAACATACCAGAATCTCTGGGACACATTTAAAGCAGTGTGTAGAGGGAAATTTATAGCACTAAATGTCCACAAGAGAAAGCAGGAAAGATCTAAAATTGACATCCTAACATCACAATTAAAAGAACTAGAGAAGCAAGAGCAAACACATTCAAAAGCTAGCAGAAGGCAAGAAATAACTAAGATCAGAGCAGAACTGAAGGAGATAGAGACACAAAAAACCCTTCAAAAAGGAGCTGGTTTTTTGAAAAGATCAACAAAATTGATAGACCGCTAGCAAGACTAATAAAGAAGAAAAGAGAGAAGAATCAAATAGACACAATAAAAAATGATAAACCCCGTCTCTACTAAAAATATAAAAAAAAATTAGCCAGGCGTGGTGGCGGGCGCCCATAGTCCCAGCTACTCGGGAGGCTGAGGCAGGAGAATGGCGTGAACCTGGGAGGCGGAGCTTGCACTGAGCCGAGATCGAGCCACACTGCACTCCAGCCTGGACGACAGAGCGAGACTCTGTCTCAAAAAAAAAAAAAAAAAAAAAAAAAAAGGAAACATGGCTGAAAAGAGGTTTGTGAGATTTTGGAAGGCCTGGAAAGAAAGGCTAAGACATTTGATATAAATCAGTTTTCTATTTTAGGAAAATTATTCTTGATGTTGTGGTTTGGAGGGTGGCTATGGGCAGAGAGACCAATTAGAAACTTTTTTTTTTTTTTTACATGGGGAAAATGTAGATGAAGGATGTGCTGTAGGGCAAACTCTGACCACTGAATTGTACCACTTTTATGCACAATAAACATGAAATGGTATAGTTAGGTTCTAAGGTGGGAATGAATTCAGGTGTCCAATAAAGCAATATATTTTAACAAACTTTCTACTCTACCCTACTTCTTTTTGGATACATGCAATGGCAACAATAGTGAAAAAGGAGGGGGACCTGGATTCTATTTCTAGTTCTATCTTTAGGTACTATGTAACCTTGGTCAAGGCATGTAACTCTTCTGACCTCAGTTTCATTTTTTTTTCAAATAAGAATGATAATATTTAATAAAATGGTATAATATAGGGTTAAGTAAAGAACAAATGAAATACACATGAAATTATTTTGATAAAGAGGTAAGTGCCTTACACATCAAATTATCATTAATATCCTAGGCATCTGAGGACTCCAGTTCTCAATTTCTGTCTTTACACTGACTTGGTGACTGGCTAGATTTAGATTAAAATCCAAGATTTGTTGAATCTATACCAGTGTTAACAACAGTGGTTGACAATTGTAACAACAGCCCTGGTTCCCCAAAACAAGAGTCCTTGGAAGGGCTGCCTCCTGACCTTTCTTCTCTTACAAGTGAGTCCAAGTAATACCATGAATAAGGTTCCTCACAGGGAAAAGAAATGGGCAGGAACTCAACTGAGTATCAGTGTGGTAATTGTTATGAAATCTTAGAGGAGATAACACAGAATTCTTCCTGAGGTTGCGGGTGAAAGTTATAAATAGGAGGTGAGATTTGAACTGGCTTTGAAGAGTCAGTGGCATAGGGAGAGGGAGCTTTTTCAGGCAAACAACATGGAAAACTCCCAGAGGCTAAATAAAGTACAGGTATAGCAAGAAATGAGTGTACTGCTAGACTGTGAACGGAATTTGGAGCTATAGGAACAGTGCTTTGGGTGGCAACTTGGTGATTTCAAAATAACTCTCTTTTTCTTCTTTGCTTTTGCAGTTACTTGGATTTTTGTTGCTTTGGGAAAGGATTGAACTATACCTGCACTTGTGTCATAAGGTAGGACATCTGAGTCCACATAGGAAACCTTAGACCAGGACTGAACCTTAGACCAGGCCTGAACATGCTCCTTGGTACTCAGTTTTGTGTATGGGGTTACCCTCTCTGTTACTGTTCTCCTTGGAGAGAAGAGATTTACTTACACCATATTAACTGAAATAATTAAATTTCTAACGTTGCAACTGATTTATGGAGGGAGCTGAACCCGAGCTGAACCCAAACTCTTATTTGTTCTCACTACTTCCTATTAAACTCAATCTGTAGCCCTGTTCTTCCCATTCCAGTAAAATCTTAGGCACTCATTCCATTAATTTCCCAGTACTTTTCAGTCACAAGAATACTCTCATTTCAGTGATTAAAAATTTCAGTTCACTGTAATAACCTAAGCTCCAACTTTATTAACCTTAAAATGTTTCCCCTCCCCTATTTGGGCCTTATCCAAGCCTGAAGCCCATAGCGGCAGAGAGGGCATGGTGGTCCTTCTACCTCTTTTCCGCCTGAGTGGGGTCCAGGGGAAGAGGAGATGGAGAAACGAGCACAGTCTCACAAGGAGAGGGGAGAAAGGGAATCAGGGGTTCATTTCTAGGTAAATGTACAGTTGCTTGTTTTCCCGTGGACGTTTTCTATGTGTGTTTTCAGAAATCCTACTGAGAACCTTGACTATAACTCTCTTGGTGGAGTCAATGCCTGTCTTCCTGTAGCCCCCTGAAATTTCTTTTTTGAAGTCCTTTTTACCCCGTCTTGGGTTTGGATATCTTTAAAATAACACCAGCATGATTTCTTTCACAGGGTCTATATCTGGTCCCCAGAGGACAGTCAGCTTTGCCCCACCATCTGCAGGCATGCAGCATATTTCCAATATAGCATCCTTGTTTTGTTCTCCCATGGGCTTGAGCAGCTCCAGTGACAGCCTCTTGCTTTTTTATAGACTTTTTTGGGCATGGTTTTTAAAAATTGATACATAGTAATTAGACATATTTGTGGGATCCATGTGATGATTTTGATATATGCCTACAATGCATAATGCTCAAATCAGGGAATTTAGGATATCCATCATCTCAAGCATTTATCATTTCTTCATGTTAGGAACATTTCAACTCTTCTAGCTGTTTTGAAACTATTTTTTGAACTATTTTGAAGCTATTTTATATTATAAATTATTGCTAACTGTAGTCACCTTACTGTACTGTCAAACATTAGAACTTACTCTTTATCTAATGGTATGTTCTCATTAACCAACCCCTCTTCATTTCTCCCACTCTGACCCACCCTTTCCAGCCCTTGGTAACTATCACTCTATTCTCTACTTCCATGAGATCAACTTTTTTACCTCCCAAATATGAGTGAGAACATCAGGCATAGTGTTGATACCATTTCTTGTATTTCTTGTATTTCCCCAAATCCAGAAACATTTCAAACTCTTGAGTGGTCCCCTTAAGTCTTAAATCAGTCAATTTGCATTGCTAATAAAGGAATACCTGAGATTGGGTAATTTATAAAGAAAAGAGGTCTATTTTGTCTCATGGTTCTGCAGGCTGTAAAGGAAGTATAGCACTGGCATCTGGTCCTGGTGAGGGCCTCAGGAAGCATACAATCACGGTGGAAGGCAAGTGGGGAGCCAGCATATCACATAGCAAGAAAGGGAGCAAGAGAGAGAAGGAGGAGGTGCCAGGCCCTTTTAAACAACCAGATCTCATGTGAACTCACAGAATGAGAACCCACTCATTACTGCAAGGACAGCACTAAGCCATTCATGAGGGAGCTGTCCCCATGATCCAAACACCTCCCACTATGCCCACCTCCAGTATTGGTGGTCACATTTCAACATAAGATTTGGAGGGAACACAGGTCCAAGCCTTATCAATATCCTCTTATTCAAATGAGAAGTATGAACTGGAAATATAAATTTAGAGTTATTAGAATAGATGGAGCTTGAAGCCATGAGATTTTTTCTAGGGAAAGAATATAGATTTGAAAATTGAACAAATAGGCCTTATTGATATCCAACATCTGTTTTGGAGTTGGGACACCATGATAAATTAACCAATACCAAGAATCCCTGAAAACATTCTGATTACCATTCCAGGTTAGTGTCTATTATAAAAACTATGCTTATGTTGCCTGTGCCAGTTAAGTACTGCTACTTGGCCTCTGCCACAGCAGAAGCACATCATCCCCTTTGAAATCAGGAAGACTGTTTGAGTGGCAGCATCTCTCACCTTTTTTCAGGCATACAGGATGGCCACCACAGTGCTTTTCAAGGATGCTGACACTTTCCTCACCAGCGTCTTCTGAGACCTCCCAGAGAACACGATATAGGGAGTAGGTTAGCTGATCATAGGTGATACCGTTCCAGCACCTTTTCTTAATAAATCTTTTATTATTTCTTCTATATTATACTAAGAAATTACTGGCATCCCAATTTCATTGAGCATAGGCTACCAATGAGCCTAGGCTTCAGATAACCAAACAATCAGAACCTCTTTGAACTGCTTAATACCTGAATTCTAGGATATTAAATCCAGAATCTCTGGTAAGTGCACCCATATCAATAAATTTAGTCTGGTCTAAAATTATGTTCTCTTTTCCTTGTCTAGCACCCTTAGAATTCATTCCCACACATATTCTACAGGATTTTTGCCAATATTTGTTAGTAAAATCTTGTTTTCTAAGCCTTCATCTTCTGAGGCATTCTGGGATCTAGTTCACAGAGTCTGAAGGCAATGAAAAGTGCAGGGTGATTGTTAAGAGTTGGCATTCCCTTGGAAGTTAACTACCTTGGTTGAGTCTTCAGGTCTTCAAACCAGGAAGGACCAGGCTTATCAGACTTGTGAGGAGAGACTGATTTTATTGGCAAGGGAGATTTTGTGGGGCTTGGAGTTTCATTTTATTGTACTCAGAATAAATTTAGGAAGAAAAGCATTAGCACGAGGCCTAGAACCCCTTCCCCTTCTACCTACAGATGCCCAGAGAGAAGCAAATGGCATCAACCCAAACTCCTTGTAAACATGCTAATAACCTGACCTCCTGGTAAACACACGAAATGTATTTGTCAGCTGCTTATCTGCAAAAATTTCTAGCAGGATATACCTAGATATATTTAGGTTGGTTTTATTGTAAACAAACCTGGAATATATAGGTTCATGTGTTAAAAGATATTGACTGGCTAGAGTTATATAATTAATGGAATATAAAATAATGATGCTCCATAAAAAACCAAAATGACGCCTGTGAAGCAATGTTTCTTCATATTTTGCTCAAAACACACCTTACATTTTAAGTCCAAAAACAGAATGTATACTAATACGGGAGAGGAAAGACCCTATATGAGTAACTGCATTTGACGTGATCATATTCACTCAAAAAAAAATTTTTTTTTTTTTTTGAGGCAGAGTCTCACTCCGTTGCTCAGGCTGGAGTGCAGTGGTGCAATCTCAGCTCACTGCAACTTCTGCCTCCCGGGTTCAAGCGATTCTCCCACTTCAGCCTCCCGAGTAGCTGGAACTACAGTTGTGTGCAACCACACCTGGCTAATTTTTGTATTTTTAGTAGAGATGGGGTTTCACCATATTGGCCAGGCTTATCTCGAACTCCTGGCCTCAGGTGATCCACCCTCCTCAGCCTCCCAAAGTGCTGGGATCATAGATGGGAGCCGCTGCTCCCAGCCTGCCACTGGAAAATCTTTTATCTGTTCTCTATGATTGCCTGTATCCTTTAAATCCATAGTGAAGTTTGGTGTTGGGTAAGATCTGTGATTCTTATGACTCTGGCAATTCAACTTTTGTGTTGTGATGCATTTAGTTTTTCCTAATAGGTTGTTTAAAACTTTTTCATCTATGTATGTATTTTCTGTTCTTGTAATAATGTCCTTGTTAAATTTGGGTATAATGTTTTGTTGCACTCTTAAGATGTTATAAAGTATTCTCTCTTTTTCTATTCTCTGAAAGAGTTTGTTAAAGATTGGAAATATTTCTTCCTTAAATGTTTGGTAGAATTTATCATTGAAGTCAGCAAAGAGTTGTGAAAGACTTAATTATGGATTCAGTTATTTTAGATGTAGAGATTATGGAAAGGAGAGCTAAGTACTGTCTAGAGGGCAGCACGGATGTAGGAAAACTATACATTTGAAAGGGAGGAAGTTAGGAAAATTAGGTCTTCTTGGTCTCAATGTTCTTTCTCTATGAAGTATACAGTGTTCTGGCAGGCAGGTTTTTTCATCTGTTTAATAAATACTTATTGGATGCTTACTATGTGCCAGGCATTCTGCAGGACACTGAGGATGTAATCATAAAAAATACCAATATTAACCTTGACTTCATGAAGCTTATAGTCTGTTGGGGAAAACGGACGTTGAAAAGGCAATTACAGAGTATTATTTACTTATAATTGTATTGAGTATACAATTGAGGACTAAAGAAATGGTGAAGAATTTAATGGCAACTGTTGAATCTGAGTAAGAGATACCAAGCAATGTTGAGGACCCAGCTGAGGCTGGAGATAGTAAATTAGTAATGGTAAATTAGCTGTGTAATTTTTTCCAGCCATGCTGTACAGCAAAGACTTAGAAGCAAAGAAGGTGAATGATTAGTTCCATCTAATACTGGGGATTTGCAGGAAAAACAAGATCTTTCTCTACATTATTATGGTAAAAGAATGAGGAAGCAGATAAGGTCCCTGACATTGTGAAGACACACATATAATTCCTGAGGACAGTTCTGATCCAAGCCTAGTGCTTGAAGTCAGGAGATTTTTTTTCTGTTTCCCTAGATCCTGATTCTGCTAGTGATTCTTCTGTGTGTCATTTTAATGTTCATTATATGCAAATTCTGGAAAGAAAGGTGGCTGGTAGCTGGGCTGTCAATGCAGGTAAGCATCATCCTATAGCTCCAGCACTAGCTGTCTAGATGTATCCAGCCTGACTTTTGGCTTTCTCACAGATCTTTGCTCCCTACGTGCACCTGGTCAGCATAACTGTGATGGTTATCCTTTTCTGGCCTGTGGCCTTCTACGTGGCATGTTTGGAAAGAGAAGGTATGTCACATAGGGCAGAACCCTGCCTATTTCTTCAGCTCTGGCTTTAGCTTGCATACTCCACTCAGGAAAACAGAAGCTTGGGAACTAGCCACCCCTATGCCTCGTTGAAATTCATTTAGCTTGTTACTCAGGCATGCTCCTGTGCTTTCACTCACTACCCTGTTATAGTGGCCAATGGCCTGTCATAGTATTTCTGTGGCCAAACAGACCTTCTTCTAAAGAGGGATTCTTTTTTTGGAAAAATAAGATCTTTCTCTACATTATTATACATTGACTGTCTGAAGATGGATGGTGGGTGACGCAGTAGAGGCTGTTTTAATTTTACTTGACCAAAGTGCTGGTACAAGTCACAGTTCTTTCCATTTATATTCAAATATTAGTAGTTTCTTTTTTTGTTTGTTTGTTTGTTTGTGTTTTTTGAGACAGAGTCTTGCTCCATTGCCAGGCTGGAGTGCAGTGGCACAATCTCGGCTCACTACAACCTCCGCCTCCTGGGTTCAAGCGATTCTCCAGCCTCAGCCTCCCAAGTAGCTGGGATTACAGGCATGCACCACCACGCCTGGTTGTATTTTTAATAGAGATGGGGTTTTACCATGTTGGCCAGGATGGTCTCAATCTCTTAACCTCGTGATCCGCCTGCCTCAGCCTCCCAAAGTGCTGGGATTACAGGCGTGAGCCACTGCGCCCGGCAAATATTAGTAGTTTCAACTAATACTAGGTCCAGAGATTTCTGCTTACATCCAAGTAACTCAAAGCAGTCCCCTGTGAGACCATGTCATACCTGAGGACTTACAGCAGAAGGTTAAATGTCTGTCTCTGTCACTGGTTTCCTCTTCATTGTTTGTCCCAGTGTAATGGAATCAAAAGAACTGGATCTGTACACTAAACTGTTTTGAGAATGGAAGTATCTTTCACCACTCTATGGATAAACCAATAGGACCTTCTTCTCTCTGGGTCTCCTTTTTCCTCCTTTTTAAGTAAGAGGTATTTGCTTTCTGACCTGTGGGGGTATGCAGGCAAGAGAAAGACTGCATAGATAGTGCTGCCATTGTGTGTTTATATATATATGCTTGTGTGTGGAGGGTAAATTTTAGAAAGTATTTCTGGGGCAAGGGCTTAAAGGGGACAATAATGAACTCTTTTCTTTTTCACTTTCTAAATTTTAGTTAGAATGAGAAGATACAGGATGACACATTCTGAGAAAAAAAGACTCAAGCAATGTAATGTAATCACAAGGTTAAGAGGTTAGAGCTGGAGACTGAGATTTGAAAGTCACTAAAGCAAAGGTGGTAACTTGAAAATGTACAAATGGGTAAAATTCCCAGAGGTCTAAAATAGTAAGTCTTGGGGAATGGCTGGTTATCGCAGGCATTGTGTACAGGCTCTGTATGTGAATGTGTGTGTATGTACTAGAGGGAGAGGGAGGGAAGGAAAGAGGGGGAAGCAAATGATTAATATTTATAGAGTAACTATTATGAGTCAACACTGTCATAACAACCTATAAGGTTGATATAAGCAGCAGGACAGCCCCATTTTACAGAAGAAAATGAAGATTCAGAGAGGTTAAGTTGTCCTTAGTCACACAATTAGGAAGTGGCAGAACTTGGCTTTAAACCCAGATTTCTGCCAATTAGTGCCCTTTCCACTATACTGTACTGCCTTAAATATACAGATGTTTTAGGATGATCTTTACAGGCTCTGGGGCTTTCTTAGAATCAGCCAAGCTCCTCCTCCTCCTGAGAAGCTGCTCCTTGACATCCCTTCTCCTTCCTTTTCTTCCCCATCTGTCCCCTGTACAGTTGAGCCCTCTGTCAATTTCCAGTTCCAGTAAAGTTGCCTTAATAATAATGCCCTATATTTGTACAGTTCTATACTTTTATATCCAAATCCCTGGAAGTAAGTGGAAATGTCACAGAAATAGAAAGTAAATTAGCCAGTACACAGTCAATGAAACCCATGGACTGTGGGTTTACTCAGACTGCTGCTTTGCTTGGGATGATTTTCCATCCCTCTTTATCTCTTTTTCCCCCACTTCCCCTTCCTTTCAAATTTTTCAGGTCTACAAGTGCCTGTTGGATTACCCTTTCTTCTTATCCTTTTAGGTCTCTATTTGATGCCACTGGGGATTTATTCTCCCTGCATTCAGGAGAAGGAGAATTTGGGGCCCAAGCCAACCATCTTTGGACATAGAGGTGCACCCATGGTAGGTCTGAGCATGATGAACATGGGTGAAAATAAGTATGTGTGGGGTATGTGGTCAAGAGAAGAAAAGAGAACCATGGAAGCCCCTGGAGAGAAAAAGTGATTGCATTAAGATGGCAAGAATAAAGAGTTCATTGTAAAGGCTGGACTTGAATCCAGGCCACCTAACTCCCAGTCCATTTCTCTTTACTGTGCCCAGTGACATTGTCTCAGATGAGCAGAGTCCCAGAATCAGCTTGGACGGAGGGTATACAGGTTTTGAAAGGAGATCTCAGGGAGCCAAGCTCTGCTCCCCAAAATCCTACTGGGCTCTACCCCTACCACAAAAGGAATGCTGGGAGGAGAGACTCTGAGGCTTAGGGCCTGATGTCCTTTTCTTCTACAGTTGGGGCCTGAGAATACCATGATGTCCTTTGAGAAAGCTGTTGAACATGGAGCCCATGGATTGGAGACTGATATACACTTAAGGTAAGAAAGCAGGGAACTGGGGTGAGGGGAGGAGGGTATAAGTTCAATGCCATGCAAGAGAACCAGCCTGGCCTGAGGTTGTAGAGACAGCAAGCCCTGGGGAGTTGTTCCTGTGTTCATATGGCATATATGCATGTACTACACAAATGAACCACATCTCACAAACCGCACCTCTGCATCTCCATGTTTTCAATGACAGGGTTACAAATCAGACACACTAGATATAGTCTTCACACATGATTCACATATGGCCCCATTGCAAACCGTGCTTACCACTTCACTCTATGTACTACCTTAGCAATTTATTTAACATTCCTTGAGCATTTGCTGTATTCCAGGCCTTCTTCTGAGTGCTTGGGAAATGCAAATGAATAAGATGTAGTCATACCTAAAAGATGTTCCAGCTAGTGAAGGAGACATGGGATGTTTACAGATAACTACAGAATAAGGCCATTTGTGGCAAGAGCCTTCCAGAGAAAAATAAGTGTAATGGAACCTCAGTGGAGGAAAAGGTCACTTCCTGTTGTGTGGGAAAAAAAAGAAAAAAAATTTGTGTGCTCAAAGTTGTGTTTGGGTTGAGCCTCGAAGGAAAAATACCATTTTACCAAGCAGAGATGGGGGAAGGAGAAAATTCCAGGGAATTCATTCTGAAAAGCTTTTGCTCTAAGACCCTATGAGGAGAATGAAAAGACAAGTGTCAGACTGGGAGACAATATTTGTAAAACACATGTCTGGCAAAAGACTTGTGTCTAGGATATATAAACTTTCAAAACTCAACAGTAAAATGAAAACAAAAACAAATACAAACCAAACAATCCAATTAGAAAATGGACGAAATACATGTGTAGATATGTCACTGAAGAGAATATACAGATAGCAAATAAGTACATGAGAAGATGTTCAACTGCATTAACCTTTAGGAAAATGCAAATTAAAACTAATACTACTCATCTATCGGTATGGCTAAGTTAAAAAATAGCAAGAACAGTAAATGCTGGCAGACAAATTGAGTCACTCATATGTTCCTGGTGGAAACATAAAATTGTATAGCCACTCCAAGTAAGTCTGGCAGTTACTTAAAAAACTAAATACAGTCATATCTCACTTAATGATGAGCATACGTTCTGAGAAATGCGTTGTTAGGCAATTTTATCACTGTGTGAATATCATAGAGTGAACTTACACAAACCTAGATGGCATAGCCTACTACACACCTGGGCTATATGGTATGACCTGTTACTCTTCGGCTGCAAGCCTGTACAGCATGTTACTGTACTGAATACTGTAGGCAATTGCAGAACAATGGTAGGTATTTCTGTATCTAAATATATCCAAACATAGGAAAAGTACGGTAAAAATAACAATATAAAAGATAAAACATGGTACACCTGTATAGGGCATTTACCATGAATGGAGCTTGCAGGACTGGAAGTTGCTCTGGGTGAGTCAGTGAGTGAGTGGTAAGTGAATGGGAAGGCCTAGGACATTATGTACACTACTGAAGACTTTATAAACACTGTTCACTTAGATTGCACCAAATTCATAAAAAAATTTTCTTCAATAATAAATTAACTCCAGCTTATTGTAACTTTTTGACTCTTGTGATAACACTTAGTGTAAGCACAACTACATTGTACAGCTGTACAAAAATATTTTCTTTCTTTATAACCTTATTCTCTAAGCTGTTTTCTATTTTAATTTTTTTTTAACTTTTTTGTTAGAAACTAAGAAACAAGCACACACATTAGCCTAGGCTTACACAGGGTCAGGATCGTTCATATCACTGTCTTCTACCTTCACATCTTGTCCCACTGCAGTGTCTGCAGGGATAACATGCATGGAGCGGTCATCTCCTATGAAAACAATGCCTTCTAGAATACCTCCTGAAGGACTACCTGAGGCTGTTTTACATTTAATTTTTTAAATATATAATAGAATGTATATACTCTAAAATAACAATAAAAAGTGTAGTGTAGTAAATATATAAACCAGTAACAGTTGTTTATTGTCATCCTCAGGTATTATGTATTATCTGTAGTTGTATGTGCTATACTTTTATATGATTGGCTGTACAGGTTTGTTTACAGAAGTGTCACCATAAACATACGAGTAATGTATTGTGCTACAATATTACGGCTACGAAGTCACTAGGTGATAGGAAATTTTCAGCTCCATTATAATCTTATGGGGCCACTGTCATATATGAGGTCCGTTGTTGACTGAATTGTCATTATGTGGCACATTATATACTTACCATACACCCCAGAAATTGTACTCCTGGGCATTTATTCCACAGAAAAGAAGACAATGTTCATATAGAGAAAAACTTCACATTAATTTTCATAGCTGTTTTATTTGTAATAGCCCAAATCTAGAAACAACCCAAATGTCCTTTAAGAGGTTTAATGATTAAATAAACTGTATTCATCCATACTGTGGAATATTACCCAGCAATAAAAATGAATGAACTATTGAAACATGCTGCTATTTGGATGGACCTCATGGGAGTTACTTTGAGTGAATAAAGCCAGTCTCAAAAGGTTATATACTGTATGATTCCATTTGAAGATCACATTCAAATGACAAAATTAAAGGGATGGAGAAAAATCAGTGGTTTCCAGGGGTGAAGGAGGCAGAGAAGTGGCTCCCACTTTAAAAGGTAACACAAAACTCTTCTTGTATATTTACTTTTCTGTATCTTGACTATGGTGGTGGTGATATGTCTGCACATGTGATAAAATTAACAAAATATACAAATAAGTTCATGTAAACTAAATATAGAACTAAATATACAAATAAGTTCATGTAAAACGAATGAAATCTGAATGAGGTCACAGATTTTATCAGTGTCAGTTTCCTTGTTGTGATAGTATAGTATAGTTATGCAAGATGTTACTATTAGGGGAAATGGGCTAAGGGTATATAGGATCTCTCTGTATTTCTTACAAACCCATGTGAATCTACAATCCTCTCAAAATAGAATTTAAAGAAAAGAATTGCGTTAGCTTTCTTAAGAAAAGATATAGATAAAGTGATTCTAAAATCAGAAGATGATCCATTCTGACATTTTAAAACTTTTCTAGGCCCTATATACTGCTCCAGTTTATGCTCCATGTCTTCACTTTCTTTTAAGCAGCATTCCTCCAAAGAGTGGTCTGTACTGCTCTAGAGGATCAAAAGGTTTTATTGGTCTACCCTTCTAGGTTCTTTGGCTAGTCTACAAATTAAATTGACATAAGACAGATTAACAGGAGAAAAATAATTTTAATTACCTATGTGCACATGGGAGTCCCACAAAAATTTGAAACTCAAGGAAAAGGCCAGATGATTGAAGCTTGTATAGTTTCCTGAGCTATAGAAAGGAATAGGGGTGTGCGGGGGCAGAGACAAATTGTGGTAAGAAGAGGGAAGAAAATGTGTGGTGAATAAAGGTTGTCTTATTAAACAGATATAAGTCTGTTGATAATAAAATGATTTCAGAGCAGCTCTCTTATTGGTACAGATACTTTTACTAATGAAAATTTCCTTTATAAATATAAATTTCCTTTACAAAAGGGCAACTTTTCAGAGCTTCTCCTGTGTCTGCAGTTTCTCAAAATAACCAGCTCAAAATAATCAATATGCCAAAGAGGTATATATTGGGGTGGCATATTCTGGTCTCCTGCCGTCATATTTTAGGGTGAGTGTCTTGAACTCCAACATTGCCTTTCTTTGCCTTCTCTCAGTTCTCCCCTTTGTTTTGGATAACTTTTAATCCTTTTTGAGCCTATCCCAATCAGGCTTCTTCTACACCACTTCTCAGAGCTCTTACTAAGTTATCAGGGACCTCAAACTTCTTAAACATCATAGTAAATTTTCATTTTCATCTTACTCTCTCAGCATTTGAGAAGTCCTTCATTTTTGAAAGACTTTCTTTATTTGGCTATTAGAATACCATACTCTCCTGATTTTCTTCCTACCTGGCTGTTTCCTATGTGACTTCTTTTGCTGGCTCCTTCTTCCCTTCTTGCCTTTAAAGTGTTGGAATTTTTGAGATTTGTGATAATATAGTTGTAAAGGATGTTTGATCCCTACCCCAAGTTCACCCCAAAGTGAATTTGATAGTGCTCATCCCACTTTATAAAATTGCAGCTATGTTGTTCTTAAATGTGAAACACGTTTATATGAAAAAACCTTCATTTGAATATATTTTTGAGAAACATTTGAAAAGGCAGAGACATTTTTTAAATCTAAAAAGCAAGTAATGTAAACAAGTTATTTGCATCTGAGTGAAAGCCTATGGGAGATTCTGAGAAGATCTACGCAAAATTTTTGGCTGCTATTATTCCCAGTCCTCTTATAAAATTTTTAGCATAAAAGCCCAGCCAGCCATACACCTCTCTGGAGAACACTGAATTAAGTTTTCTGGGGATTGCAGAAACACACAGATCCTGAAGAAATGTTGACCTCCTCGTGTGGACCAATAGGAGAAATCTTGCCAACAGTCACTGGAAGTCCATGGAAGCTGAGTTAGATTGAAAGATCCCAATAAGCTTGTTTGTGCCTATTGCTCTTACTCCCTCTCTACTAATGCAGTCTCCGCCTAACTTTTTAAGGGAAATAAATGTAAATGTCACACATAACAAGTATGTGTGTGATAACTAGTTTCTGTTGGTATTGCCTACCCTTTAGCATCCATGATGAACAAAATGTCAAAAATTTTAATGAAGATGTGTCATGCCAAGCCATATGAGAACCTGAGACAAAAGGAAAAATCAGTAATACTATCTTATCTTCATTTAAAATTTAATATTTTGTTTATAGTGGATTTTTGCATTGGTTTTGTCTTTTAAATATTGTATTAAAATAGTATTTATCTTGCTTATTAGTTTTTGGCACCCCTTTAAATTTTAGACCCATGGCAAGTGCACTATCATTTTGTTGTTTTCTCCTTTCCTGCCTCCTTTTGGACTAATGGAGCATTTTTTAGAACTTCATCTCTACTGTTGGATTATTAGCTATACCTCTTTTCTTTTTTTTCAGTCGTTGTGCTAGAGTTTACAATATGATCTTTAACTTATTTCTCCCTTTGAGTATTATACATTTTTGTGTAAAGCATATGTCTTTTATCAGTACACTAACATTTCATCTCTCTCATAGTATGACCTGGTGCTATCACGAACCTCATTATACATTGCTATTACTTTTTGCTTTAAACAGTTAATTCTGTTTTTAAAAAATGAGAAAAAAGTTTCTATATTTACTCACGTATTTATCATTTCTGGCACTATTCTTTTGTGTAGATCCAAGTTTCAAATTGTATCAATTTCCTTTTTGTCTAATAATTATTTTAATCTTTTTTACAGTAAAGGTATGCTGGAAATGAATTATTCTGCTTTTTGTTTGTATGAAATATTTTAATTTTCCCTTCATTTTTGAAGAATATTTTTGCTGCATATAGAATTCTAAGTTGACAGTTGTTTTCTTCAAGCATGTAAAAATTGTTATTTCCTAGTTTTCTGTCTTATGTTTTGATAAGAAATCTTCTGGATGCTTATCTGTATTCTCCTCCACATATGCCCACCCCTAGCCCCAGCTCCTTTTTTTTTTTTTTTTTTTTTTTGCAGCAGAGAAAGATTTAGTGATAGAGTCATCAAATGAGGAAATAGGAGGAAACCTCAAATCCATCTCCCTGAGGAGTTTGGGGCTAGAGTTTTTAATGGTTTTGGAGTGGGCTGAAGTGTGCAGATCGTTGATTGGTCAAAGAGTACAGGGTAAAGTCAAGGGACAGGGAGATGAAGAAACTATATTCTCATGCTGATTCTGTTCCTCTGTGGGGGTCCTCAAACTGGTTCATATCAGCTGTTTTACCGGAATATGGGATCTGAAAAACATCTTAAGCAATTCTTAAACAAAAGCCTTGTGATTCTAATGTCAGAAATCCTATCTATAGATACACTGGGGATGCAAATGGTCAATGTCAAATGATTTTCCATTACAAGGAAGTGGTTCAAAATGAAGCCTGATTAATACTTAATTAGAGCTATATTTCTGTCCAGAATTCTTGTTAACCCTGTGAGGATGGCTTCAGTACCCCCTTATCTTCTTTATCCCTCAGTCCTGAAGTGTGATCATTAAGGAGGAATTGGGCCATGACTGCTTTGGCTGATTTCCTGCTGACAGGGGTCAAGGGTACCATAATTAGGATTTGAGGAATGAAACTGCTTTGTAGTAGCCTGTAAATGTTCTTGAGTGCCAGGTATAGGGTTCTGATTCTGCATGACAAAAGTGTCAGTTCTTTTGTTACTAGTCCTCATTGTCTGTTGTGAATAGAAAGAAGAGCAAGATGACAATAATAAGAGTTTGTAAGGGGAACTAAAACCAGTTTCCCATTCCCTTAGGAAGCCAGCTAAAGAGATCATTTAAGGGGAATCTGTGGTACACACCTCTCATAACTATTTAGCTTATTTGGAAATTTTTTCTATTCACAACAAGTGGTATTAGCTATTGCGCAGATACCACTTGTTTTGCCAAAAGGAAATCTAATACAATTTAATTATTCAGAACTGCCTGGGCCAAAGAGCTTAAACCATTATGCCTAACAGCCTTCTTTATTTCAGCATGTCAGCATACCACAATTTGGGTGTAGGTTTCTGAGCTCCAACATCCCCATCTGAAGCTTCCCTAGAGGTTTCACACACTAAAAGCTGAGTTGGTGGGAAAACTGAGTTAATAGCTGAGTGGCAAAGGATCCCCGTAAACCAGTCTTCTATTTCTGGGAATAGCCCAGTCCCATTAAACAGCTGTGTCTCGTTTCAGGAGTTAGTATTGCAAATGAGCTTTCAAATGGAAGAAAAACAAATGTAATGTTTGGAGAAATCTATAAATCGGTTTCCTTAGTCTGGAGGGCAGTCAGTTGAGGTGTCTAGATGTTAGATTTGGCTGGGCGTGGTGGCTCAAGCCTGTAATCCCAGCATTTTGGGAGGCCGAGGCAGGGAGATCACCTGAGGTCAGGAGTTCGA
Source organism: Homo sapiens (assembly GCF_000001405.40). NCBI lineage: Eukaryota > Metazoa > Chordata > Mammalia > Primates > Hominidae > Homo > Homo sapiens. Next base: position 77,261,455 of record NC_000011.10, on the reverse strand, counting down.
GACCAGCCTGGCCAACATGGTGAAACCCCATCTCTACTAAAAATAGAAAAATTAGCTGGGCGTGGTGGTGGGCACCTGTAATCCCAGCTACTCGGGAGGCTGAGGCAGGAGAATCACTTGAACCTGGGAGGCGGAGGTTGCAGTGAACTGAGATGGCACCGCTACACTCCAGCCTGGGTGACAGAGTAAGATTCTGTTTCCAAAAAAAAAAAAAGATGTTAGGCCCAAAGCATCTTCAGTTAACGTGGAAGCAGGCAGTGGCAATCTGACATATTTTTCTTGCCTGTAGTTTATGTATCACAAGATATGCCTGCAGGAAAAATATAGTAGTAATTTCATTGAGTCTAAGTGAGAAAAATGGAAAGAGAATTTGAAGACATTAGTTTGGAGACTTTTAGCCAGGAAAGAATTCAGCATTCAGTTCAAATCTTCATCAGATTTTGAAAAAATTTTTAGTTTTACTTTTTGAAATGTTTTTTTCTGCACCTCCCTTCTTTTTTAGGACTCCATTTACATATATATAATACTGCTTGATCATTGCCTTACAGGTCACTGATGCCTCATTCTTTTTTGTTTCAGTCTTCTTTCTATGCTTTCATCTGGATAGATTCTAATGCTGCATCTTTAAATTCATTGTTCTTTGCATGATCTGCAATATCTGATCTGTTTTAAATTTCATGCAATGAAATTTTCATTTCAGTTATTATATCTTATCTCTAAATTTCCGTTTTTTATACCTTGTATGTGTATCTTCATTATGTTCATGTTTTCCTTTACATACCTTGTTTACACCTTTATAATTTTGTTCTACACTGTTTAACACCCTTGTCTATGAATTCTGTCATCTCTTTCACTTTTGAGTTTGTCCCTGTTGAGTAATTCCTCTTCCATATGGTCACATTTTCCTGCTTGTTTATATCTCTAGTAAGTTTTGATTATATGCTGGACTTGTAGTTTTACATTGTTGGGTGCTATATCTTGTATCCTTTAAGGTTGGTCATTTTCTAGCAGATAGTTGTTACTTCCAGACTAGTTTGGTCTTTTCTTTTGAAGCTTGTTTTTAAGCTCTTTTTTAGAGGATCTAAAGTGGCTCTAAGGCCATTGTAGTTCTAAATTATTCCCCCCCCTCCCCCGACCATTTTTTTTTCTGAGATGGAGTTTCACTCTTGTTGCCCAGGCTGGAGTCCAATGGCGCGATTTTGTCTAACTGCAACCTCCGCCTCCCAGGTTCAAGCATTCTCCTGCCTCAGCCACTTGAGTAGCTGGGACTACAGGCGTGTACCACCATGCCTGGCTAATTTTTGTATTTTTAGTAGAGACGGGGTTTCACTATGTTGGCCAGGATGGTCTTGATCTCGACCTCATGATCCGCCCACCAAAGTGTTGGGATTACAGGCGTGAGCCACCGCGCCTGGCCAATTATCCCCTTTTCTAAGGTGTGATCTTCTGGAGTCTCTAAAGAAAGCCTATGTAATTACTGAAGACTCTCCTCTCTCGCTGGATGGAACTTGAATGATTCATACCCCTGTGCAAGCTCCGATTGTCTTAGAACTGTCTGGTAATATTTTCTTTTCTTAGAAGTTGTTCTTGCCAAGCTTCATAGTTTTACTCTGTACACATACAGATTGATATTTAGCCATACACTTATGGACTTTTGCATATTTTCTTGGAACTGTGTGTTTGTTTTTGCATAACTCTATCCTTTATGGGACTCTAGCCCATAAATTCTAGCTGTCTTGGCTCCCCCCTTACTCTAATCTCTTTCTTCTCATTTCAGCAAGACAGCTAGGTCCCTTTTAGGTTCCCCCACCCTGTACTGAAATTCAGTATTCACCTGCAGGAAAGAAGCCTGGGCGATGGAATTGCTTATGTCATTTTTTTTTTTTTTGCTTTTCTCAGAGATTGTAGTAATATTGTGCATCCTTTTGTCCATTAACTGAAAATAGTTATTTCCTTTATTTTGTCCAGTTTTCTAGTGGCTTATAGCAGAAGAGTAAGTTCTAAGCCTTATCTTCCTCATTATAGATGTTCTCTTCATAGATATTTTAATGAGAAAGGGAGAGATAGTTTCATAAAATCAGAGATTCTCCAAAGCAAATTGCAGATAGAAGAACAAGGAACTTACCTTATGATACTATCTGATGTGGAAAGTCTAGGACCAGAAATATTCAGTGTAGGCTGGGCACGGTGGCTCATGCCTATAATCCCAGCACTTTGGGAGGCTGAGGTGGGCGGATCACTTGAGGCCAGGAGTTCGAGACCAGCCTGGCCAACATGACAAAATCCTGTCTCTACTAAAAAATACAAAAATAAGCCAGGTGTTGTGGTGCATGCCTGTAGTCTCAGCTACTCGGGAGGCTGAGGCAGAAGAATCACTTGTGTGATCACAGTTGTGGTGAGCCGAGATCATGCCACTGCACTCCAGTCTGGGTGACAGAGCAAGACTCCGTCTCAAAAAAACAAAAACAAAAACCAAGCAAACAAACAAAAAGAAATACTCAGTGCAGTGCCTAGCTGGGAAAGGATCAGAATAATACAGGAAAACTGTGTGGACACCTGCTTAGTATGGTCCTGGAACCTGAGGACCTTGCATCATCCCTACCTCCATTCACTTTATTTTCAGGCCACTACTGTGCCTGCTGTTTTCCTAATGCCAGAAAGCCCCTGAATAGAGAAGCTAGTCTTTCACGATCACTAATGTGATTATATATCATGAAAGATTGATCCCTAGAGCAGAAAAATATTGACATCAAAGTGTAAATGACTGATATGTAGCCCTTTTCTAAGATTTGAGAGGGAGTAAGGAGCCCTAGTGACACTTGTGACCTTGAAGGACTGTCTGGGGAGCCTGTCTACCAAGGTAGCTAAATTCAGCCTATCTACCCCTGCCCTTCTTTTCTACCTCTGCCTCAGTTATGATCATGTGCCTTTCCTCATGCATGACTTTGACCTGAAAAGAACAACCAATATTGGGGAAGTTCAGCCAGAATCTGCCTGCGAGAACCCTGCCTTCTTCAACTGGGATTTCCTATCGACTCTGAATGCAGGCAAATGGTTTGTAAAACCAGAGGTAAGACACATTCCCAAGTTCCACAAACCTGCATTGAATTTTTGTAAGAGATCATGTGCTGCTCCTGAAAATAAAGGCCATAGATGAAGATAGGCAAGTATCCACACGATTTCATCCCAGTTTGGTAGCAGGACTATAGTATTGGCAGGAGGGCTTTTTCAGTAATGAAGTGAGTCTAATTGCTGCTTTCTACATTCACTAGAAAGTCTGAAGACAAACTTGTAAACTTACCCTTATCTTGTAATTTCTTTTTACCCAAATATTTCATAAGCTTTTACAGTATGGCTAACATGTACATAACATTTTCCTAGATGAGGCAGACTAGGACATATATTTTTGATTTTTTCTGCTTGCCATTCAACAAATATTTATTGAGCACCTAATGGTACAAGGCACATGGAATATAATGGTGAATAAACACACATCCAGCCTTAATGGAATTCACAGGCTAGTATAAGAAACAGACAGTTACTGTACATTGTGATAAGAGCAAAACGAGTTAATTTCAGGTTGCTTCAGGAGCACACAAGAACAACTTCTAACTCAGACTGAGGAATGTAGATGGGAGATTCTGGAAGGAGATGTATAGACTAATAATGGATGTGGTACAGTATAAAGCACGTGCTGTGCAGTGTACAGTGTAATTTTGAGGCAAGTATGAATGGTTCCTCTGGAAGAAGTTGGGGAATACTTTATGCACAGCTACCATTTGAGCTGAGGGAAGATCATTACCAAGGGGAAGCAAGGGCAGTAATGATGATGTGTTTCAGAGATTATCCTGGAGCAACAGGGTGTGTGTGTGTGTGTGTGTGTGTGTGTGTGTGTGTGTGTGTAGGAGAGGGAGGGAGGGATAGAGGAAAGAAGAGAGGAAGGAAGAGGGGTAGGAAGTAGATGAGCGATAGATTGGGAGAATAATCTGGAAAACATGTTGATCGGAGATTATGGCAATGCTTACATAACAAGTTAAAGAGTTTAGAATTATCCTTGAGTGTTTTTAAGTGGGTAAAAAGTCAGAATTGCATTTGATAAAGGTCAAGCCTACTTTCTCAAGATAGATTAAAGAAAACAAAACAACCTACGTTTTCTAGCTTATTTTATGACTAGGAATTCATGTGACCTAGGTTCTGACCAATCAGCTATACTCATTTGAGACTTTGATTTTGAAAATAAACATCTCAACAAGATAGATAGCATGCATCCATATTGCTAGCACATGTGACAGCAGAGATAGCAAGGTGTGAGGGTCAGCTGTGGTAATAGCTCACTTATACGGTAGTAGTGTAATTAGGAAAAGAAAAGGGATTTTTGATTGTGTACTGGTGGAATGGAATTTTATTTATGTTTGATGTTAATCCTGAGGGCCGTTTGATCATGTTTCATGTAAAAATAGGGAAAAGTGAAGAATTATGTACAGATGGACTTACCTACTGTGTTTGTCCATTTTGTTTTGCTATAAAGGAATACCTGAGACTGGGTAATTTAAAAAGAAAAGAGGTTTATTTGACTCATGGTTCTACATGCTCTACAAGCATGATACCAGCATCTGCTCGGCTTCTGGTGAGGAAGCTTTTACTCATGGCAGAAGATGAAGGGGGAGCAAGGCATGTCATATGGCGAGAGAGGGAGCAAGAAAGAGAGAAGGAGGTACCAGGCTCTTTTCAACAACCAGCTCTTGCTTGAACTAATAGAATGAGAATTCACTCATTACTAAGGGGAGGCCACCAAATCATTCATAAGGGATCTGCCCCCATGACCCAAATGCCTCTCACTAGGCCTCACTTCCAACATTGGAGGTCACATTTCAACATAAGATTAGGAGGAGACACATATCCAAACTGTATCATCTACTGAGACTCCACTTCAGATTCATTGTATTAATTAGTATTGATATAAGAAATAGCTGAAAGTGGATTTGTTATTACTGTAGTTACTCAGAATATTTGTCCTCATAGGAGTACATAGTCTATCCATGCTATTTCCATATATGAAAATAATGTGATTACTCTGATATTCTAGGTTTCTGAGTATATGTAGCGTCTGCAATATGTCTCATATATAGACACATAAAAACTAGAGGTGCTCCATTAGGATGTATATATTGAATTAGTTAGCTATAGTTAATATTTTGGCAAAGGTGTGTTCTAGATGAAAAGCCTATTATTGTATCTGATGTATAATATAAGGCTGATAAAAGTCTTATTAGGATTTACAGAATTAAACTTACTCCTAAAATTGAGCCAAAGTTTCATCAGGCTGAGATGTTTGATGGAACAGTAGAGTTGATGAATTTTAATTAATGGATGCTTTTTCTTGGTCGTTATTGGAACTTAGTGGTCCTTATTGCTGAAAGACAACAGTTGTTTCTCATGTCAGCAGTCATGGTTAGCTACCATGTGGGAACCATGAATTTAATTTTTTTCATAATTCTAAGTACATTCAGAAACATTTAATACTTAATAACTTATTAAATAGCATCCTTATTTTTAGTTTTCTTTTTTTATATTTATTTATTTATTTTTGAGACAGAGTCTCGCTCTGTAGCCCAGGGTGGAATGCGGTGGTGTGATCTCGGCTCACTGCAACCTCTGCCTCCCGGGTTCCAATTCGAGCAATTCTCCTGCCTCAGCCTCTCGAGTAATTGGGATTATAGCTACGCGCCACCATGCCCAGCTAATTTTTTTGTATTTTTAGTAGAGATGGGGTTTCACCATATTGGCCAGGCTGGTCTTGAACTCCTGACCTTGTGATCTGCCCACCTTGGCCTCCCAAAGTACTGGGATTACAAGTGTGAGCCACCGCACCCAGCCTTATTTTTATTTGTTTTGAAACGGAGTTTCACTGTCACCCAGGCTGGAGTGCAGTGGCATGATCTCGGCACACTGAAGCCTCCGCCTCCTGAGTTCAAGCAGTTCTCCTCCTTCAGCCTCCTGAATAGCTGGGACTACAGGCGCCCGCCACCATGACCAGCTAATTTTTTGTGTTTTTAATAGAGGGTTTCACCATGTTGACCAGGCTGGCCTCGAACTCCTAACCTCAGGTGATCCACCTGCCTCAGCCCCCCAAAGTGCTGGGATTACAGATGTGAGCCACTGTGCCTGGCCTTATTTTTGGTTTTCAAACATTTCTTCAAAACTGTCTCCAGTTTTGAATGTTTGGGTTAGTTGTAAGTGATAGGGTTGGATCTGTTATTGCAGTGACTTTTGGTAGGCATTTTTTTAGCATTAATAGCTCTGTTTTAGCATGTTTAGGGTGTTTAGGTGCTTTGCTTGTAGCATTTAGTTATCCTACTTCAATGGCTACTGAAGAGCATCCTGAAACCTGGGGTTCAAATATGGTTGTCTGGAGACTTTATCTTTAGGTTTGATCGTGGAGCTTTCTTTGCTTTCATGCTGTATGGTTAGAAGGTAGTTGAAATGGTGTTATCATGTGATTTAAAAGATTTGGAGATTTGGGTAGTTTTTTCCATAGTGAAGAAATTAGTAAAGATTATTCTGATGATTCTTTATTGGTTGGGTATGATTATTGATTGATCATGGTGGTGAATTGGTCATTATTTATTAATGTATTTATTAATCTTGAGATTATTGTGAAAATCAAGTAGTTAATCTTATAACAAAATAAGAATAGATACAGACATTCTGGGAGTTGATACTGGAAGCTAAACTGAATTCCTGTTTCTTTAGCCCAACCAACACTTCCGTGGAACTTTGTTATATCCTTTTGTGAAAGTATAATTATAGAAATGATAAAAATATAATTTTCATGCAGATACATAGTTGGCATGAGTACAAGTTTTATTTATCACATTAATGAAGGAACAGGCAGGATGACAGAACCCACTCAAAGGAGAAATGACAGCAAGATATTCAACTAGAAAATACTAGCACTCATCCCTTCCACAAAGACAGCCAAAACAATAAATAAAAAAACATATTTTAATGAAAATAAAGGACAGCACCAGAGTACATCAGAGGAGTAACAGAAACCCTGGTGAGCACAGAAACTCAGGAGACCCACATAGAGAATGGAAGGAAACAACAGGACCCTGCCACCTCATCCCCCAGCTGAGATCAGCCAGGAACCAGGAGGAACTTCTCTCTATGGTGAAAAGGTAGGCAAGAGGATCCCAGCAGCCCCCAGCAACAGCTTGGACCCCTATTGGGGTCCCCTGCAGTCCTCACAGGCCCTAAGCCCAGCTGGGGTAGCTACCTAGAGGCCATACAACTGTGTTCCCCTCAGAGAAGGAGCCAGCTGTGCCTGCCCCGTGGCCTACATGGCTACTGCGCAATGCCATCTTGGAACTACTCACATCTTGCTCCAGAGGTGAGTAGCCACAGCACCCCTTCATCCCTTATGCTAAACTACTGGGGAACCACCCCAACAGAGTGGCCTAACATCCCCAGGCCAAGCAACTGTTACACCTTTCTCTGTGGAGCCAAGCAGCAGATAGAACTGTTTCACCTACCCCTCCCCCTGTACCCTTGGGCTAGAGATGGAGCTGTGTGCCCTTTCCTGGGGATACGGTGCTTTGGCAGAACAGCTCCATCTACCTCTTTCAGACTTGGCTATGCCCTGCCACTGGGGTCCTGAGTTGAAACTGTGCACTGCCCTCTCAAGGAAAAAGTACTTTGTCAGAGCCCTGTGTGGCAGGGAAATGGTGCCTGGGCTGCTCAGAACAGTCAGGCCCCCAAGGCCTGAGTAGAGTGGCACATCAACCCTTGGAGAATCAATGTTTTGGCTGAGCTGAGCAACTGCACGTTCCATGGCTGAGCTAACATAGTACCCTTCATCCCAGGGAAACAAACCAGTGTCTGAGGAGAGATACCCGACCCTACAGGCCAAACAATTGTAGTACCCTGCTTCCCTGGAGCTGGACTAGCTCCCTAGAGTCTAAGCTGCTGAGATAGTGCCATCCCTAAGGAATGGAGTCACATGGTGCTGCTTCTTGCCCCCCAGGACCCAAACAACAGCCATACTGGGGTACTTGGCTGCTGCACTTGGCCTCACAGAGTCTGAGATACTGCTGAATCCTACCATCTTAGAGTCTAGTGTTGCCACTACATGGTGCCTCATCCCAAGGCACCCAAGCTGCCACTGAGCCCTGTTGGCTCAAGCTCCCAAATTATAGCCATACCCTGTGCCCTAGGCTCAAACCTCCAGAACATACCTTCTTCCTTAGAGTCAGTCCAGGGCTGTTCCCTGCCTAGCAAGAGTGGAGTCACAGCTACAGCCTAACTTCCTGGACTCAAGCTGCTAAGGGGTTGGAGTCTGATGGTGTGGGCAACCTATGTCCAACTCTGCCACAGAGAGTGAAAGGTTCACAGAGAGGGCAAATAGGTTTGTGAGACTCTGATCCTAGGACTCTGCCAATGTAAACATTTGCACCTGGAATCCAGCACCATGGCAGTTGATTGTAGGCCGTGTCAGACCTGACACCAAGAGGGATCCCCTCAGTGAAGTCTCCTCATTGTAGGGAAAACAAGAATTGGAGAACACCAAAAGCATTTGTGGACCAAGGACATTAACAACATACACCTCTGCTGTTGCGACAACAAATTTCCACACCCCTAAGCCACTGAGATGCCCACAGTTTTTGCTGACGCTGAATGCAGCCAAAGAAGCTGCACAGAGACTATACCACTGCACCTACCCAGGAACAAAGTCACCACACCCTTCTCAACTAGTGCACTAAGACCCAACTGCAGGTGAAAATCTTTCTCTAGAAAAGCCACTCTAGAAAGTTTAGAAGAGGTGATTATTCCACCAGATGCATAGACATTAGCACAGGGGCACAAGAAATGAAAAAGCAAGGAAATATGACACCACCAAAGGAACATAATAACTCTAGTAAAAGACCTGAACGAAAAGGAAATAAATGAATTACTGGAAAAGGAATTCAAAATAATTACCTTAAGGAAACTCCATGAGATACAAAAAAATAGACAATTCAACAAAATTAGGAAAACAATTCATTATGTCAATGATAAATTCAACAAAAACATAGATACAGTAAAAAAGAACCAGCCGGATGTGGTGGCTCATGCCTGTAATCCTAGCACTTTGGGAGGCCGAGGCGGCTGGATCACCTGAGGTCAGGAGTTGGAGACCAGCCTGACCAATATACTGAAACCCTGTCTCTACTAAAAAACACAGAAATTAGCCAGGTGTGGTGGCATGTGCCTGTAGTCCCAGCTACTTGGAAGGCTGAGACAGGAGAATGCTTGAACCCGGGAGGGGGAGGTTGCAGTGAGTCAAGATCACACTACTGCACTCCAGCCTGGGCTACAAAGCAAGACTCTGTCTCAAAAAAAAAAAAAAAACAAAAAAAAAACAAACAAACAAAAAAACCCAAATGGACACCCTTGCAGCTGAATAATTCAAGTACCAAAATAAAACAATATAGTACAGAGCTTCAACAAGAGACTTGTTTCAGCAGAAGAATCTCTGAGCTTGATGTATCATTTGAAAATTACCCAGAGGAGAAAAAAAGAAATGAGAATGAAAAAGAATAAAGAAAGCCTACAATAAAGGACACTATTAAGCAAACAAATTTTCATATTGTAGATGTTCCTGAGGGAAAGAGTTGGAAAGCCATAGAAACACTATTTAATGAAACAATAGTTTAAAACTTCCCAAATCTGGGGAGAGGGGTGGACATATAGATCTAAGAAGCTCAAAGGTTCCCAAATAGATTCAATCCCAAAAGGTCCTCACCAAGGCATATTTTATCAAATTGTCAAAAGTCAAAGACAAATAATTCTAAAAAGAGCAAGAGAAAAGCATCAAGTCACATATAAAGGAATTCTCATTAGACTGACAGCTGAAACTATCCAGACCAGGAGAGAGTAGAATGAGGTATTCAAAGTACTGAAAGAAGAAATATTGCCAGCCAAGAATATTTGACTCAGTAAATCTATTCTTCAGAAATGAGGGAGGAAGTCTTTCCCAGACAAGCAAAAACTGGGGAATGCAAAACCGCTAGACTAGCCCTATAAGAAATATTCAAGGGATCCCTGCATCTGGAAGCAAAAAGGTGATAATCACCATTATGAAAACATGGAAAAGCATAAAACTCATCAATAGAGCAGATAGGCAAAGGAGAGAGAGAAAAAAAAATCAAACCTTTTATACTACAGAAGACCATCAGACTGAAATGAAAAACAAGAAGAAACAAAGAATATACAAAACAAACATAATACAATTAACAAAATGACTACAGTAAGTCATCCCCTATTATAATAACCTTGAATGTAAACCAATTAGTCACTTGAATGATACAGACTGCCTGAATGAATAAAGGAAATGACTCAACTATATGCTGCCTACAAAAAACTCACTTTGCCTGTAAAGACACATACAGACAGAAAGTGAAGGGATAGATATTCCATGCAAACAGAAACCAAAAGCAAGCAGGAATAGCTATATTTACATCAGATAAAACAGAGTTTAGTTCCAAAACCATAGAAAGACAAAGAAGGTCATTATGAAATAATAAAGTGATCAATTCACCAAGAAGATGTAACAATTATAAATATACATGCACTCAACACTAAAGCACCCAGACATATAAAGCAAATATTATTAGATTTAAAGGGGGAGAAAGATTCCAACACAGTAAATGTTGGTGACTTTAACATCCTACTATGGGCATTGAACAGATCATCTAGACAAAAGATCAACATTGGATTGAAACTGTACTTGGACCAAATGGACCTAACAGACAATTACAGAATACTTCATAAAATAGCTATGGAATACACATTCTCTTCATCAGCACATGGAACATTCTCCAGGACAGACCATGTGTAAGGCCACAAAACAAATCTCAACAAATTTAAAATAATTGAAATCATATTAAGTATCTTTTCTGACCACAATGGAATAACACTAGATATCAATGAGAGGAACTTTCAAAACTGTACAAGTATATACACCACAAAATACTATGCACTTATAAAAAAGAGTGAAATCCTGTCTTTTGCAGCAACATGGATGCAGCTGGAGGCCATTATCCTAAGTGAATTAATACAGGCTCAGAAAACCAAATACTGCATGTTCTCACTTATAAGTGGGAGCTAAATATTAGATATACATGAACATAAAGATGGCAACAATAGAAAATTGGGACTACTGAAGGAGGAAGGGGGCCAGGGTTGAAAAACTAACTATTAGGTACTGAGCTTAGTACCTGAGTGATGAGTTCATTCATACTTCAAATCTCAGCATCATGCAATATACCCAGGTAACAAACCGGCACATGTACTCACTGAATCTAAAATAAAAGTTAAAAAAATAAATTTTATTGGCTCAAATAAAAGAGAAAATGTAAAAATCAGATAATACTGTGTTTATAAAATTTTATGTCAAATTTAAGCTTTTTACAAATAAGATGTTATACTTTTTAAAAACTGTACAAATATATGGAAATTAAACAACGTGCTTCTGAATGATCAGTGGGTTAATGAGGAACTTAAGGAAATTTAAAAAATTTTTGAAATGAATGAAAATAGAAACACAACATACCAAACCTTATGGGATATAGCAAAAGCAGTGTTAAGAGTGAAGTTTATAGCAATAAATGCCTACATCAAAAAACGTAGAAAGATTTCAAATAAGCAACATAATCACGTATCTCAAGGTGTCCCCTTGAGTTTTTAACTCTCAGACTTGTCCACACTAATCCTCCAGGAATTTGTCAGTGATGGTTCAAGTTTTCCTACCCGAGCACTGGTTTCCTTAGTGGTTTCCATTTGTTAGGCTCATTCTGGTAAGCTATGATTCATCTCCTTTCACCTGTGTCTCCAATTTTCTGGGCAGCAGTTTGCCCTGTGTCCTCACCTCTATTACAGATCCAATAAGAGTTGTTGATTTTTCATTCTGTTCAACTTTTTACTTGTTGTTAGGATGGAGTGACAGCTTCCAAGCTCCTTACATGTGGAACCAGAAACCAGAAGTCTATTTGGTTATTTTTTGAATCAATATAGTAACGTTCATATGAGCTGTAATTTGATAATGTGCGATAGAACCTTCTGAGGCTTCGAAAAACAATTTGTCTGTAGTACATTTCTTCTTGTGGTTCTTTTTGCAAAGTAGCTTGCTAATTTTTTTTTTTTTTTTTTTTGAGATGGAGTCTCGGTCTGTTGCCAGGCTGGAGTGCAGTGGCGTGATCTCGGCTCACTGCAACCTCTGCTTCCCGGCTTCAAGCGATTCTCCTGCCTCAGCCTCTCGAGTAGCTGGGACTACAGGCACACACCACCACGCCCAGCTAATTTTTTGTATTTTTAGTAGAGACAGGGTTTCACCATGTTGGCCAGGATGGTCTCGATCTCTTGACCTTGTGATCTGCCAGCCTTGGCCTCCCAAAGTGCTGGGATTACAGCTGTGAACCACCTTGCCCAGCCTCTAATATTTAAATTTATAGGGGAGAGGTCATGAGTTCGAGACCAGCCTAGCTAACATGGTGACACCGTCTCTACTAAAAAAAAAAAAAAAAAAAATTAGCCGGGCATGTTGGTGGGTGCCTGTAATCCCAGCTACTCGGGAGGCTGAGGCAGGAGAATTGCTTGAACCTGGGAGGTGGAGGTTGTAGTGAGCTGAGACTGTGCCATTGTACTCCAGCCTGGGCAACAAGAACAAAACTCAAGAAAAATAAAAATTAAAAATAAATAAATAAATGTACAGGGAAAGTGCCATAGAGAAGAAAGAGATGTTCTTCTGACAATGGTCTCAAAGTAATAGTTTTATATTGGGACATGGAAAAAGACAGGATTGTTAGATACTCCCACTACTTAAGTGGTTGTAGTACTCTGGTGATCTGATTTTTTTATAGTAATGCAATTAATGGTAGATGTGGTGGTGCCCATATCAACAAGAAAATTGTATTGTTGGCCGGGCATGGTGGCTCACGCCTGCAATCCCAGCACTTGGGAGGCCGAGACAGGTGGATCACAAGGTCAGGAGTTCGAGATCAGCCTGGCCAACGTGGTGAAACCCTGTCTCTAGTAAAAATACAACAATGAGCTGGGCGTCATCGTGCATGCCTGTAATCCCAGCTACTTGGGAGGCTGAGACAGGAGAATCACTTGAACCTGGGAGGCGGAGGTTGAAGTGAGCTGAGATTGCACCACTGCACTCCAGCCTGGGCGACAGAACAGGACTCCGTCTCAAAAAAAAAAAAAAAGAAAAGAAAATTGTATTGTTGTTCACATGTAGTTACAGTTAGTTCTTATCAGAATCGTCTATTCAGTGGAATGTTTCCTTGATGTGGCATCATTGGACAGGTTTAATTGTCCTTCTATTTCTTTCTTTCTTTTCTTTTTTTTTTTTTTTTTTTTGAGACGGAGTTTCACTCTTGTTGTCCAGGCTGGAGTACAATGGTGCGATCTTGGCTCACCGCAACCTCTGCCTCCCGGTTCAAGCGATTCTCCTGCCTCAGCCTCCCAAGTAGCTGGGATTACAGGCATGTGCCACCACAGCCGGCTAAATTTTGTATTTTTAGTAGAGACAGGGTTTCTCCATGTTGGTCAGGCTGGTCTCGAACTCCTGACCTCAGGTGATTCGCCCGTCTCGGCCTTCCAAAGTGCTGGGATTACAGGCGTGAGCCACCATGCCCGGACTTGTCTTTCTATTTCTTAACCAATATTATACATTGGTTCTTCCAATAACCTTTCTTTTTGTAATATGTCTACACAGAGGCACAGAGAACAGAGGACCTTTTAATCTTATTTTTATTTGAGGAACCAGATGTTTCATCTGGAGGACCAGAAATTTATTTTCATTTCTAGCTTGTTACTTCCTGTGGCTTTTTGAAAACATTCAATCACATGTTGAATATAGTCTAAACAGGCATTTATCCATTCCAGTTTATTTTTCTGATTAAGTCTAAAGAGGCACAATGTACTTCAGCTGTTAGGCCTACCCCCATAATACTATTTAAAGTTTACTGGAGTCTAGTTTTAAACTCTTATATTGATTAAATATTTACCATCTTTGCTATTTTGAATTTTTGGTCTTGTGTTGGTCTTTCCCATAAATTCTTTTAACAATTTTTCTCACAAGAAGGTTTAATAGTTAAGTGAACCAGTTGGTTTAGGTCTGGTAGTAGCTAACAAAATCTTGAATTCTGAAGCATATTTCTATTGTCCTGAGAATTAAGAAAACCATTAGTTGTAGCTTTCAATCAGATCTAAACCATGGTTTAGATCTGCCTTCTGGCCTAGCAATGATCTGCCTTCTGGCCTAGCAATTTTCCGGAGATACTGTGCAATGTGATTGTTTCTTTCCTGAGAAAAATGTTTAAAAAGGCAGCTTATTTAGGTCAAAGGAAGAAGAAGAAGAAATAGGAGAGGTATGAAAGAGAATGAAGATAAAGTTGTGTAGAGAAAAAGAGAGATTACTTGAGTCTTAAGAAAATGTGACTTCTTCCTTCTGCTACTTCCTTCTCCTGGGAGGTAGCCTTTTATCACTGCCTTCACTCAAATGATCTAAAAAATGGCAAGTGATTATCAAAGTTGCCATCTATTAAATTTAATGTAGCAAACATATGTGTGTTCTCCCATGTGTTAGGTGAAATGCTGTGCGTTTCAAAGAATGTATGACAGTTCCCACCAAGAGGGAGTTACACTCCAGTAGAGTCAGCAGAGAGTGAAGGAACTAATGTGAATTGTATACTTTTCTATCTATGTACCAGACATACTCCCAGACCCTGTAAATATTTTTATCATATTTAATCTTCAAAATAATCCTAAGAAATATATAGGTTATTCTTCCTCTCCTCTATTTTATAATTTGGGCAATGATGACTTGGAGAATTTAAATGGTTTTATTACCAAGGTTGCATAGCAAGAAGCATAGTGAGCCAGGATTGAACTTTAATGTACTAAGACATGTCCAAATTCTAATTCTGAAAATTTGTCTCTAATTGTATATTTATAAATATAGTCGTTAATAATTTTAGTTTCTTCTCATGCTTAGCTATTTTTACATACATTAGCTATATATGAATGAGACATACAGAGGCATAAAAATGGGCCATTGGGCTTCAAAGCCATTGAAGTCTCTTTATTTATTGATTTTTTTAGAGATAGGGCCTCACTCTATTGCCCAGGGCCTCACTCTATTGCCCAGGCTGTAGTGCAATGGCACAATCATAGCTCACTTGCAGCCTCAAACTCCTGGGCTCAAGTAATCCTTCTGCCTTAGCCTCCTTAGTAGTTAGGACTACAGGCATGTATCTCCACACCCAGCTATTTTAAAATTTTTTTGTAGAGACAAGGGTCTCACTATGTTGCCCAGGCTGGCCTCGAACTCCTGGCCTCAAGTGATACTTTTGCCTCAGCCTGCTGGGATTAAAGGCATGATCACAGCACCAGCCTTGAAGTCTCTTTAGTTCAGGAAGATTAAAGGAAAGCTTCATGAGGGAAATAGCATTTGAAGGGTAGGATTTTAACAAGTGGATATGGCAAGGAAGTCAAGGGAGGGGTAGAGCTGGTATTAAATTCAGTTGAAGCCAAAGCATGTGTTCTTCCTATTACACAAAACTAGAATAGCGGGAGCCCATGTAGGAAGCCAGCGTGACTGAAAAGGGATGTATTATCTTGACTTATGGGAGAGAAGGCTGGAAAGGAAGGTCAGGATAAGAACATGACCTTCAGTGCAAATACAACAGGTTGTAGGATATAGAAGAGACCATTCCAAACACTGTAATTATTGATGATGATTACATTTTATTTCTCTCCTTGTCACCTGTTTTCTAGGATTAGTACTTCAGAGGGCCTGATGGATTGAATGATAATGGAGCAACTGAGGTAGAGCTGGATGTGTGGCTACATAGTAGGAGAACTGGAAAGTGCTTTTATGTATTTTTTGATGTATTTGTTTCTAGCTCAGGCCATTTTACAATATGAAACCTCTATCAGAGGCAGATAAAGAAAGAGCAAGAAATCAGTCAATTCCAACACTAGCTGATTTATTGACACTTGCAGAGAAGGAAAGAAAATTTGTGATATTTGATCTTCATCGCCCTCCACCAAAACATCCTCTCAGACACACATTTGTCCGCCAAGTAGTAAGCGTGATCCTTGCCTCTAAAATCGAGCAACATCTGGTAAGTCTATCTCAGTATTTATGACATAGGTTGGGAGGTGGGTAGCATGTCCTAGGAGCACAGTAGTTGAACTTGACCTACCTTGTACATCTACCCTGGGATCCTTAAGTAATTTTACTTCCTATGGAAATGAAGATTGTTACTTATACAGCTACATGTGGTAATCTAGGAATGACCCAGTTAAATTTATCTCAGTGGGGAAAATCATTGAGGCTGTTTGCTATTCCAAACCAAATGAAATGTCAGCACCCTGTTAAAGAGGAATATGTGTAATAACTATCTAATGTGACCTGCACCACACCAACATAGATCCATTAGAAAGAGCCTGGGTAACATTAAGGCTTTGAAGACTTGGCATGATGAATGATATAGAAAGGAGAGCTGGTTCTTATTTGAGCAGAGATTTGCTCGTAATGTTTTTCAGAAGCAACTCTGCATTTGGGCAGTCAGTTGTTCCAAATCCCATAAATTCTCAGAATATGGGAGTGCTGTGAGTGAAACAATTATAAGTCTTTTTACAAATGGAAGTATTTCATAGATGAGTCATAATAGCATCTCTGTTGGCAGGAAATGACTCCTCTCAAAGATGATTTTTTTTAAATAAAATAGAAGCAGGGCCTCCCTATGTTGCCCAGGCCTGTCTCAAACTCTTGGGCTCAAGGGATCCTCTTGCCTCGGCCTTCCAAAGTGCTAAGAATACAGGCATGAGCCACCACACCCAGCCTCAAAGATGATTTTTAACATCATTAACCAGAAAGATGTTTTTGATTCTCACTATTCACCCATATCTATCAACTAATCTACTTTGCTTGTATGAGTCTTTGTGTACACAGTAGGCCCTTGACACTTGATGTTAACTGGTAAATGGAGAGGTCATGAGAAAACTCAGCTCCAGAGTAGCCCTAGTGAAAGCCCCATTATAAGAGTTCATTAGAAGATACTAGCCCAGGGCTGGGCGCGGTGGCTCACGCCTGTAATCCCAGCACTTGGGAGGCCGAGGCGGGCGGATCATGAGGTCAGGAGATCGAGACCATCCTGGCTAATACGGTGGAACACCATCTCTACTAAAAATACAAAATACAATAAAAATACAAAAAATTAGCCGGGTGTGGTAGCGGGCGCCTGTAGTCCCAGCTACTTGGGAGGCTGAGGCAGGAGAATGGTATGAACCCGGGTGGCGGAGCTTACAGTGAGCCAAGATTGTGCCACTGCACTCCAGCCTGGGCGACAGAGCGAGACTCCATCTCAAAAACAAAACAAAACAAAGAAAATACTAGCCCATGTTGACTCTTTCACCAAGGACTAGACTCTCTCTCTCTACTCTCTGTAGAATACTACCTGTGCTGGAATGGAGCTCCCTCCATTCTCTATGGGGCTGTTCGTACCTGGATAGCTGATTATCTACTGAGGGACTTCTTGTTTCTCCTTAGAGATTTTTTGGTTGCCAGCTCATGATAGGCAATACGTCAGGTCCGTGGCTCCTGGTTTTCAGCATGTGGGCCGTTTAGTATCCATTGAAACCCTTGCTAAAAACAATATCAGTATAATAAATGTTGACTACAAGAAGTTGTTCCCTAATGGGTTAAGGTAAGTGTTTGACCACACCTCTCTTGGCACATATTGCCTTACTTACACAAAATACACATTCTAATTAAACTTCTTAACTTCCCCTTTCCATCTCGGAATTTCTGTGTGTGGTTATCTCCTTTGAATCTCCTTTCTTTTTCCTACCCCTTCCTCCCTCCCTCCCTCCCTCCCTCCCTGTGCCAACAAACATTTATCAAGTGTTGACTGTGTCCCTGGAACATAGACTTTAGCCTCTGCTGTGTACTCTAATCTTTCACCATTCAGTACACTTTTTTGTATGCTTGGCATTTCTGTTCTTATATAAAAGGTGGACGTTGAAAAGTCAGAACTCAAAACGTTTATTTCCTCCTACCATTACCAGATGGATGGCAGTACCTTGTAAATGGCTTTGTGATCCAGATAGCCATATTTCTGGAACGGATAATTAAGAATATAACAAAACTATTATTTAAAAAATGTAAAAATAGCTGAGCATGAGAAGAAACTAAAATTATTAACCACTGTATTTATAAATATACAATTAGAGACAAATTTTCAGAATTAAAAGCACCTGGGAATAAAATAACTTTTCCAAACTTAACTATTATTAAACATGCTTAATTTAATCCATATCCCCTTTGTCTTAGATTTAAGGTTAATTTTTTATATGATTCTAAATGCTTTAGAGACAAAGTCTTCCTTGGGGAGGGACAGAGGGAGGGAGATAACAGGTTAGAGATACATAA
The DNA here is from genome assembly GCF_000001405.40 of Homo sapiens. Taxonomy (NCBI): domain Eukaryota; kingdom Metazoa; phylum Chordata; class Mammalia; order Primates; family Hominidae; genus Homo; species Homo sapiens. The sequence continues at coordinate 77,242,968 of NC_000011.10, read as the reverse complement.
TATATAGATATCTATTATCTACCTATCTATAATAGATTATAGATAATAGATATCCAAAGTCTCCTTTGGGTTTAGTAAAAGGCTGTTGCATGCATCTGTTTCTGTTCCTGCTTTTTCTGCCTTTCTGGCTATGGATTGATCATATAATAGTGTCTTTTTTTCTTTTAGCGTTGGAAAATTATATATGTTTTACTCTCTAATTCCCATTCAGAAGATTTTTCTTTACTCAACTACTCTTCTATTTTGAGCATATTTCTATTTTCTTCTACTTTTTTTTTCAAATAGAAAATGGCTCTAGAATGATTTCCTTCTCTCTTAATCCTGAGATTGATCTAGTAGTTGAAAAATAATTATGACTTCCATTTATTGAGCTATTATTATGTGTCAAGTTATATGTTTGCTAGACCTGGCCTAGCCATCAGCTACTTTGGTCTCTTTGGAAAAGTTTCTAATTGTCAGTTTTCTCCTTTGTAAATTAGAATAACAGTGGTACCTGCTGGAGTGGTTAAAAGGTTTAATGAGATTATTCTTGCTGTTTTAACTGAGAATGCTTTAAATGCATTGTTTTAATCAAAAGTATATGAGTATAGAATTGCCCTCTGTTTTATTTGTGATACTACAAAGTTTTTTAATGTTTTAAAGACATTTTAAAAATTTATATTATTTTTAATCGACATCATAACTGTATATATTTATAGGGTACAATGTGATGTTTTAATATATTTACACAATATGGAATGATTAAATCAAGCTAATTAACATATATCATATCTTTTTCATGTTAAGATATTTGAATTTACTCTCAGCTATTTTGAAATATACATTATTATTGACTGTAGTTACCCTGCTGTGCAATAGATCTCAAAACATTTCCCTCTATCTAACTGAAACTTTATACCTTTTGACCCAACATTTCCTCTCTCCCTCAACCCTTTGGTAACCAACATTCTACTTTTCAGTAACCAACATTAGCCTTTGGTAACCAACATTCTACTCTCTTTTTCTATAAGTTAGACTTATTTATTTATTTTTTTTTTGAGACAGAGTCTCGCTCTGTCACCAGGCTGGAGTGCAAAGGCCCAATCTTGGCTCGCTGCAACCTCCGCCTCTTGGATTCAAGCAGTTCTCCTGCCTCAGGCTGAGACTACAGGTGCACGCCACCATGCCCAGCTAATTTTCTGTATTTTTAGTAGAGATGGGGTTTCACCATGTTGGCCAGGATGGTCTCGATCTCTTGACCTCGTGATCCACCCGCCTCGGCATCCCAAAGTGTTGGGATTACAGGTGTGAGCCACTGTGCCAGGCCTTTTTTTTTTTTTTTTTTTTTTTTAAAGACAGGGTCTTGTTTTGTCACCCAGGCTGAAAGGCAGTGGCGTGATCTTGGCTCACTGCAGCCTCTACTTCCTGGGCTCAAGCTGTCCTCTTACCTCAGCTTCTCAAGTAGCTGGGACTACAGGCACATGCCAACACACTTGGCTAATTTTTAAATTCTGCATAGAGACGTGGTCTTGCTCAAGCAGTTTCCTCACCTCCACCTCCCAAAGTGCTGGAATTATAGGTGTGAGCCACCGTACCCCACTGTAAGTTTGACTTTTTTAGAGTCCACACGTAAGGGAGACCATGTGGTATTTGTCTTTCTTTGCGTGGCTTATTTCACTTACCATAATGTCGCCCATGCTCAACCATGTTTTCACAAGTGACAGAATTTCCTTCTTTTTAAAGGCTGAATAGTATTCCTTTGTATGTATATATTACATTTTCTTTACCCATTCATCTGTTTGATGGACACTTAGGTTGATTCCATATCTTGGCTACTGTGAATAGTGTTGCAATGAACATGGGAGTACAGATATCTCTTTGACATATTGATTTCACTTCCTTTGGATATATACTCAGTAGTGGGATTTCTGGATCATATGTATGTTAGTTCTATTTTTAGTTTTTTGAGGAACCTCCACTTTGTTTTCCATAATGGCTGTACTAATTTACATTCCCACCAACAGTGTGTAAGAGTTCCCTTTTCTCCACATCCTTGCCAGTACTTACTATCTCTCATCTTTTTTGTAATAGCCAAAATTTTGAGAGGTGTGAGATATCTCCTTGTGGTTTTAATTTGTATTTCCCTGATGATTAGTGATATTGAGTGTTTTCTTCATATGCTTGTTGGCTATTTGTGTCTTCTTTTGAGAAATATCTCTTCAGGTCCTTAGCCCATTTTTTCATTGGGTTATTTGTTTTTTTGCTATTAAATATTTTCTCCCATTTCATAGGTTTTCTCTTCACTCTGTTGATTGTTTCCTTTGCTGTGCAGACACTTTTTGGTTTGATGTAGTTCCGTTGGTCTATTTTTGCTTTTGTTACCTGTGCTTTTGGGGTCATATCCAAAAAATCATTGCCCAGAGACCAATGTTGTGGAGCTTTTCCCATTTTCTTCTAGTAGTTTTAGTTTCAGGTCTTACATTTAAGTCTTTAATCCATTTTGATTTGATTTTTGTATGTGGTATGAGATAAGGGCCTAATTTCATTCTTCTGCATGTGGCTATCCAATTTCTCAACACCATTTATTGAAGAGATTATCCTTTCCTCATTGTATGTTCTTGGCATCTTTGTTGAAATTCAATTAACTATAACGATTTGAATTTACATCTGGGCTCTCTATTCTGTTCCACTGGTATGTGTCTGTTTTTATGCCATTACCATGCTGTTTTGATTATCACATCTTTATAATGTATTTTGAAATTAGGGAATGTGATGTGTCCAGCCTTGTTCTTTTTGCACAAGATTGTCTTGGCTTTTAGAAATCATTAGTGGTCATACAAATTTAAGGATTTTTTTTTTATTTCTGTGAAAAATTACATTGGAAGTTTGAGAGGGATTATGTTGAATCTGTAGATTGCTTTGGGTAATTTTGACATTGTAACAATATTAAGTCTTTCAATCCATAAACACATAACTTTTCATTTATTTGTGTTTTTTTTAAATTCTTTCACCAATTTTTTTTTTTTTTCTGAGGCAGTCTTGCTCCGTCATCTAGGCTGGAGTGCAGTGGCACAATCTCTGCCCATTGCAACCTCTGCCTCCTGGGTTCAAGTGATTCTCCTGCTTCAACCTCCCAAGTAGCTGGGATTACAGGCACATACCACTGCACCCTGCTAATTTTTTATATTTTTAGTAGAGACCAGGTTTCCCCATGTTAGCCAGGCTGGTCTCAAACTCCTGACCTCAGGTGATCCACCCGCCTCAGCCCCCCAAAGTGCTGGGATTATAAGGTGTGAGCCACCGCACCCGGCCCCTTTCATCAGTGTTTCATAGTTTTTAGTGTACAGATCTTTCACCTCCTTGGTAAAGTTTTATTCCTAAGAATTCTATTTTTGTTGCTATTGTAAATGGGATTATTTTCTTACTTTCATCAGTTAGGTAGTTGTTAGTACATAGAAAGAAATGCTACTGGTTTTTGTATGTTGATTTTGTATCCTGCAACTTTGCAACCGATAAACTGAATGTATTAGTTTTAGTATTTTTGTGGATTCTTTAGGATTTTCTATATAAAAGGTCATGTCATCTGCAGAGACAATCTGACTTCTTTCTTATTTGGATGCCTTTTCTTTCTTTCTCTTGCCTAATTGCTCTGGCTAAGACAGTACTATGTCAAAAAGAAGTGGTGAGATTTGGCATCTTTGTCTTGTTCCTGATCTTAGAGGAAAAGCTTTCGACTGTTCACCATTGAGTATGATTTTAGTTGTGGCCATGTCCTGAATGGCCTTTATTGTATTTTGGTATATTCCTTCTATACATAATCTGTTGAGAGTTTTTATCATGAAAGGGTGTTGAATTTTGTTAAACGCTTTTTCTATATCTATTGAGATGATCATATGGTTTTTGTGTTTCATTCTGTTAATGCAGTGTGTCACATTTATTGATTTGCATATGATGAACCCTCCTTGTATCACGGAGGAATCCCACTTGATTATGGTGAATGATTCTTTTATGGTGCTGTTGAATTCAGTTTGTTAGTATTGTGTTGGGATTTTTATGTCTCAGGATTTCATTGGTGATATTGGCCTGTAATTTTCTTTTCTTGTAGTGTCCGTATCTTGCTTTGGTATCAAGGTAATGCTGGCCTAGTAAAATGAGTTTGGAATTATTCCCTCCACTTTATTTTTTTTGAAAGAGTTTGAGAAGGATTGATATTAGTTCTTCTTTAAGTGTTTGGTGGAATTCAGCAGTGAAGCCACTATGTCCTGGGCTTTTCTTTGTCGGTAGACTTTGTATTACTTTTTATTACTCCTTGTTATTGGTCTATTTTTAATGTTTTAAAAAAATGTTAAATAAAAAATTGTATTGAGGTGAAATTCACATAACATAATTTTTTTTTTTTTTTTTTGAGACGGAGTTTCGCTCTTGTTGCCCAGGCTGGAGTGCAATGGTGTGATCTCGGTTCACTGCAACCTCTGCCTCCCAGGTTCAAGTGATTCTCCTGCCTCAGCCTCCCAAGTAGCTGGGATTACAGGCTCACACCACCACACCTAGCTAATTTTTGTATTGTTAGTAGAGACGGGGTTTCATCATGTTGGCCAGGCTGGTCTCAAACTCCTGACCTCAGGTGATCCACCCACCTCGGCCTCCCAAAGTGCTGGGATTACAGGCATGAGCCACCACGCCCAGCCTAACATAAAATTTTAAAGTGAACAATTCAGTGACACTTAGTACATTTACATCGTTGTGCAATTGCCACCTTTAGTTCTAATGCATTTTGATACTGGAAGTTTTTATTTTTTCTGTTTTTCTTGATCAGTCTTGCTAGGGGTTTATGAATTTTAATCATTTCAAAACACTGAATTTTGGCTTTGTTATCTTTTTCCTATTGCACCTTTACTTTCCTATTTCATTGATTTCTGCTCTTTATAATTTTCACACTGACTTCAGTTTTAATTTGCTGTTCTTGCTAATAGATGGCTTTTTTAGGGTAGAAAATTAGGTGACCTGTTTTAGATCTTCTTTCTAATGTAAACATTTAAAGCTATAAACTTATTTGTTTTTTATTTTTTGAGATAGGGTCTCACTCTGTCACTCAGTTTGTAGTGCAGTGGCGTGATCTCGGCTCACTGCAACCTCTGGCATGAGCCATTGCGCCCAGCCTTAAAGCTCTAAATTTACTGTAAGCATTGCTTTAATTTTCTCCCACAAATTATGTTGATATATTGTTTCTTTGTTATCCAACTTAAAATATTTAAAGTTTTCTCATTTCTCATTAGACTCATGGATTATTTGGAAGTGTATTGCTAACTTTTTAAACATTTGAGGATTTTCTAGCTACTTCAGTTATTGATTTCTAATTTAAGCTTATTGTGATCAGAGAACAAACCTGTGTACTTTCAACCCTTTTAAATTCTATGGCTTAAATTCTAAACTTATTTTATGGCTCACTATATGGTTTATCTTGGTGAGCTTCTCATGTCCCCCTGAAGATTATGTGCCCTCTTCAGTTGTTGGGTGTAGTATTCTATAAATATCAATTAGTTCAAGTTGGTTGATAGGCTTTTTGAAAATTTTATATTCATTTTTTCTTCCTTTTTCTGTTGAGCTAATACAAAGGATTAGATTGCAGATCAAACATTCACATATCAGATAACCTACATACTGCCGAGATTTATCATTAATTTCAAGGATACAGCAGGCAATCAAGAGGCTCAAACAAAGCAAGGAGAGACATTGATTGTGGCTGTGCAGGTATCTTTATTTATTGGACATGTACTCTGTGGCCCAGAGTAATAGATGAGGCCTCCAAGTGAGTTTCTGCAGGGTTAACTCACACATAAGGGGAGCAGTTGAGTCATGAAACATCTCTATTTGATAGTCCCAGAGAGTTATCTAGTTTATGTGTCATGCTCCAGGGACCCATGCCTCATAAATCTGTTCCATGTTTATTTACAAAATATGTAATAAAGAAAGACTTAAACAGGAACATCCTTTTAAGAACATTACATATAAGGCTACTCTTCCTGGTAAATATTATTATTCTTTTTACAAAAGATCAGGTTATCCTGTTGAGAAGGAGACTTCTCAGACTTCTCAAGATCAAGACTTATTCCTTCTTTCTTCTGGCAGCAACTTCCCCAATCAAAGAAAAATGAATGGTTCCTTATACTGCTATCTGTCAGTTACCAATATATACCCAACTGTTAATATATCCAACTGTAATTGCGATTGTTGATTTGTGTGTGTGTGTGTGTGTGTGTTTCCTTCTTGTATTTTGAAACTCTTTTATTGGGTGCATTTTCACTTAGGATTATTAGATCTTGGTGAATTGGCCCCTTCATTATGAAATGTCCCTTGTTTAAGGTAATTAATCTTATCTAAAGTTTACTTTTTCTTGTATTAATATTGCCACACTGGCCGCCTTATAATTTGTGTTTGCTTAATAAGTCTTTTTCTATCTTTTGGCTTTCAACCACTTGGCATCTTTAAAGTGCATCTCTTATAAACAAAATTTTGTCTGTTCTTTTATATCTAGTAGGATAATCTCGGACTTTTAATTGGAATGTTAGGTCCAGTAATATTTAGTTCACCAATGAGAACACTTGGACACAGGATGGGGAACATCACACACCAGGGCCTGTTGTGGGGTGGGGAGACGGGGCAGGGATAGCATTAGGAGATATACCTAATGTAAATGATGAGTTGATGGGTGCAGAAAACCAACATGGCACATGTATACATATGTAACAAACCTGCACGTTGTGCACATGTACCCTAGAACTTTAATAACAAGAAAAAAAGGGAGGAAAAAAGGTTAACAATAGTGAACCTGAAAAAAAAATTTAGTTCACATATTAATCTAGTTAGGTTTACATTACCATCATGCTATTTTTTTTCTATTTGTCCTTTCTATTCCTTGTGGGGTTTTTTGATCACTCCTTCCCTCTCTTTTTATTTTTTAGTTAATCATTTTTTAGTATCTCATTCTATCTCTTCAATTTGTTTTTTTTTTTGTTTTTTTTTTGTTTTTAATAGAGACAAAGTCTCGCTCTGTCCCCCAGCCTGGGGTGCAGTGATGTGATCATTGTTCACTGTAGTCTCAAACTACTAGGCTCAAGCCATCTTTCTGCCTCAGCCTCCACAGTAGTTAGGACTATAGGCATGTGCCACCACACCTGGCTATTTTTTAAAATTTTTTTGTACAGACAGGGTCTCACTGTGTTGCCAGGCTGGTCTCAAACTCCTGGCCTCAAGCCATCCTCCTGCCTTGGCCTCCGAAAGCATTGGGATTATAGGCATGAGCTGCCATGTCTGGCTCCGGCTGAATTTTTACATCTTTGGATTATTTTTTACTGATTTCTCCAGAAACTGTAGCTGTCTAGTTACTCCTGCATTATTTTTTGAAAAGACTTTCTTCCATTGAATTGCTTTTGCATCTTTGTCAAAAATCATTTGTCACATTTGTATGGATCTATTGTATGGTTTTCGGTTCTGTTCCACTGATTTATGTGTCCATATCTCCTCTAATACCACACTAGCTTGCTTACTGTAGCTATATAATAAGTCTTAACATCAGATAGAGTGATTCCCTCTCACACTATTTTTTTTTCAGATTGTTTTAATTATTGTAGGGCTGTGCTTTTCCATATGAATCTTATAATCCACTTGCTAATTGTACAAAAAAACCTTGCTGCATCAAACTTACAGATCTATTTGAGGGAGAACTGACATCTTTACTACATTGAATTTCCAATCCATGAACACATATGTCACTCCACTTGTTTAAGAAAGTGGGTAAAGGATATGAACAGACACTTCTCAAAAGAAGACATACAAGCAACTAACAAACATATGAAAACATCCTCAGCATCACTAATCATCAGAGAGATACAAATCAAAACCCTGATGAGATACCATCTCACACCAGTCAGAATGGCTATTACTAAAAAGTCAAAAAAAAAAAAAAAAAAAAAAAAAAAACAGATATTGACAAGGTTGCAGAGAGAAGGAAATGCTTAGACACTGTTGGTGGGAATGTAAATTAGTTCAGCCCCTGGGGAAAGCAGTTTAGAGATTTCTCAAAGAACTAAAAATGTAACTACCATTTGACCCAGCAATCCCATTACTGGGCATCTACCCAAAGGAAAATAAATTGTTCTACTAAAAAGATACCTGCACTTGTATGTTTATTGCAGCACTATTCACAATAGCAGAGACATGGAATCAACCTAACTGCCCATCAGTGGTGGACTGGATAAAGAAAATGTGACACATATACACCATGGAATACTATGCAGCCATAAGAAAGAATGAAATCATGTCCTTTGCAGCACATAGATGAAGCTGGAGGCCATTATTCTAAGTGAATTAGTGCAGAGACAGAAGATCAAATACCACATGTTCTCACTTATAAGTGGGAGCTAAACATTGGGTACACATGGACATAAAGTTGGAAATGATAGACAATGGGGAGTCCAAAATGGAGGAGGGAGAGACAGGGGAAAGGGTTGGAAAACTACCTGTGGGGTACTATGTTCACTATTTGGGTAGCAGATTCAAACCTCAGTATCATGCAATATATCCATGTATTAAACCTGCACATGTATCTCCTGAATTTAAAATTTAAACAAACAAGGAATGTGATTGGTTTTTGAGTTTTGGTTTCAAAAGGTAAAAATAAGTAACTTTTTACTATTTTTTCCTAATTTTATTTTTAAAATTTATCTTTATCTGCAGGGATTGGTTCAGAGACAATTCTAACATATTGGATAACTAATTGCTAGCACCTCTGTTAAGGAGGCATTATTATTATTTTACAGTTTCTATACTGAGGCCAAGAATTTACTAAGCTCGTATATGACAGAACTGGGATTCAAACCCAGGCTTGTACAGAGCAGTTTCCAATATGCCATACCATTTGAGAGTTGAAAAAATTTTTTGAAGGCATTTACATGGTATGTTTTCTGAGAAATTGAATCCCTGAAAATGACAACTTAGCTGGAATTACTAGGTGTTCCTCCACTTATTTTCTCCCTGTCTCTATAAACAGTTCACAAGTATCCACTGACATTTAGTGCCATGGGACAAATTAGGTTTTCCCCCTATTTTCATTACTTGCAAAAATTCCTTATATTTGAAATTTAATAAGTTCACCAGATTGGTACTCATTTATTTATTTTTTCAATTAATATTTGTGGAGCCTGGCATTATGCTAGGTATTGAGTATCCAGAGACAAATAAGACATAGTCTCTGCTTTTAGTTTGCTTAGAGTCAAGTAAAGAACTGATAAATGAGCAGATCATTCGAGTACGGGGTGATAAGTGCTCTGATAGAAGCGAGTATATAGGTGCTGCTACATAGTAGCATGCCAGAGCCAGCTCATACCAGCTTGTTATTAAATATTCAGAAACTCTGCAAATTGGTTCTACCAATGGTAGCTTACAGTTGGCTATGGTAGGAGTGTTTTTACCATGGAAATTTGCATATGCTACAATAGGGTTTTCCTTTTTCCTTTTCCCCATTCTTTTTTTTTTTTTTTTTTTCAATATGTTTTCTTTCTTCCTTTTTATTATTCTCCTTAGGACATTTGGTTTACCAGCACACCACTGTTGCTACAGGAGCAGAGGTGCTAAATCCAATCCTTTATCTTATTGTACTATGAGCCCATTCTGTCACATCGTATCATGAATTGTCCCTGGATCAGCTGCTTCTGGTGATTTAGGCAACAGCCTTTCACAAACATGGTGGCTGTTCTCCTTTTAGATGATGAGAATGAAACTTGATCTAAATCCCCTGTGGGTTCTGTTTTTGTTCCAGAGATTATAAAGCAGCTAACATCCATATCAACGTATACACCGTCAATGAGCCTTGGCTTTTCTCACTGGCCTGGTGCTCCAGGATTAACTCAGTGACCACAGACAACATTGGGCTCCTGAGTCAGCTTGATCACCCTCACTTCTTCATGGTGAGCTGGTTGTCCAGATTGTTCTTCCAGGCTTGGTATGATAGCAGTGCAGGCCCCCCAGCCCTGTGTTGCCCACTGTGCCATCCCCTGGGCAGCCACTTAAGAGTACAGACTTCTATGAATATTGGAGATGTGGTATTTTCCATTCTCACAGATCCTTCTGGGATTTTCAGGCAAAAATTAGTGTTGTTATAATAATTGACATTTATTGAATCCTTACAATGTGCTTGACATGCGTTATGTCATTTAACCCTTTGAATTGGCCACTGTTATCATCTTCATGAGGAAACTGAAGCTCAAAGATATCTTTGCATGTGGTTTCATGAGGCAGGATTCAGAATGAGGTCTGACTTCAGAGTTTTGTTACTGTAGCCCCACCTTTGTAGAGGCATGGCAACAATTGACAACGGCATGGAGAGTGGGGAGAAAACCAAGCGTACTTGACTCCAAAGTGGAAACTGTGTGCCCTAACAAATGGCTTTTGAAGAGGGTAGCCAGTGTCCAGTTGCATGTTCTAGGCCTTCTGTTGCTTACTGCCAGAAGCTTGAGAACCTGAAGACCTGGTTTACGATCCCAGCCAAATCCTATCACTATCTGTGGAGGGAGCCCTAGCTAACCAGTTACTGCTACAGAACTTGTTCTTATCTGTACAGAGAGTAGGTTGACTGAGTGGGACACAATAGCATACAACAGAAAACAGTTTAATTTCGCTGCATTGATTCTTTAAACCTGGTCTGTGATGTAGGCCTTTCTCTGCCCCTGAATGAAATCTCACTTAGGTCCTGTAGCTTTTCCAGTCACTGTTAGATAACTTTTAGAAGTTCACTTTTAGTCATCAAAAAGCCTCACTTCAGAATTAAGAGTCCAATCCCAAGTAATAACCCAAACTCCAAATGGCCTTGAAAGTTAAAGCCTTTGTCAGAGAAGCCTAAGAGGGAAGGGGCCTCAAGTCACCTCCTCCAGATCTCCACCCTCTGGCCTGAGCTTCTGACCTGTTCAGGGTCAGGACCAGGGGAAAAGGGATCCAGAGTCAAGGCACAGTCTTACAGGGCCAGTAACTGCATCTAGGCCCTCTGGTAGACAGGAGAAATCGCTGACTTCTTACTATGGTGGCTTGGTCAGCTTCCTGGAGATGACCCTGAAGGGAGCTTTGGATGGCAGGTCACTCAGCACAGGTGGAGCCTTTCCACCCACCTGTCCCCATATAACTCCCCTTCATGTATATACTATGTGTTTTTCTAACATTTTAAAATCCAGTCATTACAAAAATGCATAATTTAGAAAGCAGCACACCCCTCCATAATCCTATCCCCTGAATCAGTAATGTCTCAAAGTTGTCCCTTTGGGAGGTACACATTTACTTAAATGATGCTATTTCTGAATGCGTTTTTTTCATTTTAATATTTAAATGAATAAATCCATGTGATTCAAAAATCAAAAAGTTTAAAAGGATATATGTAAGAAAACCAATCTTCCTTCCACACCTAGTCTAGGCATTTTTAAAGGACCCAATGCATGGTTCCCAGCCTATGCCATGTGTCATTTTATTCAGGGAGGTGAGGCTGGTGTCCCAGAGGTCTTAACAGGAAGCCTACACTCCAGAGTTAGACTGATTGAGATTTAGATTCAGATCTTGGCTCCATTACTTACTGTGTGAATGTGGAAATACTAGTTAATGTGTTTGTGGTTTTTGGCTTTTTTGTTTCTTCTGTTTGAAAATTGGGGATAATAATAGTGCAGTAGAAACACTTGTGTCCAACATAATCTGGTCTGGTCATTGGTCTCGTAATTGAGAAAATTAAAGTGAGGAATCATTTAAAAATGATATACACTTTATCAGTTAGCTTTTAATGCTTAATAAAAACTACCTAAAACTTAGTGTCTTAAACAAATATTTATCATGTCTCAATTCTGGCTGATGGCTAGGTGGTGTCTCTGGTTTGAGCCAAGTCAGCTGGGCTGGATAGTCTAGGATGCCTTGTTCATTTGTCTAGAGGCGCACCTGGAATGACCAAGTTTCTCTTCGTGTCGTCGCTCATCCTCAAGGCAGCTAGCTGGAGTGTGTTCACCTAGTGGAGATGGGTTCCCAACAGCAAGAGAGAGCAAGCCCCAAAGCACATGGACTTTTCAAAGTTCTCACAGTGTTATGTTTGCTGATGTTCCATTGGCCAAGGAAAATCACCTGGCCAAATTCAGATTCAGGGTGGGAGAGAAACAGACTTCACCTCTTGATAGGGAGGCACAGCTAAGTCACGTTGTGTAGGGGCCTGCATATAGGTTTGGAAGGAATTTTGTGGTCATTTTTATAAACAGTATGCCACATACATACTTCACAAATTTTATTTTAAAATATTCATTCACCTTTTGACAGTCATTTCTTTGAGGATATTTCTGCTGATCGAGTTCTATGTTCTCTCATTTAAACATCCAGATGAACTAGCTAGGATTTCTAACTGTTTGTTTTAAGCAGAACAGGAACTTAAAGTCATTAGGACAATCAATCTGAATGAGCAATCTACCTAGATCTTTATAATCCCTCAAACCCTTGTAGTGTTTCACCTACACCTAATCTAATTGCTGTCTATTCTTTAATGATCTATTTTGTCCTCATTGAGTTTTTCAAAGCATTTGACTTAGTTTCTTTGAAAATGACATACTTTTTTCACTCAGATCTCACAAATTTAAGCAGCATCTAATTACATTGCACTATTACAATAACAAGTACAGTTGACTTAAGCCATTTGGGAAACAAGGATAACTGATTCTTTGTGAACATTCTGCTTATCTGGTAGGCCTCTTGGAGCAATCAGCCAACTACAGCAGCCCTCAGTCAATATTTTTCCCAGAGGGGATTAAGAGCCTCAGTTCAGTGGAAGTTGGTTAAGATTTTCTACTAGTAGGGCTATTATGAGGCTTAAATCTGTAAATACCCCTGAAGTGCTTAGAATACCTGCCTGGCTCCTGTTAATTGCTTATTGTTAATTATGATCATTAGTGTTATTAATTTTATTATTCAGCTCAAGGAAAGACCTTGGGATAGGGTGGAGAGTGGTCTGAGAAAGGATAAAATGTGCCAGCCCTATTAGCATCAAGTGGAATTAGAGAGGGCACAATTGAGGTGGAAAGGGAGCATCAAACTCAATGAGAGGACCCAGAAGACAGAGCTCTGGGAAATAGATGATTTGGGCAAGGAGCATAGAAGAGGAGCATGTAGGTAAGGGGTAATTGTACTTCAGCATTCTTAATTAAAGTGTGATACTTTAGAACAATGGTTCCCAAATGCTGGCTTACAGACACATGGCTTCAGCATCACCTGGGAATGTGTTAAAAATGCAGAGATTCTCATTCCTTAGGTGTCTAGTGAGACCCAGAAACCTGTATTACTAAAAGCTGCCCCGGGAGACTTGGCTGCACAGCCAGGTTTGAGAAGCCATGCCTTGAAAACAGCAGTAGAAGTCAAGAACCTGGACTGTGGTCTTGGGTCCAGAATAGACTTGTTGTGTGACTTCTCTGGGACCCCCTCTGCCCTCTGTCTTGGGAGATGAAAGGTGAGATGAAAGGTGTGAAGTGTTCTATTCCCTCTAGAGCCCCCTGCATGTATAAGGGTGACTGTTAGGACACTTGCAGGGACTGTCTGTGTTTGAGAATGCCACATCAATCAAGGTTCCTTGGCCTGTCTATCCCCTCTTCCTCTCCTCCTCCAGCCCTGGCAGCAGAGCAAGGGACTTAGACCGTATGATCCAAAATCCCTTCTAACTGTAAAGTTCTTTCACTGTGGTTTATGTTTTTCAGACACCAAAGTTCTATGTGTTCATGTGGCTCCTTGCAGATATCATTTCTGTGCTTTTTATTGTTGCCATATTTTGTTTTCACTGGTAAGTATATATATAATTTTAAATGAATTTTTTCCAAAATAAATGGATTATTATAGGAAATTGAGAAAAATAAGAGTTACGCTCTTCCCGTAATCCCACATGGCAAGATGGCGTTTATAATCTGAATCTCTCTTCTCATGTAGTCTGCAGTTCCTCACACCCCTTTGACCTCCCCCAAATAAGACAATATTTTCAGGATAGGGACTGTCACTAAAGCTTAGTCAAGCCTATTACTATGGATTCAATGTGGAGCAGTTGAAAGATGACAGGGCTTGAATATTGTCCAGAACAAGTGCCTCCACCTTCCCATCTTCCATGAAATGGCATAGCAGTGTGCAAAGAGCAAGTTCATAAACCAGGAAGACTGGGTTTTAGCTCTGGCTTTGTCCCTTAGTTGCTAGGTGACCCTGGGAAAACAACTGCTTCTTTCTGGGCCATAATATTTTTTTTGTTCGTTTTTTTGAGATGGGGTCTCAGTCTATTGCCCAGGCTGGAGTGCGGTGGCATGCAGTGGCATGATCTCGGCTCACTGCAGCCTCCACCTCCTGGGTTCAAGTGATTCTCCTGCCTCAGCCTCCCGAGTAGCTGGGATTACAGGTGCCTGCCACTGTGCCTGGCTAATTTTTTTTTTTTTTTTTTTTTTTTTTTTTGAGACGGAGTCTTGCTCTGTCACCCAGGCTGGAGTATAGTGTCACGATCTCGGCTCACTGCAACCTCCGCCTCCTGGGTTCAAGCGATTCTCCTGCCTCAGCCTCCCGAGTAGCTGGAACTACAGGCACCACCATGCCCAGCTAATTTTTTTTAAAAATATTTTTAGTAGAGGTGGGGTTTCACCATATTGGTCAGGCTGGTCTTGAACTCCTGACCTTGTGATCTGCCCGCCTCGGCCTCCCAAAGTGCCGGGATTACAGGGGTGAGCCACCCTGCCTGGCCCATGCCTGGCTAATTTTTGTATTTTTAGTAGAGATGGGGTTTCACCATGTTGGCCCCGCCTCAGGTGATCCGCCTGCCTCAGCCTCCCAAAGTGCTGGCATTACAGGTGTGAGCCACCGTGCCTCGCCCATAATCTTTTTATCTGTAGAAGAAAATGACATTTGGGAATCCTTGCAGGCAAATGCTATAGGATTGTAAGTTTCAAGATGGAAGGGGGAAGAAGATCCTGGAGGAGGAACGTTAGAAGAGACCATGATTCTTTAGACCCCTTCATTTCATGGATGGTCTGCTTCCTTCTAGGCGGAGAGAGACTGAAAAAGAAAAATTGTTTGAAACCTCCAGCACTCGCACAGGTAAAGTCAGAGGCCTAGCCCACTCCTGTCTCTTCATCCCTACCCATTGCTTCCAGGAGACAGAGGCAGCTTTTCATGTCCCTGACAAGAGCTGAGGGTGTCTGGAAAGTTGGGGGTGGGGTTGGGGGAGGGACCAGGGGAAGTATAGGCTGGGCATAGATTCTGGAGGACTCTGTACATCAGGCTTCAGATTTTAGATTTCATCCTCTAAGCAGTGAGGCCCCTTGGAAGATTTCAAGCATGGGTGTTTACTTCTTCATATATTCATGTATCATACAGCCACTGAGTCCACACTTTGTGCAAGGCACTTAGAGAGGGGCTGAAGATAACCGAAAGATGTCTCTGGAGGGTGGCCTGAGAGAGGGGAGGGGCTGGTCCTTAAAGAGCAGTGAGGAAGAAGGCAAAAGTATAGCATTGACATCACTGGGCCAGGCATCTAGGTCCAGGACAGAGTAGCTGCCATGCCCATTAGGGGGAAGGTGCTTTATGGGTATCATTTGTGGGTGATATATGTTGGAGGCTAGAGGAAGAAAACTTCAGCGGTCCTGGAATTGCTAAACCAGAGTCAAGTCACTGCATATTGGCAGTTAGGAGATGGCATTATCGCTTTCATTCACACAAGGAAGCGACATGGTTAGATTTCTGTGTAAAGGGCTGAGGAAGTGAATTAGGCTTAGTAAGGGGAAGGGATGCTAGAGTTTCTTTGAGGGTTGTGAGGATGATCACACAGTAAGTTTTGGAAGCCAATGCAGTGTCAAAGGGAAACCAATTAGGAGGCAGAAGACTGCGCGGTGTGGGATATAATTTCCTTCCGCAACTCCTGGAGACTTAATTAAAGTTGGAACAGTCACAAAATCATGAATTTAATTTAATTTCTTATGGACAATGGTGAAGCTCCTGATATTCCATGTACCAGCTGGCAGATGAGTGGAACTGATACAACACTTAGGGTTGCAGGAATGAATCCACAGGGATCATGAAAAACTAAGTTTAGAAATTTGAATAAATTAAATAGAAGGCAATGGTCTTTCATATGCTGTGAAACTGGAGGTTTAAGCCAAGTTTACCCAGGTCTGAGGCAGGGCGACCTCAAGTTACATGGTTACTTGAGTTACAAATTACATGGAATTTAAGATCACTCTACTGGCTACGTTACAAAGTCTGAAGCTAACTGACGATTGCAGCTAGTTTATGATTATATCAGTAGTTGTTCCTTAGTAAGCTAGGGCTGCCATAACAAAATACCATAGACTGGGTGGCTTGAACAACAGAAATTTATTTTCTCACAGTTCTGGAGGCTAGAAATCCCAGATCAAGGTGCTGGCAAATTTGGTGAGGAGCCCTAGTGAGCACTGTCTTCTTAGCTTGAATGCAGCTGCCTTCTCACTGTGTGTTCACATGGCCTTTTCTGTGTGTGTGCTTGGGAGAGTGGGATCTCGGGTCTCTCTTCCTCTTCTCATAAGGGCACCAGTCCTGTTGGATTAGGGCCCCACCCTTATGGCTTCATTTAACCTTAATTACTCCTGAAGTGCCCTGTCTCCAAATACAGTCACACTGAGGGTTAGGACTCTGACATATGAAATTGGAGTTGGGGGGACATAATTCAGCCCATAACAATAATCCAGCCAAGCAGTGATAGAACATGGAGATGAGGAGGAAACATGGCTGGGAAAGAAGTTTTGAAAGTAAAATTGAAGAACTATATAAACCTAGATAAAAGAGGTGGCTTAGAAAAAGTAACAGTTAACTTGACCCTACCCACTACTATGCTAAAATGGTGATGAGAAAAGGTGAGTAGAAAATAAATGAAGGATTTTCTGTTTTTAAGAGCTCTTAGGTTGCCTATTAGAGAAACCAGTTTTTCTTGATCTAAGCAGAAAGAAAAGGCATTGGAAAGCTATTTGGGTACCTCAAAGAGATATCTAGAAGGTGCAGGACCAAGTTTAGAATCAGGGAAGGAACAAGGAAGACTAGACAGAAGTCAGGACCTCAGCCATAACCACAGCCCAGATCCATTAAAGTTGAGGAGAATGGAGCCTCATTTGCTAAATACGGAGTGCCATGTGTTGCCCCATGCCACCTCCAGGATGGGCACGTACTGCTGCACCTACTGATGCCATGTCTACCACCAGAAGGCCTCTCTCTAGTGTGAGGGGGTATTTTTCAGCAATTTAAGTCAATTTTGTTGTCTTCTGTCGTATGTAGTTTCTTATGTAAAGTTTCAGTTTTCTTACCCCTGTTCTTCTGTTTGTAACGTGTCTTTTTTCCTCTGGCTACATTTTAAGATTATTCCTTTTATTATTGGTTTTTAGTAGTTTGATTATGGCTTAACTTCGTGCGTGTGCGTGCATGTGAGAGGGAGAGAGAGACTATCTTGATTAGGGTTTGCTGAAATTCTTAGATCTGTCAGAGTATAATTTTCATCAAATTGGACATAATTTTAGTCTTTATTTCTTCAAATATTTTTCTGCCTCTGCTCCACCACTGCTTTCTGGGATTCCAGTTACACAGCTGTTTGTTAGTATATTATCCCATAGGTTACTGAGACTTTTTTTTTTTTTTTGAGACAGAGTCTTGCTCTGTTGCCCAGGCTGGAGTGCAGTGGCATGATCTCAGCTCACTGCAGCCTCCACCTCCCAGTTTCAAGCGATTCTCCTGCCTCAGTCTTCTGAGTAGTCATTTAAAATATTTAATTAATTTCCTTTATTTTTGGATAGATTCTATTGCTGTGTTTACTAGTTTTTTGTTTTGCTTGTTTAGAGGCAAGGTCTCACTCTTTCGCCCAAGTCTGGAGTATAGTGGCATGATCATGGTTCACTGCAACCTTGAACTCCTGGGCTCAAACAATCCTCCTGCCTTAGCCTCCCTAGTATCTGGGACCACAGGCACAAACCATTATGACTGGCTAATTAAAAAAAAAAAAAGGTAGAGATGGCATCTCACTATGTTGCCCAGGCTGATCTCAAACTCCTGACCTCAAGCAGTCGGCTTGCCTTGGCCTCCTAAAGCACTGGAATTACAGATGTGAGCTACCCTGCCCAGCCTATATTAGTTTTTTATTGCCGTATTTTAAAAAATTACTCCAAACCTAGCAGCTTAACACTATACAAATGTATTATCTCACAGACATGGGTTAGACAGTTCCTTTACTTACTCTTTACAGGGTATCAATTGGGGCTACAATCTTATTTGAGGTTTGTGGTCCTCTTCCAGGCTCACTGCTTGTTAGCAGAATTAAAAGTTCCTCATAGTTGTAGAAGTGAAGTCATCTCTGTTTTCTCAATGGCTGTTAGCAGGGTTTTGGTCTGAGCTCCTAGAGGTGACCCTCAAGTCCTATCCACATGGTCCTCACAACATGGCAGCTTACTTCTTCAAAGCCAACAACAGAATATCTCTCCAGTCTGCTATGATGAAGTCTGTGTAATCTATGATGAAGTCTATGTAATGTAATGTAATGTAAATCATTGGAGTAATTATCCCAGAACCTTTGTCATATAGCATAACCTAATCAAGAGAGGTAACTATCCTGAGGTCTGTTCCAAGATGACTGAATAGAAACAGCTCCGGTCTGCAGCTCCCAGCGTGATTGACGCAGAAGACGGGTGATTTCTGCATTTCCAACTGAGGTACCTGGTTCATCTCACTGGGACTGGTTGGACAGTGGGTGCAGCCCAGGGAGGGCAAGCAGAAGCAGGGCAGGACATCACCTCACCTGGGAAATGCAAGGGGTCGGGGGATTTCCCTTTCTTAGTCAAGGGAAGCCGTGACAGACTGTACCAGGAAAATCGAGACACGCCAGCCTTAATACTGCACTTTTCCAACGGTCTTAGCAAACAGCATGCCAGGAGATTATATCCCTGCCTGGTTCAGCAGGTCCCACGCCCACAGAGCCTTGCTCACCACTAGCGCAGCAGTCCAGATGGAACTGCAAGGCCACAGCCTGGCTAGGGGAGGGGTGTCTGCCATTGCTGAGGCTTGAGTAGGTAAACAAAGCAGCCAGGACGCTCAAATTAGGTGGAGCCCACCGGAGCTCAAGGAGGCCCCTGCCTCTGTAGACTCCACCTCTGGGGGCAGGGCATAGCTGAACAAAAGGCAGCAGAAACTTCTGCAGACTAAAACGTCCCTGTCTGACAGCTCTGAAGAGAGTAGTGGTTCTCTCAGCACAGTGTTTGAGCTCTGAGAACAGACAGACTGCTTCCTCAAGTGGGTCCCTGACCCCCGTGTATCCTAACTGGGAGACACCGCCCAGTAGAGGCCGACTGACAGGTCATACAGCCAGGTGCCCCTCTGAGACAAAGCTTCCAGAGTAAGAATCAGGCAGCAATATTTGCTGTTCTGCAGCCTCTGCTGGTGATACCCAGGCAAACAGGGTCTGGAGTGGACCTCCAGCAAACTCCCCCAATAGACCTGCAGCTGAGGGACCTGACTGTTTGTTAGAAGGAAAACTAACAAACAGAAAGGAATAGCATCAACAGAAAGGACATCCATAACCAAAACCCCATCTGTAGATCACCATCATCAAAGACCAAGGGTAGATAAAACCACAAAGATGGGGAGAAACCAGACTGCCTCTTCTCCTCCAAAGGATTGCAGCTCCTTGCCAGCAACAGAACAAAGCTGGATGGAGAATGACTTTGACAAGCTGACAGAAGTAGGCTTCAGAAGGTCGGTAATAACAAACTTCTCCAAGCGAAAGGAGGATGTTCGAACCCATTGCAAGGAAGCTAAAAACCTTCAAAAAAGACGAATGGCTAACTAGAATAAACAGTGTAGAGAAGACCTTAAATGACCTGATGGAGCTGAAAACCATGGCATGAGAACTACGTGACACATGCACAAGCTTCAGTAGCTGATTTGATCAAGTGGAAGAAAGGGTATCAGTGATTGAAGATCAAATTAATGAAATGAAGTGAGAAGAGAAGTAGAGTAAAAAGAAATGAACAAAGCCTCCAAGAAATATGGGACTACGTGAAAAGACCAAATCTACATTTGATTGGTGTACCTGAAAGTGACGGGGAGAATGGAACCAAGTTAGAAAACACTCTTCAGGATATTATCCAGGAGAACATCCCCAACCTAGCAAGGCAGGCCAACATTCAAATTCAGGAAATACAGAGACCACCACAAAGGTACTCCTCAAGAAGAGCAACCCCAGGACACATAATTGTCAGATTCACAAAGGTTGAAATGAAGGAAAAAATGTTAAGGGCAGCCAGAGAGAAAGGTCGGGTTACCCACAAAGGGAAGCCCATCAGACTAACAGCGGATCTCTCAGCAGAAACTTTACAAGCCAGAAGAGAGTGGGGGCCAATATTCAACATTCTTAAAGAAAAGAAAAGAATTTTCAACCCAGAATTTCATATCCAGCCAAACTAAGCTTCATAAGTGAAAGAGAAATAAATCACATCCTTTACAGACAAGCAAATGCTGAGAGATTTTGTCACCACCAGGCCTGCCCTAAAAGAGCTCCTGAAGGAAGCACTAAACATGGAAAGGAACAACCAGTACCAGCCACTGCAAAAACATGCCAAACTGTAAAGACCGTCAAAGCTAGGAAGAAACTGCATCAACTAACAAGCAAAATAACCAGCTAACATCATAATGACAGCATTAAATTCACAGATAAGAATATTAACCTTAAATGTAAATGGGCTAAATGCCCCAATTAAAAGACACAGACTGGCAAATTGGATAGAGTCAAGACCCATCAGTGTGCTGTATTCAGGAGCCCCATCTCAAGTGCAGACACACACATAGGCTCAAAATAAAGGGAGGGAGGAAGATCTACCAAGCAAATGGAAAGCAAAAAAGCAGGGGTTGCAATCCTAGTCTCTGATAAAACAGACTTTAAACCAACAAAGATCAAAAGAGACAAGGCCATTACATAATGGTAAAGGGATCAATTCAACAAGAGCTAACTATCCTAAATATATATGCACCCAATACAGGAGCACCCAGATTCATAAAGCAAGTCCTTAGTGACCTACAAAGAGACTTAGACTCCAACACAATAATAATGGGAGACTTTAACACCCCACTGTCAATATTAGACAGATCAACGAGACAGAAGGTTAACAAGGATATCCAGGACTTAAACTCAGCTCTGCACCCAGCGGACCTAATAGACAGCTACAGAACTGTCCACCCCAAATCAACAGAATATACATTCTTCTCAGCACCACATTGCACTCATTCCAAAACTGACCACATAGTTGGAAGTAAAGCACTCCTCAGCAAATGTAAAAGAACAGAAATCACAACAAACTGTCTCTCAGACCACAGTGCAATCAAATTAGATCTCAGGATTAAGAAACTCACTCAAAACCTCTCAACTACATGGAAACTGAACAACCTGCTCCTGAATGACTACTGGGTACATAACGAAATGAAGGCAGAAATAAAGATGGTCTTTGAAACCAATGAGAAAAAAGACATAACATACCAGAATCTCTGGGACACATGTAAAGCAGTGTGTAGAGGGAAATTTATCGCACTAGGTGCCCACAAGGGAAAGCAGGAAAGATCTAAAATTGACACTGTAACATCACAATTAAAAGCACTAGAGAAGCAAGAGCAAACAAATTTAATAGCAGAAGGCAAGAAATAACTAAGATCAGAGCAGAACTGAAGGAGATAGAGACACAAAAAAACCCTTCAAAAAAATCAATCCAGGAGCTGGTTTTTTGAAAAGATAAAATTGATAGACCACTAGCAAGAATAATAGAGAAGAATCAATTAGATGCAATAAAAAAATGCTAAAGGGGATATCACCACTGATCCCACAGAAATACAAACTACCATCAGAGAATACTATAAACTCTCCACGCAAATAAACTAGAAAATCTAGAAGAAATGGATAAATTCCTGGACACCCTCCCACGACTAAACCAGCAAAGATCACCCTCCCAAAACTAAAGTGAGAAAGGTCGGGTTACCCACCCGAATTCAGAAGTTGAATCCCTGAATAGACCAATAACAGGGTCTGAAATTGAGGCAATAATTAAGAGCCTACCAACCAAAAAAAGTCCAGGACCAGACGGATTCACAGCTGAATTCTACCAGAGATACAAAGAGGAGCTGGTACTATTTCTTCTGAAACTATTCCAATCAATAGAAAAAGAGGGAATCCTCCCTCACTCATTTTATGAGGCCAGCATCATCCTGATACCAAAGCCTGGCAGAGACACAACAAAAAAAGAGAATTTTAGACCAATATCCCTGATGAACATTGATGTGAAAATCCTCAATAAAATACTGGCAAACCGAATCCAGCAGCACATCAAAAAGCTAATCTACCAAGATCAAGTTGGCTTCATCCCTGGGATGCAAGGCTGGTTCAACATATGCAAATCAATAAATGTAATCCATCACATAAACAGAATCAATGACAAAAACCACGTGATTATCTCAATAGATGCAGAAAAGGCCTTTGACAACATTCAACAGCCCTTCATGCTAAAAACTCTCAATAAACTAGCTATTGATGGGACATATCTCAAAATAATAAGAGCTATTTATGACAAACCAACAGCCAATATACTGAATGGGTAAAAACTGGAAGCATTCCCTTTGAAAACTGGCACAAGACAGGGATGCCCTTTCTCACCACTCCTATTCAACATAGTGTTGGAAGTTCTGGCCAGGGCAATCAGGCAAGAGAAAGAAATAAAGGGTATTCAATTAGGAAGAGAGGAAGTCAAATTGTCCCTGTTTGCAGATGACATGATTGTATATTTAGAAAACCCCATCGTCTCAGCCCAAAGTCTCCTTAAGCTGATCAGCAACTTCTGCAAAGTCTCAGGATACAAAATCACCCCATAGTCTCAGCCCAAAATCTCCTTAAGCTGATAAGCAACTTCAGCAAAATCTCAGGATACAAAATCAATGTGCAAAACTCACAAGCATTCCTATACACCAATAACAGACAAACAGCCAAATCATGAGTGAACTCCCATTCACAGTTGCTCCAAAGAGAATAAAATACCTAGGAATCCAACTTACAAGGCATTGCCAAGACAATCCTAAGCAAAAAGAACAAAGCTGGAGGCATCAAGCTACCTGACTTCAAACTATACTACAAGGCTACAGTAACCAAAACAGCATGGTACTGGTACCAAAACAGAGATATAGACCAATGGAACAGAACAGAGCCCTCAGAATATAACACCACACATCTATAACCATCTGATCTTTGACAAACCTGACAAAAACAAGAAATGGGGAAAGGATTCCCTATTTAATAAATGGTGCTGGGAAAACTGGCTAGCCATATGTAGAAAGCTGAAACTGGATCTCTTCCTTACTCCTTATACAAAAATTAATTCAAGATGGAGTAAAGGCTTAAATGTTAGACCTAAAACCATAAAAACCCTAGAAGAAAACCTAGGCAATACCATTCAGGACATAGGCATGGGCAAGGACTTCATGACTAAAACACCAAAAGCAATGGCAACAAAAGCCAAAATAGACAAATGGGATCTAATTAAAGAGCTTCTGCACAGCAAAACAAACTGCCATCGGAGTGAACAGGTAACCTACAGAATGGGAGAAAATTTTTGCAATCTACCCATCTAACAAAGGGCTAATACCTGGAATCTACAAAGAACTTAAACAAATTTACAAGAACAACCCCATCAGAAAGTGGGCAAAGGATATGAACAGACACTTCTCAAAAGAAGACCTTTATGCAGCCAACAGACACATGAAAAAATGCTCATCGTCACTGATCATGTGAGAAATGCAAAACAAAACCACAATGAGATACCATCTCACACCAGTTAGAATGGCAATCATTAAAAAGTCAGGAAACAACAGGTGCTGGAGAGGATGTGGAGAAATAGGAACACTTTTACACTGTTGGTAGGAGTGTAAACTAGTTCAACCATTGTGGAAGACAGTGTGGCGATTCCTCGAGGATCTAGAACTAGAAATACCATTTGACCCAGTGATCCCATTACTGGGTATATACCCAAAGGATTATAAATCATGTTACCATAAAGACACATGCACACGTATTGTTTATTGCGGCACTATTCACAATAGCAAAGACTTGGAACCAACCCAAATGTCCATCAGTGATAGACTGGATTAAGAAAATGTAGCACATATACACCATGGAATATTATGCAGCCACAAAAAAGGATGAGTTCATGTCCTTTGTAGGGACATGGATGAAGCTGGAAACCGTCATTCTGAGCAAACCATCACAAGGACAGAAAACCAAACACCGCATGTTCTCACTCATAGGAGGGAATTGAACAATGAGAACACTTGCATACAGGGCAGGGAACATCACACACCACAGCCTGTCGTGGGGTGGGGGTATGGGGGAGGGATAGCATTAGGAGAAATACCTAATGTAAATGACGAGTTGATGGGTGCAGCAAACCAACATGGCACATGTATACATATGTAACAAACCTGCACATTGTGCACATGTACCCTAGAACTTAAAGTATAATAATAAAAGAGCGGTAACTATCCTATGATAACCCCAAAGATTCACAGCCTCTGGTATATATCCCTTAGATCAGAAAAATATATCAGAAAAAATAGACTTTAATCAAAAAAGCCTTCACAAGGGAAGGCATATGATTGATCACTAAAAACTACAAAACTTTAGTGAGAGAAAGAATGCCCAAATAAATGGAGCAATCATGTTCATGAATTAGAAAAGTTATAAAGATATTGTCATGGAATTGATCTAAAAATTCCATTCAAATCCAATAAAAATTCCCTTTCTCCTATAAAGCTGACAAAAAAAAAAATGGAAGCTCATGTTTGTAGCTGTTTCTTCCAGATCGAATTACACTCAGGTTAAAAAAAAAGCTTTGAATATTTATAACAACTAAAAAACTTTTAAAAATTAATTAATAAAAATAAAAGGTAAATCTAAGCAGAAAACAAAACCTGAGTTCTGGGCTTTAGATTCTCACACTCTTCTAGATTTTGGCCATGCAATTTCTCTGTATATTGTAAACGCATAGATAATTTTAAGATGTTTTCTTGTTTTTGTATATCATCCAGTTTTTAATTTGTCTTTGGTAGAAGGATTGGTCTTGATCTCCTAGCTCCATTATTAGAAGTATCTACCATCTAATTTTTTTTTCTGTTGGACAGAAATTGTTTATTGAGCATTTACTGTGTGACAAACACTTCTGAGCACTGTATATGTAGTGGCAAACAAGACAAAGTCTCTGCCCTTTAAAAAGCCCTCATTTTAATTGAGGGAAGCCCTCATTTTTCTAAACTAATTTAATGGCTATGGAATACATGAACTTTAAGCAAATGTCAGTCTCTGCTTTCTGAGGACTTCCATGGTGAGCTAGAGCCTCATGCAGTAGTAGACTCTTAAGCCCCAGCCCCAGGCTGAATTGGAGGGCCATAATAAAGTTTGCACAAAGCCTGAGGTAGAGGGGAGAGCTTGGAGGAAAGAACCTGAAAGGGTAAGGGAGTGGCTAACATTTAAGAGATAACTTGAATTTCACACATGACTGACAGAGAGTGGAGAAGTGACATTTGAGGAATCTGTGTCTTTTCCATCCCACAGATACTCAGAGTGGAAGTAAGAATGAGGAAGATAGATAGATAGATAGATTTGCACATAGCCATGAAACCTCCTGTCCGAGTTGTGGAAGGTCCTTGGACTCTAGCAGCCCTCTACCCGGCTCTACCCAAGAGTGGAAAGGAACACCAAGGCCATTTCAATTTTGCAGCACCATCCAAGAAACTACTACCTATCAAGAATGCTGTCACACCTTTGAAGCCTGGCAAGCATGAGATTCAACCACCGATGCCCACCGTGGTCTTTGAACTCACCCAAGCACCCACCAGGCAGGCTACAAGTGAGGCTACCTTTCAAACTACATTGCCCACCCTGAAGGTGGATAAGCCAACCATGCCCTCCATAGAGGTCCCCTATCCTTAAATAAGAGACCTCTAAGAGATCCCCATGGCTGAATACTCCAAATAATCCTATGTCACAATATATTCCATTGCATCTGACATAGCCTTCTGTGTTTCCAAAGAAGAATTAGCCACATCTCCCCTGCTTCTTCCTCTCTCTGCCTAAGGGTGGTGATGGTGGGGAGTGGTTGATAAAGGCACACAGAAGGGCCACGGAGGCTCTCAGGGGAACCATTGTGCTCTCGCTATCAAGAATGCATCTCAAGGGGCTAGGCAAGGGGAAAACTGCTGTGTGTGGTCTTGGAACTGGTTGCTGTCAGGTTTATCTCATCCTAACACCTCCATAATATTTTCTGCTAAAGGAGTGACTGTGCATATAAGTAAAGGCAACCTCTCAGGAAGCCAGAGGTAGTGGTCTATTCTTTGGACCCCTCGTGATCAACCAGGGTGATGAAGGCTGGGGGATGGGGGCAATAGTGATGCCATCTGAGTGATCTCATTCTCTGGGCCACAGAATGAGAGGGGCATGGGTCAGGGAAAAAGATCTCATCCCCACCCCACGTTAACTGCTCTATGGTGCAGTGGGCTACTTCCTGATAGCTTGTGGTTTGCTGATTCCCCAGTAAGAGGGTGGGCACAATCCATGCACATTCAAGAGCTTTTGGCCTTGAGGGGAAACCAGAGCTTAGAACAAGTATCTGGAGCCCCTTCTGTCTGGCAGCGCAAAGTTAGAAGCAGTGAGTTGAGCTCTTCCCACTTACTTACACATCCTTTCTGGACCTGAGCCTCCTCTTCTTTATGATGGTGGTATAAGGCAGACTACCACAGCACCTTCCTTCCGGCTCAGATTTCTCCTGGGCTACCTGTGGAGCTGTGTCCTCCAACAGCCACGTTACCATCCCAGAAAGCAGGGCTCTCTGGTTTGAGGCCTCCATTTACACACACCAGCCAGTCCTACACTAACAAACAGCTAAGGAGATCAGGAATAGCACTCCTTGTGGGGTAGACAGACACACAGATGCTGATGACCCAGACACTGTAGTGTATGAAAAGAAGCAGGACCTGGCTCTGCTGAAGTATGGGACCTCGAGGGCAGATCACAAACCCTCCCCACAAGGGGATTCTCCACTATCAATCAATCAATCAATCACTTCTCTAGGTGCTCATCCCAGCCACAGTCTGAGGATGCCCCACCTCTAAGTCACACCTTCCCTGTCTGAAACCCCCACCCGCAGCCCTACTCCAGTCATGGCCAAACCTGGTTGTCCCATGCTGGTCACAAAGTAACATTTTACTGGCACCCACTGGACATGAAGATTTAACCCAAGGCAGCATTGTTCTTGGGGTTCTTGGACATGTCTTGATGAGCCAAGGTGTTTCTGGCAGGTGCAAGGGCCGCTGTGGCTCCACTGGCCCTAGTTACAGCCCAGAAGCTGATTCCTCCTCTAGACCCCCAGCTGCTCATGCACACTTGGTCCTCACCTCCCAGCCTGATGTCCAGCACTTCCTCCCAACCCACCCCAATCTCAGCTCTTCCCTTTAAGCCACTTAAGGCACATCTTGAGCTCAAGCTCCCCAACCCCCAAACCCAGACCAGCTTGGCCCCAGCAGGTTAAGACCAAAGAAGTCGTTATATAGGCTGCTCCCCTGCAAGGCCCTGTCCTGACCCCACATGCCCTTCCCTTCCACTTCCCCTCCCTGAGCAAAGACACTGTCGGGCCAGAGAATGAAACATGCTTTATGCCCTGAGGTGATCAGGGTAGACTTGAGCAGGGGCCCAGCATTCACACTGCAATATAGAAAAGTGGTCTGTCTCCCTCATCCCACCTGCAGATCCAGTCCCTTCGGTTTCAGAGTATTCAATGCACATTTGGTTGTTCAAAGTATGGAGAGCTAGATTGTCCTCTTGATTCCTCTATCCCAGTGGTACACAGAAAGTCAAAGGAAGTTGCATGGTGGGGCTGGTCTGAAACAGGAGACACATCTAAGGATCACAGGCTCTCACAACCGGGAAGGCCACAGCAAACTAGGATTAGACCAACCCAGGTGCCAGAGGGGTGGATGGAGGGAAGTTCTGCATCCCAGAGAGATGCCTCACTGGAAGAACATCAGAGGCCCAGTTGGTATAGTCAGTGGTGGCTGGCCAGCCCAGCCTCGCTGCCGGGATGGCATAAGTCTTCCCCAGCTGCAGGGGTAGCTGATGGGCCTGAACCCACTGCTGCCTCGAGAGCAGGCATGGAACCAGCACCTCCCCGTGACTGTTCACTTGCCGCTCCTGGAGCCCCGCTGTTTGCTCATGGCTGTGAGCATCTGGCTAATGTAGGAAGTCAGGAGGTCATCCATCTTGTAGCCCTGGAAGCAGGGGTGAGAAGATAAGCGAGCACACGGTGGGACAGGGCCAGCCACTCAGACCATAGCACAGCTCCCAGGAATCTGCAATGGGCAGAACCCAGGACAAAGGCAAATCCCTCCTACTCAGGGCTTATCTCCCATCTGCACAATTGAAGGGTTGAATTCATCCAGCCAGATGGCTAAGGTTCTACACTGTTATGACCCCACATTAAGCCCCTAGCTTGTGGGTCCCTCAAGTCACGGATCCCTCCCTCCAAGAGTGACCCTACTGGCTCTCAGTTGAGCTATGCCTTGGAAGTTTGAGCTTGGTCAAGGAGGTCTCATTGTTAATGGTTCCACTGTTGAACTCGGGGGGCTAAAGGGCTGTCACAGTGGGCCCGATCCCCAGATACTGAAGGCACTCAGACAACAGTTGTTGAACGAGGGATCTGTTCCTCAGCCCCAGATTAAGTCCCTTCCCCAGACCTAAGCTGAGCCTCAAACTGACCTGACCTTGGCCCCAGCATGACCCTTGCCCACGACCCCAGGCCCAGCCGCACACTACTGTGTTTGTTCCAGGCCCTGGGAGGCTGGCTACGCTGCAGGCAAGGCAGGGAGCCCACTAGGCCCAGCAGGATGCGCCCTCACCAGTGACGTCTCGCAGAGCAGTTTGCTCCCGCGCACCAAGTTCCCAATGGTGATGTGGAAGTAGGTGTTGCCGCTGCTCCAGTTGGAGATCTTGGTGAAGGGATGAGTGGTGAGGATATCCTGGGGGAGCAGAAAGGGCATAGAGAGGCACGGCCTGGGCCCTGTGGCCTCACTTGCCCACACATGCCCTCACAGAAGGCCTCAGGCCCTCAGAGGAGCCCATGGCCGGAGGGAAAAGCCAGCTCTGCCATCCAGCTGCGGTGGGAAGCAGGTGCCTCCCCCTCCACACCTTGGTTTGGACACCCAGGAAGTCTAGGAGGCTGTTGGGTACTTGGGGCCAGAACTCGGAAATTGGGAGACCTGAGGGAACTGACACCGTGGCCTGAATGAGATGGTCCAGGGAGAGTTTGAGGAGGGAGCCAAGAAGAAGACAGGGCAGAACCTTGGGAAACACGGTGTACAGGAGCAGGCACCAAAGGGTCCGGGAAGGAATGACCAAGACACAGAGGACAGCCAGGAATGCGTGATGCATGAAGCCAATGGAAAGATGGTGGTCACGAGCCCTCTTCACCACCTGTCCAGTCGGACCCTCTGGGTGTGCAGCTGGGCTGCTCTGGCCCAGAAACACAGATGCACGGTCACCCCTGCACAGCCAGCCCCATGACCTGCATGGGCAGAGCATCCAGTGATACTGAAAGGCCAAGTACTAAAGGGAGTTCACATTCCATAGGAAGGAGTTTGTTAGTAACTTCAGGAGAGCAATTTTGGTGGAGCAAGCGTTGGGTAAAGTCCTAGCAAACGCTGACAGCTTTTGAAGCCACGTGATGGGTGGATGAGTCTAGAGATAGATGGTGGCTAGGAGGGCTTGTGGGGTTCGTTCTGGGACCGTGTCTGTGGTTCAGGCAGAGAAGCCCGCCCCCACTTGCTGCCTTATCCCTGCTCACCTTCGTTTTGGGATCGATGAGGCTGACCCCATACTTGTTGATGGCAATTAGGAGGATCTCAGGGAAGTTTGGCTCCGTAGTTTGCTAGAAAAAAAGATGAGAAGGCATCAGATGGGGGCCCAGAGCAAGAAAAGCATTTGGGGACAGGAATGAAGCCTGGCCCCAGCTGGGATAAAGTCAGCCTCTCCTGTTGCCTATGTGGTACTGACGGCCCTGCCATGACCTATGGCTTCCACCTCCGCTGGGCCCTCAGTGCTGCCCCACATCCCTTCCTGGGTCCCCCAGGCCATCCTCTGCTTTGTCCTCCCTCTCAGCCCAAGGGCCTCCCATCTTTAAAAAGCCTCCTGGACCCTGCACCTGCCTCCAGCTACCTACCTGTTCTCCTCGCACAGCCAAGCTCCTCAAAAGGCCTCCCATCCTAGCTGTGTGATAAGACCATACGTATCCTCTCACACCAGCCTCCTCACCATACTCCTGCCTCTGTTGTGCCCCTCAGACCCCTCCTCCACCCGCAGCCTGAGAGGCTTTCTGGCCACGTCACCTGTGTTCAAAACCCTCCAAGGCAGGCCACCCCTGCAGGAAACCCAGCCTCTCACCTGCTTGCCAAGCTGCTGCTCTCCACAGCCCACTCTCGCCTCCTGCCCTCACTACTTGGATTTCCTTCCCAGACCTGAGTTCTCACACCTCCAGGCCTTTGTCTATGTGGGACCCCTGCCAGGAGCACTCTTTCCAGGGTCTGCCTGGAAAGCTCAGATATCACCTCCTCTAAGAGGCCTTCTCACACCCGGCAGAGCCTCCCGAGCTCTGCCACCTGGGCGAGGGCTCCCCAGTGTCAGAACACAGGCCATCCTCCATTACCCCAGCCTGTTTACATGTCTGCCTCCACTGCCAGGCTGAGCTTCTTCTGGTCCCTCTGTCCCCAGGACTTACCCCAGCTAAGACGCTAAGCTGGGACAAGGCTGAGGGTGCTGCCCTCCTTCCCTCACCAGGGCAGGTGTCCAAGGCCATGGCTCTTTCCCACAGTCCTAGGGAGGAGTCTCTGTGCTTTATCAATGCCCTGTTCCCCTCCTCCTCTGCTCTGAGAAGCCCATGGTGTACCTTCACCTCGAAGAAGGCTGAGCCAAAGGTGGGCCACTTGAAGATGAGCTTCAGGAAGGCCAGCTTGGCCTCCTCCTTGGACTTCCCTGCGTGCTTGTTGAAGTAGGCGACGATGGACTATGGGGACAGGGCGGTCAGGGCTGGGCTCAGTCCTGGGGACAGGCCTGCTCAGGGCAGGCCAGCTCAGAGCTCAGAGTCCTCCCCACACCACCCCTGCCCACTCCAGCCCCGTCTGCACCCTCAGGGCCAGGACTAGGACAGCAGACCTGGGGACTGTGAAGGGCTCTCCCCATATTTCAGCTAATGGACTCCCGACCTCCCTTCTCACCCCCAGGCAGGCAGACCAAAGGGTATCAAGGACAAACAGGTCACCATGGTAACCAGGACAGGATAAATGACTGCCAAGTGGCCACTGAGTCCTTGGCATGGAGGACTGAAGGATAAGGCAGGTGGAGGAACAAGGGTGGGCGGCCTCATCAAGTACAAGAACCACAAGATGCACCTCCCTGGGCTGCTGGCCAGTGTCTGCCCCCTTGGCCCCTGGGGTGCCCCGAGGCCCATTCAGGGCCCCACCATTCCCGATGCCCACCCCATGCTCACCCGCTTCCAGTCATCAGGTGAGACCTGCCGGATAAGGTCCTGGGGCACCAGCTCCCGCAGCAGCTTGGGGATGCTGGGGAAGTAGGACTTGTCCTCCTCGAACTTGACCCTGTAGATCAGCGCCCCCAGCTGCAGCACCTCCTCCCGCGTGCACTTGTGGTAGCCTCGGAGATACTTGGGCAACTCCTGTCAGAGACAGAGCAGGTCACAGGCGTGCAGGGACCTGGCAGAAGTGGGCTCCTTTCCCACCACACCAAGACCCCCAACGCCGGGGTCTACCACCTTACCCCGCACATGGGCCCACCCACCTCTCCAGCCTCAGCTGACACTGCTCCCCCAGGGGATACGGCACAGGACAGGGACAGAGCAAGTCTGCCTGCACAGACTCAGCAGTTGGCAGTTGGAGTGCATGGCCATGTCTGTTACCTCATGTCCCCCCATAACAGTCCAGTGAGATGAGCAGCCCCATTTCAAGATGAAGAAACTCAGAGTGACCAGCTGGCAACCCTGAGACTGTTCCATACCCCTCACCTCCTGGGCCCATCCTCCTCTGGAAGAGCCTCTCAGTCTGGCCTCCTTGCATTGGGTTCTCTTGAGACCAGCTGCTTTCATTAGCAGTAGCAGAGGCCCTCCCACCCCCTTGAACTTCCAGACCCAAAACCAGAGGAACTTAGGCTGGGGAATGGGCCCAGAGCAGAGATGAAGCCTCTGAAGGGCTGGCGCTGCCCACAGACTCCTAGAGCCTTATGGTCATCTTATACACAATTTGAAAGGTAGAGAAACTGAGGCTGGCCTGAGGATACATTGTCAGTCAGAGATCTGAGTCAATCATTATCCATCCTACCCACCCATCCATGTGGTTATGGGTCTATCTACCTACACATCTACCTCCATCCATCTCCCTATCTGTCCATCCATCTACCCACCCATCCACCCACTCACCTACCTAACTCACCAATTCACTTACCAATATCCACCCATCAATTCACTCAGCATTCATCCTCCCATCTCTATGTTCATTGAGCCACCAGTTTACCTACTCACCCATCTGTCAATCCAACAAGCATGCATTGAACATCTATGAGCCAGGCCCTTTAAGCAACAATGCCTACCCTCCCTACTTCCATGGAACTTGTAGTCTCAGGGCAAGGACAGACATTAAAAATCATACCAAACAGATATATAATGACAACCTTTGAAGGAATTGTCCACAGTGCTGTAAGAGAATATAACAAGGTGACCTAATCTAGGCTTGAGGACAGGGCAGACTTCCTTTAAGATAAAATGGCTGACTGACATCTAAAAGCTCAGTAGGTGAGGGAAGGAACTGAGGGAAGAGCATCCCAACATTACAAAGGCCCTGTGGCACACTTGAGAAGCGGAAACAATCCAGCTGAGCTGAAGGAGAGCCAGGTACAAGGCAAGGCAGCAGGAGCAGTTAGTGGCACCACCAGGCAGGGCCACGGCCAGGACGGGGGTTATGCCCTACGAGCAAGGGGAATCCACTGGGGGAATCTGGAAAGCAGGATGACCACCCTGTGGAGAAAGGATTGAAAGGACCAAAATGGATGAGGAGAACAGGGAGAAGGTCACTGCCTCCATTCTGGATCAGAGATGATGGTAGACTGACCCAGGTTGGGAAGGTGGTGATGGAGAGACATGGGGGACTTTAGAGATATCCAGGAGGTACAGTCATCAGGTAAGTGATTTGGGACGTGGGACAGGAGGAGCAGATGTCAAGGCTGACTCTGGGGGAACTGGTAGTCCAGGGGCCATGCACTCAGTGGGCAGCATGGGGTGGGTGGGGAGGGGCATGAGGAAAGGTAGATCCCAGGTTTGGATGAGGGCAGTCCTTCTCACTCCCAGGCCAGTGTCCTCTCTGCCACAGCAGCCACCGTCCCTGCCTCCTCTGCCCTTCCCAGCATCATGGTTTTTCTCCCACAGAATGGTAAGCAGGCTGAGCCCAGAAAAGAGCACCAACCTGCAGTCATGAAGACCTGGAATCAAACCCCAGTTCCATCAGCTGTGTGATCCTAATCACAGCACGCGGCCTGAGTCTCTTTGTCCCTCTGTCAAATGGGGACAACATGCCTGCTTCTTGGGGTTAGTTGGGAGGACAGAATGAGAGAAGAGTGCCAGACACATAATAGAGGCTCAACATGCAAGCTTCCCTCCCGGCTTCCTGCAGGTGCCTATGCTAGAAAATGTTTGCACAGAGGCCTTGGAATTACCCAGTTACAACAGCAGAATCTCGAAGTCAGAGGATAGCCCCGCACTGAAGGAGGGGCCTGAACAGGTAGGGATCGGAAGCTCAGAGGAGGAACTGTCAAGCCCCTAAGGGCTGAAGAATCAGAAGATACAAGGATCAGGGGTTGGGCCATCCCTTGGGGCTCCAGTGGTCTTGGCAGGAATCCCTTTGAGGCCAGGCTGGTACGGGCCCCACACCTGGCAAGGTCAGTGGGTCTCTGCTTTCAGGGCCAAAGTACAGCAACGCTAGCTGTGCACGAAGGCAACTAGAGTGCAGAGGTGCCCACCTGGTAATAGTGGAAGATGGAATCGGCCATGGGATCCTTCCCTGGCACCGTGGTGGTCCACAGCTTCTTCATGAAGAACACCTGGTAGGTGAGTGAGGGCACAATTCCTGCAGCACAGGGCAGTCGGTCACCCAGAGGGTCCCTGCACAGAGGAGTGCTCACGTCCCGAGCCCAGACCCAGAGGAGGCCCTCACTCAGGCCCGCCTAGGTGGGCCTCACGGCACAGCCCCGAGCCCACACTTCCCTGCTCTGGGCCTCAGATGATCCCAGGACCCGGCCTCATTACCGTCCTTGATGGGCCGAGCTTTCTTTATCCAGTCTGTCAAGTGTCGAACAAAGTCAAAGAAGAAGTCATTCTCAGGAACGCTGAGGACCTGGGGTCAGGGCCATCGAAGCACACTCAGTTTAAGCAACACTGCATTTTCTGACCTTCCCACCTAAGGCCTGTCTGGCAGCTGCTCCTTCTCAGGGAAGACTCCACTCCCAGCCGGAAGGGGTTTCTGTGTGTCAGCCCCACCCTGCCCCATGTGCCTGCTGAGTGTCCCCGGAAGAGCCCACTTCTTGCCGGGAGCGATGGTCATTCCATTCAGTGCCTGGGACACTGAACGCTGCCTTAGACTCAAGGGAAACTGGCCAAGAATGCGGCCCAGCCCCTGGCTTGGACATTCTCTGGCATCCATGTCCAGCTCCTCCTGCAGCTCTGGGCTCCCCTGGGTCTAGGACCTCATTGGGGTCACCTCTGGGTCCCAGCGTCTGGCACAGAGACAGGCATGAAGTGAGGAAACAGACACAGAGGCACACAGAGCCATCAGCAGGCAACAGGATGGGGCACCCAACTCGGTCAGGGAGGCCTTCCCGTGGAGGGGTCTTTAGCTGGGCCTGGAAGACTTCCAGGGACAGAGGTGCTGGGGGAGCGTGATGTGAAATGGTGGCAGGGGCGTGGGCTTTAGAGCCAGACCCACCTGGAGCTCAGTCCCTGCTGTGTGACCTTGGACAAGTTACCTAACCTCTCTGAGCCCTAGTTATGTGATCTATCAAGTGGGGATGATCACACATTCTTTCAAGGGTTAATTTGCCCCAGCATGGCAATTAAGGGCCAGTCAAAGCAAATATGGAAAGAACATGTGTGTTGGGGCAGGGTGAGGGTCTGGTGTTTTTAGAACACAGAGCACCTGGGCACATGCCCCTAAGAGGGTTTGAGCCATGTGCAGTGCCTCAGAAGAGAGAGAGCTGGGGGCAGCCACTCCATGTAAGGGGAGGCTGCAGGGATGGAAGAAGATGGCCAGATGCCAGTGCCCTCTTCCCCTCTCTCCCCCAGTTCCTCTCTCTTCCGTCTGCTGTCCGTAAGTTCCTATGGCCCCAGCAAATCTCCCACCTTGGCGAAGGTGGCAAAGGACCCACCTTGTCTGCAATTTTGACAAAGAGGCTGAATCCCTCTGAGGACTTGAGGAGCAGCCTGGTGGCGATGTTCTGGCAGAAGTCCTTGGCCTTGGTGCTGGACTCCACTTCGAAGGCCTGGGAGGGGCAGTGAGCACTGGGCTCCTGCAGGGCCTTTCCCGGGACCTGGTCCTCCCGGGCCCCTCTGGCTATGCCTCCTATACTGAGCCCCCTCCCGTGCCAGACACCCTCCTGTGGGCACAGAGCTGGGCATGGCATTTAACAAAAGGAAAGGGCTACTCCTGTCTGGGTCTTCCCAGGTCTCCTCCTCCCGACTCTCCAAGCAGAAGGTGGCCTTGGCGTCCAGAGTCCTGGGCCAGGGTGTACAAGCCTGAGTGACAGTGAGGGGTCCAGGGAGCACAGCAGGATGACTGGAAGGGTGATTAGAAGGAGGAGACTTGAGGTAGAGGAAAAGCAAACCCAAAAGCGGAGGGGAAAGCAGCCCGGACAGATGGGAGGGTTTGAGCGTCTGGGGAAGTTTAATGGCAGGAGAGATGTCTGGAGGGACAGGAAAGGATTTGAGGAAGTCTTTGGTCCTTGCAAATGAAATCCTGTTATGGCATTTCTGAGTCTCCAGCCTCAGACAAGTTTCATAAATGACTCTTCAAATGAAAAGCTTATCTGAATGAGACACTGTGTTGAGACAGGCAGGGGCTGGGGACCATGAGGGGCAGCGTGACTACAGGCATGACAGACAGGACCTTTGGCAGACAGGACCTGGATGGAGGGAACCTCAACCACCTCAGGTGGAGAGGGAGGAAGGGGTGTTGAGGTTCTGCCTGCAGGAAAGTGGGCTCAGTCGACAGGGGAGGTCTGGACCTGGGGGCCAGTGGGGCCCTACATCAGGGAGGTGCAAAGCCAGTGCAAAGCCAGCTCAGAGGGAGAAGCGCTTTTCTCCAAGGCAAGTCCTCCTCAGAGACAGGGAGGGAGGGGCGCCCTTCTGAAGGAAGCTGCTCCAGGAAGCAGGGGTTGGATCAGGAACCAAGGGCCCCTGACCTGGGGAGTCGATGGCCTTCGTCCTGAGCCCCGACTCCACTACGGGGCAGGAGGACGAGGCGGCAAATGTCAGGTGATGGGGGAGAGGCTTAAGGCCACCTTTGGTGTCCACCCAGGAAGCCCGGCCCTGTCCTGGGCACTGCAGACCTAGAAGCCGGTGACCCTCACCTCGTCAGTGTCATCAGGGAAGTAGACTTTGTGGAAAATCTGGGTGGTCTTGTGCTGGATGGCCTCCACCTCCACCAGGTGCGGAGGGTACTTCCGGGACCCGTTTCTGAAAAGGCAGCAGGGGCAGCAGGGGGCATGTGCGTGGGACTGTGGAGACCAGGGGACCGGGACACTTGGAGGCAGACAACCCCAGTTCTGATCCCCGCCTGCCACTTCCTATGATGTGACCGGCCACTGAGTCTCCCAGAGCCTTGAGCTCCTCATCTGTAAAATGGGACGATGGGTGTGGAGAGGCCCAGCAAAGTGAAGAACACAAGTGCCCTCGGAGAGTATGAAGTGGGCCCAGGTGTCTGTGCCCACCCGATAGCCTGGGAGCTCTGGGCTGAGCACTCCCGAGCAGCCGGACTCTCCAGCTGCATCCTGAGCAGCTGCAGGATCCGCACCTCCGTCTAGCTGGCAGTTGAGGTACCCCAGGGGTGGGCCCAACTGCTATGTGGTCCTCATCCCCAAGGGGCTCATCCCACAAGCCCCGCGTGGCCAGGAGCCCGCCCCAGTGTCTGTCCCTGCCCCTGGTGGCCGCTGTACCTCAGGGCTTTCTGGAGCCGTTGCAGGCAGTCGATGGCGAGTGGGCAGTGCTTTCGGGACTGCAGGAAGCGCTGCACGTGGGGCAGGAGGATGTTGCTGGGTGGGAAAAGGCCCGTGCACAGCCAGAGCAGCTCCCAACCCCGCTCCTCGCTGTACCTGCAGGAGGAGGCGTGGGCTCCAGCAGGGGCAGCTGCCATCGGGAGTCACAGGACCTGTGCACCCCCGGGTGAGGGGGCCATGTACCCCTCAGCTGCTCATCACAGCAGCACCGTCCCTCCTGACCTTTACCCTATCTCAGGACCCCTCACCCTACCTACAGACCCCTCTCCCTGACAGCCAGATGCAACTAGTGCTACCCAAAGTGTGCCTGGCCCACCGCGCCAGGCCACACACTGCTACCAGTCCACGTGGAGATAAGGGGCTTATGCCACAATGAAAAGCCACCGGGTTACCATGCACTCTGCTTCAGCTGAGGCTTTTTGTTTGTTTCCATAGCAAGACTTTCTCCATGAAGGAAGCAGTGTGATTTATATTTTCGCAGAAGCTCTTTAATTCACCTCTACTTTGAGTGGCAACGAGTTAGACCAGTCCCACCCCAGGCTCCTTCAGCCACCACTCTGAGCTTCTTGGGCCTGACAGTGGGAAGTTTGGAGGGCTTCTAGGAGGAGGTGGCATTTGAACTAGGCTTTGAAGGATGAAGCAAATTACGGCATGCAGAGAAGGGGCTGAAAAGTTTTCCTGGCTGTGGGCACAGTATGTACAAAGGTTTGGCACTGTCAAAAGAGCTGATGTGTAGTTTGAGGATGGATTTGTGGAAGAGATGTAGAGGGTGACACAGCTGGGGAGGAAGGCGGGGGGCTGGGTGTAAGGAGAGAGGGTGGAGCTTCTCTCAGACTCTGAGAGGAGCCTGTGCCTGACTTTCTACTCCTGTCTTGGGCTGTCCCAGCGGGAGGAGAAGGTGGCACCCTTTGGGCATTGGGACCAACACTCAAACCCATGAGAGTTTTCAGCCAGTGCTTCCAGCTGACAGCCGGCCCAGCCTGCACCAGGGAGGGGACACTTGACTGAGCTGGACCTGCAGGCAGACAGCAGGGTCTAGGCAGGGAAGGGGCATCCAGACGAGGCTCCAGCCAAACGTTAGGAGGAGCTGGGGCTGTTACCCTTAGAGGACAGACTCAAAGGAAGACATCCACCACCTCCCAGTTCCTGCTAGGCCCTCCTTGGGCGTTGGGGCCAAGCTAGGATGTGAGGGGGCCCATGAGCAGCTCCCGGCTCTGTGTGAGGAAGGACTGCATCCAGGCAGAGCCAGCAGCTGCCTCAGGAGGGTAAGAGCTGCCCGTCACAGCAGGTGAGGTCTGCCCCTCATCCGCCCACTGTGCCTGGCTCACCTGATGTGGTTGTCGGTCAGCTGCTTCAGGATCTGCACATATGCCTCGTCCTTCAGGGGCTCGGCTTTCAGGGGACCCTCAAAGATCTGGTCGGTGAGCTCGTTGACGGAGCGTGTCCTCTTGGACGGGTAGTCGCCCATGTACTTGAGCACAGCTGGGGACTGTCAAGGAAGGGCTTGTGCCGAATAGAGGGAGCACTGGCCTGGGGTCCGGAGGCCCCACTTCCCACAGGGCCTGCATCACCTGAAGCTGTGACCCTGGGCCCTCAGGCTGCACACTCACAAAATGGGCATGATCTGCCCCACCCTCTCTCCGCCTCCTCACAGTCACCAGCCCCACATCCCAAGCCCTCACAGCAGCTGGGATGGACTTCCCAGATGGTGAATCTGACCATGCCACCCCCTGCCCAGTGGTTCACCCTGGCCTTAGGACACGGCCCAAGCTTCCTCACAGGGCTTGGGAACCCTGCCTAAGCCCAGTCTTCCCATCCTGTCTGTGCTGAAGCCCCGGAGCCCTGGAACAGCCCTGCTCTGTGTGCCTCGGGGCCTTGCTGCTGCTCCCTCTCTCTGGAACACTCCCCCTCCCTCCCCTTTGCCTGGCTAAGTCGTACTTAGCCTTCAGGGCTCAGCCTAGATACCACTTCCTCCAGGAAGTCCTCTCTGCCCCCTCCAGGTCACATGGGTCAGGTCACAGTGCTGCCGGGTCCCATCTCAACATTGATCTGGATGTGTGTATGGTCCCATGAGGCCAGGGGCTGGGCTGGTCCCTGCTCTACCTGCATGCCTGGCCCAGCACAAGGCACCAAATCCACCTGGCACCCAAATGACAGGGTCAGAGAAAACAGTGGGCGAGGCAGCCCCTTGCATATCAAAAGGTGCAAGGGAGGGGGTACTCCATCAACCCTCCCCATGTGTGCCCGGGTCGCAGCAGGCCCTCAGGAGGAAGGCAGTGTGCAGACGAAGGCCCTGCCCGGTCCCTGGCTCCCCTGGGCACAGCCCAGTGGCACGGATATCAATGAAGGCCAGGCAGGCCTCCTGCGAGAGCTCCTCACTGCCCAGGAGCTTCTTGAGCAGCGCCTGCTTGAGCGGTTCCCGCGTGTGGCTCCACAGCCGGTCCTTGCCTCGGGCCTTGGACACCATGACACGGCTCAGCGTGTGCTTGGGTGGGGGCCTGCCGCAGCACAGGGACCGTCAGCAACGCCCCATCGCTGGCAGCCCCGGGGAGAAACCCCCAGGTTGTGAGACCCCCACCCCCACCCATCCCTGTGTCCAGAGGCTGAGAGTGGGCACCAGGCCCTGCTCTTCCCTGCCCTGCATGTGACCCGAGGCGAGTCACTGGCAGTCACTGGGCCTTTCTTTCTCAGCTGTGAAACCCCAGCGGCGAGAACACCACGGGCTGTGCCCCAGCCTCCCCCACCACCCTGCGCCCCCTGTAGAGCTCAGTGCACAACGCCTCCATCAGGAAGCTTCTCACTGCCCCCCACCCCCCGCCCCAGAAGCATCCTCATCACAGTGCTGGGCACGCCGAATCCCAGCTGCCTGCTTCCAGCCCGCATCCCCACCAGGACTCAGTCTCGAATGCCCAGCCTGGGGTGGGTGCAGTGACATCTCTTGAAGGAAGGAAGATAAGATGAGACACATAGGACGGGTCATCCTGGCAGACAGAAACAGCCCTCCAGCTCCCTCTGACCCAGGCCCTGCTCACAGGTGGGGGCTTCACAAAGCAGCCCCAGCACACGACCAGACAGTAGCGGAAGCCTGCAGCTCCTAGCCCTGTGGCTCCCATCCTTCCCCAGGAGGCATCACCTGAAGTAGTCATAGGAAAACTCCTCCAGCGTGTAGGGCTTGGCACGCACCTCGGGCTCCGCCGTTCGCAGCTGCAAGAGCCGGACAACGTCCTGCCTCTGATCGGGAGTCATGGTGACCAGGGCCTAGGGACCAAGAGACAGGGGGCTCAGGTCAGCTCTCTACCTGTGGCCACCAGGATCAACATGGTATACCCTGAAGCCTTCTGGACTCTGGGAGACTCTTCAGGGGTATGGACCCCATGCCCCATTCTGACCCTGGGAGCCCCGTTCCTCCTTGGGGTCTCTGAGGTCCCTGCTGCCTCCTTTGTGCTGAGCTCAGGGCCCTTCCCCAGGTGTCTGATCAGGTTGGGTCAGTCAGAAAGCCTGGACAAGGCAGCGGGACATGGTATGAGAGCTGCCTCGTCCACTGAGCCTGGCTCAGGAGCCACTAGGGAAGCTGGGCTGTGAGTCCTCAGAGCTGCTCTCAAGGGGGCTCCAGAAGAAGCAGGGCCCCCTTCCCAGCTGTGCCCCCACTGCCTGTTCAGACAGTGCGGGTGATACACCTCTCTCCAATCCCCACCCCCGGCCCCACCCCTTGGCAGTTCCTCATCTGATGCCATTTCTAGGCCCCTCCCCACCTGGCACAGGTTTGAGCACTGCCCCAACTTTAAATGTGTGTCCCATAAGATCCCAAGATCATCTTCACAGATGCACTAGACCGTTAACCTATTGTACAGCTGTGGGAAGTGGACAAAGAGGGGTCTAATGGCACCTCCCACCCATCTGCCACCCCCAGGCCACATACCACAATCTCCCGCGGTGGCATGGTGACAGTGGGCATGACGTACACACTGTCGGTGGGGAAGTCCCCACGCTGCTTGGTCCTCTCATTGATGCCGTTGGCCCAGCCCGAGTTCATGACCTGCTCGCCCGTGTCATGGTCCAGGATGATGAGGTCTCCCTTGGCAAAGCTGAGGAAGCCTGACTCCTCGCCTGCTGTAGAGCAGAGGTGAGTGGGACCATGGGGGCAGAGACAGGCTGAGTTGGAACATCTTCCCACAGAAGAACTGAGGTGTTATCACTCATGTCTGCCCACTTGCCACTCTGCCTCCACCTTGTCACAACTCTCCATACAGAGACCATCACCAGAGTGGGCTACTCTCCTGCTCAAAAGCCTTCCACGGCTCCTCATTGCCCTTGGGAGGAAGCCCCACACTCCTGGGCCTGTTGTGAGCGGGCCTCCCAGACTCCTTCCACCTCGCCTCTCCTCCCTCACTGTGCCTGTTCCCAGCCAAACCAAGCTGTTCGCAGTTCCCTGGACAGGCCAGCTTTCTCCCGCCTCTGTGCTGGCATCACGCTTAGCTCTCTGCCCCCTGTGCTCTGGTCACACGGGCTTCCTCCCTGGACCCCAGTCGGCATGGGGCCTCTCCTCTGGGCTCCTGTGGCTCTGGGCTTCCCTGCTCACTGCACTGTCACAGGCCTGTCACTGTCTTCTTCCCACCCCCCTCCCCACTGAGGACAGGGTGGGGTCCATTTCATCTTTGTCTTTCCCACACTTGGCCAGGGCCTCGGTAGCCTCAGGCAGAGTAGTTGTTACTGCTGTTATCACTTGAAGATGGTGGGTCTTTTGGGAACACTGAGGAGGACCCTGATCTAACTTGGAGAGCTGACAGGAGATGAGTATTGAAGAGCCAGAAGAAGGGAGGGAGAAGAGGTTCCCCACAGGCTACAGATTAAAGGCACAGGCTTCTGCTATTTGGTCTAGCTTCAGGGGAAAGATGGGAACAAGATCCTAGCAGCCTTGAGTGCCAAGGCCAAGGCCACGGGGCATGGTCTGTGATATGGTTTAGATATTTGTCCCCTCCAAATCTCTCTGTTGAAACTTGATCTCCCAGTGTTGGCAGTGGCCTAGTGTGAGGTGTTTGGGTCATGGGAGTGGGTCCCTCATGAACAGTGTGGTGCCGTGCTCACGGTAATGAGTGAGTTCTCACTCTATATAGTCTCTGTGAGAACTGATTGTTTAAAAAGAGCCTGGCACCCCCTGCTCTCTTCCTTCCTTCTGATGCAGGCACCCCTTCTCCTTCTGCCATGAGTGGAAGCTTCCTGGGGCCTTCATCAGAAGCAGATGCTGGTGCCATCTTTTTTCTCTTTGTTTCTTTTCTTTTTTTTTTTTAAGAGAGGAGGTCTCACTCTTGTCCAGGCTGGACTGCAGTGGCACAATCATGGCTCACTGCAGCCTCCACCTCCTGGACTCAAGTAATCCTTCTACCTCAGCCTCCTGAAGAGCTATGACTACAGGCACATGCCACCACACCCAGCTAATTTATTTAACCTTTTGTAGAGACGAGGGTCTCACTATGTTGCCCAGGCTGGTCTTGAACTCCTGGCCTCAAGTGATCCTCCCATCTCAGCCTCCCAAAGCTCTGGGATTGCAGGCATAAGCCACCGTGCCCAGCCAGCACCATGCTTCTTGTAGTGCCTGCAGAACTGTGAGCCAAATAAACCTCTTTTCTTCATAAATCTCCCAGCCTCCAGTGTTCCATTATAGCAACACAAATGGACTAAGACAGTCTGCATAACACCCTGACCCCCAGTGCCAGGCAGTCCATACCAGCAGCCACTCACCGGGGTTGGGGTTATCCTGCAGGGCCACAACATACTTAGATCTCTTCCGGAGCCCCTCTAGGAAGGTGACCACCAGGTCACGAATGTCCTCAGCATTGCTGGAGGTGAAGGTGTATTCGTCCCCCTTGATGGTGGCCAGCGTGAAGCTGGGGGCCGTCGTTTTCGCTCCCCTGCAGGACCAACACGGAGAACAGGGCCCCGCCGGGGTCAGTCCTGCCCAGCCTGAGTGAGGCGCAGCACAGCCAAGATCAGAGCAGCCCAGTGAGAGCCAGACACGGCACTCCCTGAAGGAGATCAAGGCCAGTTGAGTCAGTCATGCCCCAACCAGTGGGAGACGTGGCCCAGCTCAGACACATCTCAGGCTAAGTCAGAGCTGGCCTGGCCAGAGTCAGGCATGGCCCAGAGGGAGACCCACAGTGGCCCGGCCTACTTCTCCTTTGCCTGTCTAATTCCTACTCACCCTTTAAATCTCAACCTACATGCCACTTCCTCCAGGAAGTCCTCCCTGCCCTCCCACAGCCCTGATCATACCATGCTTTAAAATGGCCTATTCAATGTCTGTCTCCTCTCTTGACTGAAGATCCAAGAGGACAAGGACTATCTTGTCACTACTGCATCCTGTGTGCCTGGCATGTGTCT
The DNA here is from genome assembly GCF_000001405.40 of Homo sapiens. Taxonomy (NCBI): domain Eukaryota; kingdom Metazoa; phylum Chordata; class Mammalia; order Primates; family Hominidae; genus Homo; species Homo sapiens. The sequence continues at coordinate 77,199,179 of NC_000011.10, read as the reverse complement.
GGTCAGTGCTGGACACAGTCTGACTCCAGCCCATATCAGACACAACCCAAAGACACTGCTACAAGCCCCAGATGGTGGAGGAGGGAGCCACTGCACTGCTGGGAAAGCCAGTCAATCCCAGCAACCCACCCCACCATTCCACCTATGTGCACTGCACTTTGCAGTTTATAAAGAGCTCTCCCATCTATTATTGCATTCATTCCCCACCACTGTTATGCGAGAAAAGTATTAAGACTCCTGTTTTAGGAATGAAGACATAGAGTGAGTGCTACTCAGTCCCCTGAACCCCCAGGTCAAGCTCTTTTGTACACACTCACCTGCCCCTGCCTGTCCTGACAGCCCATTCCTGTCTCAGAACAGCCTTAATGTGCTGTAAAGCCCAAGCCCATCCCTCCACTAGGAGGTGCCAGAGGGGTCTGCACAGTGCGGCACAAACTGCCCAATCACGTGCAACCAGGCAGGCCACTTCATGCCTCTTCACTTCCTGTGACCCGCAGGGAAGCTCCAGCCCCTCTCCTTCCCCTCTGTCTGTCTGCATCTCCATGCGGGCCTCCTCACCTGCTGCTGGACACGGCCATGATCTCTGGGAAGGACAGCTCCAGAAGTACCTGCTCCTGCTCATCCACAAAGTACACACCCGTCCAGTTGACGGCCACGATGACGTCGTTCTTGGGGAGACTGGGGCCTGGGACGAGACCAAGGCACTGAGAGGCAGGCCTCCCACACCCAGGCCCAGCCCTTCTCAATCTCATAACGGCCAGGCAGGTGGCAATACACTGATTTCTATTTTATAGATATGGAAACTGAGGCTCAGAGAGCACAAACTCGCTACGTGCCAAAACCCAAAGTGCAGTAGGAAGAGAGTGTTCAATTGGGAAATTGGTTTGGGTCCCACTCCTGCCACTGGTCTTTGTGCAGCTTTGGACAAGCCCCTGCCCTGCACTAAGGCGGGATCTGGGGAGGGGTTGGACTGAGGCCCAGGGTTCCCTCCGGCCCTGGTGCTCGGTGGTTCTGTGAACAGCAGCATCAGCACAGGGCCTGGCACACAGCAGGTGCCCAGTAACGATGGCCCGAGGATGGCTGAGCCAGTGGCCTGTGTGGGTTTTTATCTGCTACTCTCGACTTCACAGAGTCGGCCCAGCAGGGCTGGCCCTGTCTGAACCCTGGGCCACCCTGTTGTATACATAGTATGTGCCTTAATGAATCAATCCTCACTCAGTTTTTCAATCCCGTGCACCACTGAGCACAGAAGATGTGCCATGGAGTCGCTACCGGGTGTTGGGGAGGCAGGACCCACTCAGCAGCATTGACCAGAGCAGACCAAGCATCCCGCAGGCAAGAGGTCCACTGACGGGGGCCCCTGGCTCAAGACGTTTCCCTCCCCTGCTGTGGGCTGGAGCTACAGAGCAAGGGACTGGGAGCATTGCAGGCTGTGGGGTACCTGAGAATTTGTAGGCTGTGGGCTGGAGCTACAGAGCAAGGGACTGGGAGCATTGCAGGCTGCGGGGTACCTGAGAATTTGTAGGCTGTGGGCTGGAGCTACAGAGCAAGGGACTGGGAGCATTGCAGGCTGCGGGGTACCTGAGAATTTGTAGGCTTCATAAAACCTGGAGAAGAGCAAGGGCCACTTGAAGCGGGCATAACTGACCACATCCTCTTTGACCTTCTGGGCATCAGTTCTCCTCTGGGCATAAATCCCCTGGAAGGAGAGAGGGACAGAGGGACAGAAGACAACATACGAGTGAGTTTGCTCTAAAAATCAGCTGCTGCTGCCTTCTAGCCAGGAGCAGCCTGGGGCTCCTGCACCTCCTGTGCATCGTGGCCTTGCCCTGCTCCCATCTGTCTGCAGCCACCCTGTCCCCACCTTTCTCATTCGTCAACATCGGCGAGCACTTTTGAGTGCCAGCTCTATGCAGGTGCTGGGGCCCAAAGTCAGAGAAAGCATAGCTGCCCCTCCAGGGAGTTCCCAGTTCAGCAGAGACAGGGAAGCAAGGATTCCAGGCAGAGCATGTGGGAGGCCCAAGGCCCTGGGGTCAGTAGGAGGCGTGTGCTGGTGCAGCAGAGGCGTGGGCAGGGCAGACGGGGAAGAGAGGGAATGGGGACACAGCGTGCGGAGCCAGGTCCTGGGGGACTGTGAGTGCAGCCACAACTGCAAGAAACTGATCTGGTGAATCTGGGAGTTAGAAAGATCAGTGTGTCAAGGGAGAACTGGAGCCTGGAGGTGAGGTGATCCGTGAGGGGTGCTGCTGTGCTCTTGGTAAGATACAAAAGCACCGGCATTGTGTTTCTCTAAAAATATTCCCCCAAGCCCTAGTGAGAACTCTGGGGTTCTGGGGTAGCATTGGAGGGGTCAGAGTGAAATCCTGGTTTTTATAGAATGTAGACACAGGCATAGGTAAGGGTGGATGTGTATGCCAGCTCACAGACGGCCCCATCTCCACCCATGAGAGCCCATGAGGGGTGCCATCCTGAGAGCGGTGAGAATTCAGAGGCAAAGAGCTCAATGTCACCAACCCAAGCTCAAATGACTCAGAGAAAATACATATGTAGGCAGAGAGACAAATCACTGAGCAAGTGTGGCTATCACCCAGTGAATCTGGGAAGTGAAGTGCACATAGCAGTCCTACTTTTTTGAACGTGCAATTTCTCCATAACTTTGAAATTATTTCAAAATAAGATGTTTTCAAAACACCTGTTATGGACTGAATTGTGTGCTTCCTTCCCCAACCTACCATATTTGCGTATTAAAGTCCTCACCCCCAGCAACTCAGAATGTAACCCTATTTGGAGATAAGCTCCTTTTTTTTTTTTTTGAGAAGGAGTCTTGCTCTTGTCCCCCAGGCTGGAGTGCAATGGCAGGATCTTGGCTCACTGCAACCTCCGCCTCCCGAGTTCAAGTGATTCTCCTGCCTCAGTCTCCGAGTAGCTAGGATCACAGGCACCCACCACCACGCCTGGTGAATTTTTGCATTTTTAGTAGAGACGGGGTTTTGCCATGTTGGCCAGGCTCGTCTCAAACTCCTGACCTCATGATCCGCCCGCCTTGGCCTCCCAAAGTGCTGGGATTACAGGCGTGAGCCACCGCGCCTGGCCCAGAGATAAGGTCTTTAAAGAGGTCACTAATGAGATATCTTGGGTGGGCTGTAATCCAATATGTCCCGTGCCCTTTTAAGAGCAGGATATTTGGACTCAGACGTGCATGTGCACACATCACTGTGTGGTGACAGATGGAGAAGACAGCCATCTGCAGGCCGAGAGGAGAAGCCTCAGGAGAAAGCCCCTGCTGACACCTTGATCTCGGAGCTCCAGGCTCCAGAACTAGAAGGAAATACATTTATTTCTGTTGTTGAAACTACCTAGTCTGTGGCACTTTGTTATGGCAGACCTAGAAAATGAACAATGCACCCTCCCACCCTACAAAAACTGTGATTCACAACTGTCCATTCTATGTGGGGCCTGGCCCAGGGCTCTGGGACAGACACTCTGAGGAGCTCCAGTCCAGGAGAGACCCAGCTCAGCTGTGGGCTCCAAAGGGCAGAAACCATGTCTGTCCCACAAAGGGCTGTGTCTCCAGGTCCTGGTATGGTGCCCAGCACATGACAAATGCCCAAAATAAAATGAATGCATAATAATAGCACCCCACCCAGGACGTACCATATGCCACAATGGCAGTGAGCCCCGAGGAGGCCCTCAGGGAGGTGGGGGTGGAGGCTGCAGCTGTTTGGGAGTTAGCTGGACAGGCTGCAGTGGCTGCCGGCATGTGAGGGCCAAGGGAGAGGAGGTGCCTGAGGATGAAGGGCAGGGCTCTCACTTGAGGGACAGAGGGGTGGCAGGGAGGAGACGCTCCTCCTCTGAAGTGGGGTTCGGGGGGGTTCGGGCCTCGGGGGAAGCAGGCTGGCGCAGGGAGCACTCAGGACTCAGGGAGAGGCAGAGGCTGGCGGGGAGCTGACCAGAGAAGGCACACGGTCAGGTGGAGGGTGGCACAGGGCTCCCGGGTGAGGACGGAGGCCACGAGGTGGAGGGGTGAGATCCGGGTCTGTGGTGCCCTCAGACTATGGAGCCCTCGACTTATGTACGGGGGCAATTCTCTTGCACAGCCAGGGCCATGGAGATGAGGCGGCCTTGGGTCCCCTACCAGCAGCCAGTGCTCCCACCTTCTCCCCATCTGGATACCCCTGCTCTACCTGGCCAGGCTCTTAGCTTGGGAGGGAACCACTCATGGCTGGTCATGGGCCTGGGCTCCAAGCAAGAGGGTCAAGGGGGCCTGTCCCTAAAGCTCCCCAGGCGGGAAGTTGGGCTGGAGTTCTTTTAGGAAAAAGGAGGTACAATTCCTAAAGCTCTGTCTAGCATCCACCGCCACTCCTGAGCTGCAGCTCTGGAAGCTATAACACCAATGAGGGGCTGGCACAAGACCAGGAAAGGGGCCCCAATACCCATGGCCCCACAGAGGCTGCAAGGTTAAGTCTGATTCCCTCTGTGTGCCTGGCACACAGATGGAAGGAGAATGAGTGAGCTGATGTCCAATGAAGGAAGGGCCACTGGAAGGTGCCATCCCATCCCCCGCAGCCCCAACAGAGAGGTTCAGATGAGGCCTGGGACCTCCTTGGTTGTTCAGGTCCACATCCCTTCTCTAGGACTCCTCTCAGCCCTTCTACCTTCTTGTGGGCGGCGATGGCCAGCTGGGCCCACTTCTCCAGCGTCTTCAGGGGCGTGATCTCGCGGTCGGGGATGTAGGTGGGCACGAGGTTCAGGAGGCGCTCCAGGATCATCTCAGAGCCATAGTCTACAAAGTACTGCTGGGAGGCCAGCTCAGCCAGGTCGTCCTCCTAGGTGGGGGGAGGCCTCGGTCATGCATTGGCCCAGGCCCCTCCAGGAAGCCCTTCCACACCACCAAAGGCTCCAGGCCCCTCTCCTGGCCCTGCCTCCTGTAGCTCTCAGAGCCTGGCCTTTGGGACCCAGGCTTCTCACTGATTCACCAGGGAATTCTTGTCTGCTCAGAGGAACCATGAGCTCCCCAAGGGCAGGGCCACACCCTCACCTTCTCCTGGATCCCTCTGGCACTGGCATGGAGCTGGACTCTGCCCAGGGGCACATGAAGTGATGCAAAGAAACAAGCCAGCCCATCGAGCAGCCACTGCACACTCAGCCCTGTGAGACAGCGACCAGAGCTGACAAACAGCAGAAGAGGAAGTGTCTGCCCTGGAGAATGGGAGACACCTAGGGTCTGCTGGCAGGGTCAGAGTGAGGGAAGTGCATCACTGTGACTGCCTCCATCACCATTACCACCGTTAAGCACTTGGGGGACAGTTAAAGTGGTTAACAGCTGGCAGGATCTACTGCAGAGGGTTCAGAGAGCCAAGTGGCCACTGGGCATTTGCCCCTTCTCTGCCTGGCCTGGTGCACAGCAGCCCCAGTGATGCCTACCTAGAGCTCCCCAGGGCTCCAGCAGCAAGGGCATAGAGAAAGGCTCTTGGGGGCCTTGGAGGCAATAGATATTTTCCAACCAGTTTGAAATATTTCAGAATTTTAGCAACTGATGTGGCTATACTAATGCACTCCGCCTGAATATTTGCTTACCACCAATACCACCATTATCATCACCACTATCACCAACAAAACTACCACCACTACCTCCACCATCACCACCATCACTGCCAACACTATCACCAACATCATTACTGCCTCCACCATCACCACCATCATCACTACCAACACTATGCCTCCACCATCACCATCATTATCACTACCAACAACACTGTCATCACCAACACCATCACTGCCTCCACCATCACCATCATTACCAACAACACTGTCATTGTCAACACCACCATCACTACCTTTACCATCACCACTATCATCACTACCCACAACACTGTCATCACCACCAACACCATCACTACCTCCACCATCACCACCACCACCACCATCACTAACATCATCCCTACCTCCAATATTACCATAGTCATCAGTACCAACAATACCTCATCACTAACATCACTACCTCCACCATCACCAACACCATCGCTACCTCCACGATCACCAACAGCATCGCTACCTCCACCATCACCAACAGCATCACTACCTCCACCATCACAAACAACTACCTCCACCATCACCAACACCATCACCACCTCCACCATCACCAACAACACCATCGCTACCTCCACCATCACCAACAGCATCACTACCTCCACCATCACAACTACCTCCACCATCACCAACACCATCACTACCTCCACCATCACAAACAACACCATCACTACCCTCCACCATCACCAACACCATCACTACCTCCTCCACCATCACCACCATCATCATTACCAACACCATCACTACCTCCACCATCACCACCAACCATCATCACTACCTCCACCAACGTTACTACCACCAACTATCCTCTTCATTTCCACCACCTCCTTTCTCATCCCTCCATCACAATCACCAACAGAACCATAGCTACCATTACCATTATCGAAAACAAAACAACCACATAACTCCTGTCCTCAGAAGGAGAAAAAAGAATACACATTTGCAAATTCTGATCTCAAGGAATGGCTGTATTTCTCATTTAATGCAGCGCTTACTAGATATACTCAGAATGGTGCAGCAGGTCCTGCGGCACGTCCTCTGTAGCACGCACAGTCACTACAGCAGTGTGGGGGCCTCCTCCACTGGTGGAATTCAGGACATCCTCAGAAGCCCTTGCTCCCGCCATCTCGCCTCTCCTCACGAGCCCCCTGAAGTAGGCGGTGTCCATCCAGGAGCCTGAAGAGTGCCTGGTTGCAGTCAGGCTCACCCCAGCCTGAGCTAATGATGGCTCACAGAGGAGCACTCAGCCCAAACGTGGAAAGCAGGAGGCTGTGAGCCAAGCCAGCCTGGCGGAAGATTCCCTCCCACTCACCTTCTCACACCTGTACTCCCCAAACTTGACTCCTCGCACCACCTGCTGGTAGATGAGGTTGGTGGCCACGTTGTCCTCGGAGGGGCTGTGCCAGGGCGTGAAGACCTCTTTGCGGAAGAAGAGCCTCCAGGGGGCGTTGCGCTCCTGGGCGCCCTGCTCCTTGGCGTACTGCTCGCACTGGGAGATGGCGTCCATGACGTGGTCACTGCCGCTGCCCAGGGAGGACACCTGTGGGCACAGAGGGGAGGGGAGCAGGCACAGAGTCAGGGAAGGACTATGAGGAGCCTCAACGGGGCCAACGGTCAGTTCAGACAGAAAACGGAGGCCCAGCGAGGGGCAGGGACACGTCCAAGGCCCCCAGGAGGCAGACCAGATTCTAGCCCTGGGCTCTAAGCCGCACCCCCACCATTGCCTTCCTAGCCTCAGTTCTGGGCACGGTGACGTGGGAATTCCCATTTTCTAGTGGAAGCTTTTTGGGAAACTGAACAGACAGTACCTGGAAACATAAGAGCATCGGTGAGAAAAATCCAGGCAAACTGTGTCCAGCAACACGGTACCTCCCCTGGGCTTGTGGGCGGGGGCCCCTCTGCTGAGCATGACGTTGCTGGGGGTGGAGGCAAAATCACCCAAGCCCCAGGTCCCGCTCAGCCGAGGAGGCTCCAGCCTCCGAGGTGAGTCTGCGGGACGCCCACACTCCAGCTGCTTCAGGGCAAGTGTGAAGGAACTCCTGTTTGCTGAGGAGTTTCTCCATCAGATGCCGTGGCAACCTGAGAGGGAATTCCATTCCCATCTGCACACAAGGGCTGCGCAGCCCTCCCATCAGCCTGTGCCATGCTCTTCCTTCAGCACCAGGAGAGGATTCACTGGGCCTGAGGACACAGGACTGAGGACATCCTACTGCTGGGTTTTCCCTCAGGTGCTGAAGAGCACTCAGCAGTTTTTTGTTTGTTTGTTTTTTTGAGATGGAGTCTCGCTCTGTCGCCCAGGCTGGAGTGCAGTGGTGCGATCTCAGCTCACCACAACCTCCACCTCCTGGGTTCAAGTGATTCTCCTACCTCAGCCTCCCGAGTAGCTGGGACTACAGGCGTGCGCCACCGTGCTCCACTAATTTTTGTATTTTTAGTAGAGACGAGGTTTCACTACATTAGCCAGGCTGGTCTCGAACTCCTGACTTTGTGATCTGCCCGCCTCAGCCTCCCAAAGTGCTGGGATTACAGGTGTGAACCACCGCACCTGGCCGAGTTCTCGGCAGTCCTGAGGAGTCAGGCAGAGCCAATTAGCACAGGCTCAGGGGGAAACCGAGGTGCTCAAGGGTGAATAGCCCCGGCAAGTAGGTGGCAGCACTGGCAGCCCGGAGTGGGGCCGGGAGGAGGTGCTTCCGGGAGGAGGTGCTTCCGGGCGGCCATACCTTGTCAAACAGGGCAATGTAGAGGGAGAACCCGAACCGGTCCTTGAGAGAGATCTTGTCGGCCAGCGCGTTGCAGAGCTCCTTGGCCGTGGTTGCCGAGTCCGTCAGCAGGGTCTTGGTGGTCCCATCCATGAATGTCACGGGCAACATGATTGGCTTCTTGGACTTGGTGGCCTGGAAGTGCCCCAAGAGGGTTTGTGGGGTCCCTTCCCTTCAGACCTGCCTGCCCCTCTGGACTTTGGCTCTCTGCTTTCTGTGGGGTTGGAGGTGCCCCAGCACCCCAGGCCCCAGTACCTCACTGGGACACTGCTTGTCCCTGTCACAGGTGTCCAGGGAGCCCTGCTGTGCACCCCACCCCAATGGGACCTTTAGGACCCCTGAGCCAGGGCCTGGGGCTGAGAGGTCAGGCACTGCCACAGGCCAGGGGTCTCTGCTATCACTTCATATAACCTTCACCATGTGGCAGGTAAAGGCATTGAGACACAGAGGGAATCTCCTTTGCCCAAGTCGTCTTGACCGTAAGGCCAGCAAATGGAGTCCCTCATCCTTTGGGGGCTTTTCTGTTCCGATGGGCCTGGGGTTCCAGAACTTGAGGGTAGGTGTCTGAGGAACCACAGAATCTCAAAGCAGGGAATGTTTCTGGGGCACTCGAGTGCACTGGACACACACACACACGCATTTACACACGTGCGCACACATGCACACGAGCACGTGCATACACACGCACGAACCTGCAGCTCCAGCCAGCTGGGCGGCTGTGTCCGTGTCCCATTGACAAAGGTCCTTCTCAGGCGCTCCTCACAGTACGGGGCGTAGCCGGGCGGGCCCCCGTGGATGAAGTTCCGCAGGTACTGCAGCCAGAGTACCCGCTGAGGCGGCCCCTGGGGCTCCCCATGTGGATTTTGAGGGCAGCCGCCAGGCCCTCCCGGCACTTGGAGGCCGCTCCTCCAGGCCAGGTTGCTTTCTGTGGCTTCCCTACCCTCTCAGCTCCACCATCTATTTCCAGCCACGTCTGTGGCCTCCCCCACCTCCCGCTAGCTTAGCCTAGTGGCTCCTCCCCATACCCCTTCACAGCACCAGCCAGTCGGGTCGGTCCTGCCATGACCTGCTCCACTCTGACCCCAGCGCCCAGGGCCTGCCCCAAGACGAGGGTGCAGAGGGCCTGGGACACGCTCCTGTCAGACTCAGCCCCCTCCTAAGTAGAATGGGGCTGAGGGGAGTGTGGGGAAAAGAGGTGGCTGCCTGAGAGGAGGGGGTGCCAGGAAGATGGGGCTCAGTAAGGAGTGGCCGGGTGGGCCTTGTGACCAGGCCCTTTGGAGCCCCTGGCTATTGCTCTCCCCACAGTGCTGGGACAGGGCCTAGCTCCCCTTCCCACTCCAGGAGGCCAGGCACCTTCCTACCTTGACAAACTTCTCGGAGGGGGCGAAACAGCCCACGCAGAGAGACACGAGAATCCAGCCCCGGGCATAGCTGCTCTTGGAGGGGTTGTGGGTCAGCTGCTTGCTGATCTGGCAGTAGATCTCGTCCCTGGGCAGGCAGCAGGGCAAGGGAGGGGGAATCACCCCACAGGAACAGCCCCGGTCCCCACCTCCTCCTAGCAGCCAGTGGGACGCCACACAGCTGTCCTCTCCAACTTGCCAAGACCACCCGGGAGGAGGCAGAGTGAGGCTGGGTGGCAGGGCTGAGCCAAGGGCTGGGGTCTGGCTTTGGAGACAGGATCATCGGGCATAAAGCACCTCCCCAACTCCAATCCAGTTCCCACAGCCAGGGCCCCACCATCCAGGGTGGTGCGTATCCTGCTCTGGGCTCAGCAGCCGCAGCCACAGCCACAGGTGACCATGCTAATGAGAAGCACAGTCCCCGCCTCTGCCTCGTTCCTAACCAGCTGGTGGCCCAGGCAGGTGAGTTCGCCTCTCTGATCCCAGCCCATAGTCACGGCAGCAGGTGCAACTTCTACCCATGGCAACGGACAAAGCGGAAACAGGAAAAGCATCCTGGGGTGTCACTGGGGGATGGAATGAGTAGGGACTTTGTCTCTGGTATATTTCTGTAATGTGTGAATACTTAAGGGGCCATGTATGACTTTTGTAATGGGATGAAAACAATTAAGGTAATTTTTTGGTGTTCATTTTAAAGGAATCCTTACAAGATTGCTGTGAAGATGAATGAGCCAAGGCTTATGACACACCTAGCACAGTGCCAGGCACAGTGAACCCCTCATAAATGCCAGCTGCAATTATTGCTGGGCTTGTTCTTCTCTTCTGCAAACTGAGTACTCTAAGACTGCAGCCTGCCTGTTCAAGGACAAGGGCAGGACACATGACGATGCAGTGTCCGCCAGGGGGCACTCACTGCTGCTCTTCTCTCCCAAAGGATGGCTGGGATTACCTAATTCAGTGGCTCAACAGTTTTGAGAGTTTATAATTTCAAAGAAAATTCTGAAGTTACCCATTTTTTTATCATGATAAATGAGAACATTTATAACACACACAACCTGCCCACTATCTAGATCCCAATTATCTCATAAAACAAAGGTAATTTTAAATTTCCAAACAGTAGGAGGGCAAAGTCTCAGAGCAGTCCTTTAAAGAAAACAAGTTTAGCTTCAGAAACATCCCTCCTTTTCCCACCTTGCCACAGACTAGTGAGATATTATCACCTGCAGCTGGGAGTCTCCACTCACTTTACAGATGGGGAGACAGAGGCTGAGAGCAGGGAGGGATTAGCCGTGTGAGGCCCCTCAAGGAGTTGACACCCCAGCCTTTGGACTCTTGGTTCAGGGCTCCTGGCACCGTGTTTCCTAGAAGTGTCAGCTTTAGGTATGATGGTGAGATAATTTGGAGGCAAATTCTTGCCCCTGAGACACGCCTGCAGCAGCTGCCTTTTCCTCCTGTTGGCAGGTGGCCCTGGGCAGTGTGGCCACCCCGGTGAGGTAGTGACTAGCCTTGGGGAGATAAAAACGGGGGCCTGATAGGAGGCAGGAGGCCTAGTGACCCCTGGGCAAATCTCTTCCCTACTCTGGACCTCAGTTTCCCCATCAGGAAAGTGGGGCTTGGTCCCTGCCTCATCCTGCTGTCCTCCCAACCAGCATGCACACATTCATGGCATCAGCTCTCCCGACAGACCTGTCCTATGCAGAGACTGTTCTCAGAAAAGTCCTAGCCCTCCTCTCATCAGCTGAGTTGATTTTTTGGTGGCTCCTGGTGACTCCTGGGTCTTCCCTTCAACTCCCCAAAACCCCAGGGACCTGGGTAAAGGCCTCTCCTGGCCCTGTGGGGAAGGAGGTACTTGCAGGATTCCCAGGCACAGTAACCTTAACCGTGGGCCTAGGGTGGGTGACTGGAGGTGAGCTGGCGGCAGCGGGGTTAAAGCAGGAAATGCATGTTGGATGATGATGATCAAAGCTACCATCTACGGGGCGCTTACTATGCTCCAGGTCTGGTGCTACACAGTTTTCATAGCTTTATCTTCCCACAAGCCTATGTATGAGGTAGCTACTGCAGGCACACCTCATTTTACTGTACTTCACTTTATTACACTTTGCAGACATTGCATTTTTTACAAATTGGTTTATGACGACTCTGCATGGAGCAAGTCTACCAGCACCATTTCTCCAACAGCATGTGCTCACTTCCCGTTTCTGTCACATTTTGGCAATACTAGAAATATCTCAAACTTTATTATTATATTTGCTGTGATCTGTGATCACTAATCTTTAACGTTACTATTGTAATTGTTTTGTGCACCATGAATCGTGCCCATAGAATATGGCAAACCTAACTGATAAATGTTAGATGTGTTCTGACTGCTCTACCAACCAGCCATTCCCCCATCTCACTCCCTCTCCTCACGCCTCCTGATTCCCTGAGACACATTCATATTGAAATTAGGCCAATTAATAACCCTAAAATGGCCTCTAAGTGTTCAAGTGAAAGGAAGCGTCGCACATTTTTCACTTTTAATCAAAAGCTAGAAATGATTAGAGAGGAAAGCATGTTGAAAGCCGAGATAGACCAAAAGCTGGGCCTCTTGTGCAAAGCAGTTAACCAACTTGTGAATGCAAAGGAATAGTTCCTGAAGGACATCAAAAATGCTACTCCAGTGAACATGCAAATGATAGGAAAGTGAAACAGCCTTATTTGCTGATATGGAGAAAATTTTAGGGGTCTGAATAGATCAAACCAGCCACAACATTCCCTTAAGCCAAAGCCTAATCTAGAGGAAGACTGTCTCTTCAATTCTATGAAGGCTGAGAGAGGTAAGGAAGTTGCAGAAGGTAAGTTGGAGGCTCACAGAGATCGCCTCATGAGGTTCAAAGCAAGAAGCTGTCTCCAAAATATAAAAGTGCAAGGTGAAGCAACAAGTGCTGGTGGAGAAGCTGCAACAAGTTTTCCAGAAGGTCTAGCTAGAATCATTGATGAAGGTGATTACACTCAACAGCAGATTTTCCATGTAGATGAACCAGCCTTCTATTGGAAGAAGATGTCATCTAGGACTTTCATAGCTAGAGAGAAGTCAATGGCTGGCTTCAAGGCTTCAAAAGACAGGCTGACTCTCCTGTCAGGAGCTAATGCACTGCTGACTTTCAATTGAAGCCAATGCTCAGTGACCATTCCAAAAATTCTGGGGCTCTTAAAAATTATGTACAAGAGGCTGGCTGCAGGGGCTTACACCTGGAATCCCAGCATTTTGGGAGGCTGAGGTGGGTGGATCACAGGGTCAGGAGTTCAAGACCAGCCTGGCAACATGGTGAAACCCCGTCTCTACTAAAAATACAAAAATTAGCTGGATGTGGTGGTGGGCACCTGTAGTCCCAGCCACTCGGGAGGCTGAGGCAGGAGAATTGCTTGAACCCGGGAGGCAGAGGTTGCAGTGAGCTGAGATGGCGCCACTGCACTCCAGCCTGGGCAACAGAGTGAGACTCTGTCTCCAAAAAAAAAAAAAAAAATGATGTACAAGGAGACGAATGTTATTTTCATGCCTGCTAATGCAACATCCATTCTGCAACCTATGGATCAAGGAGTAATTTTGGCTTTCAAGTCTTATTTAAGAAATACATTTTATAAGACTATTGCTGCCATAGATAGTGATTCCTCTGGTGGATCTGGGCAAAATCAATGGAAAAGCTTCTGGAAAGTATTCACTATTCTCAGTGCCATTCAGAACATTCATGATTCGTAGAAGGAGGTCAAATTATTAACATCAATAGGAGTTTAGAAGAAGTGGATTCCAAACTTCATGAATGACTGAGGGGCTCAAGACTTCAAGAGGAAGTAACTGCAGATGTGGTGGAAATAAATAGCAAGAGAACTAGAATGAGAAGTGGGGCCTGAGGATGGAACTGAGTTGCTGCAATGTCATGATCAAATTTCAGTGGATGAGGAGTTGCCTCTTATGGAGGAGCAAAGAAAGTGGTTTCTTGAGATGGAATCTATTGGTGAAGATGCTGTGAACATTGTTGAAATGACAACAAAGGATTTAGAATATTGCATCAACTTAATTGATAAAGCAGCAGCAGGGTTTGAGAGGATCGACTCCAATTTTGAAAGAAGTTCTACTGTGGGTAAAATGCTGTCAAACAGCATTGCATGCTACAGAGAAATTTTGTGTGAAAGCAAATCTCACTGTTGTCTTATCTTAATAAATTGTCGCAGCCACCTCGACCTTCAGCAACCACCACTCTGATCAGTCAGCAGCCATCAACATCAAGGCAAGACCCTCCAGCAAATAGATACAACTTTCAGATGACCATTAGCATTTTTGGCATTAATTTCTAATCAAGATGTCTACATTTTTTAGACATAATGCTATTTCATACTTCATAGACTATAGTATAGTATAAATATGACTTTTATATGCACTGGGAAACCAAAATATTTCTGCAGCTCTCTTTATTGTGATATTTATTTCTGTGGCCTTCAACTGAACCTGCAATATCTCCAAGGGATGCCTGTTTTAGGATTCCCCCTTTACAGACAAGGAATCAGAGGCTTAGAAAGATGAAATAACTCCACCAAGGTCCTAACTCCACCAACTAGCTAGCAGCGAAGCCAAACCCAGGCCTGCTTGGCTTAATCTCTTGCTAGGTTGACAGAGGCACCACTCAGCCACCAAAAGACTTTCAGGCCCTGGTGTCCCCGCCTCCCGGCACTGACCGGAGTGCTGGCCGCAGGATGCCATTGCCGATGATGAAGTGCAGCTTCTCCAGGTTGGAGGTGGGCCGGTCCTCCAGCATGCTGTTGCCCTGCACTGTGGACTCCCCGTCATGCAGCCTCTTGGTCACCTGGGCCAGAGGGAGAGGACAGGGCAGGTAAAGTTAGGGGTGTTCCCCTGCCAGCCAGGGCACCAGCACCCGAGGCTGCCTGCTCCCCAGAAAACAGAATCTAAGGAGTGAGCAGAAGAACTGGGCTCCCCATCACTGTCATTACCCCTGCCACGTGCACAGCAGATGCTGGGCCAATAACTGGCCCACACAGCAGGGGCACACTGGCCCGGTGCCACCCACTTCTGGGGACAGAGCTCCTCTGGCCACCTCCTCGATACCCTGCACCCCACACCCCACCCCAGGGAGGTCCTCTCAGCCAGGACAGGGACATGATCCTCTGACTCCAAGCGGGACCCCTATCTCTCTGGGGTGCCCCCGCCAACATAACTGTGGCACCTGGAGTATACTCCAGGTTCCAACCACCAGTCACCACCACTCTGTCACCAACACCCTTAGCCCCGATGTGACCAGCCTCACACCAGTTCTTATGAGATGTTTCTCCTCTCTCATCCCACACAGCCCACAGCACAAGCCCCGAGCTCTGCCCAGAGGATGTAGGGTGAGTGAGAGGCGAGCGGCAGGAGTGGGTGGTGCAGACAGGGAGCACCACTGAACACCCTCGGCTGCCATTTCTGCCTTCTTCCCAGGACCCCACGGAGTGGGCATTTTCTTCCCTGGGTCCCTTGAATACTAAGCGGCAGAGGTGGGATTCAAATCTGAGGCCACACACCTGCAAGGCTGGATTTGTGCCTCAGGTGGGGACAGGACAAGGGCAGAGGTGAAGTGGGAGCCCCTGACTCTGCAGTGGAGGAGCTGGGGAGGCTTCCTGGAGGAGGTGACCCCAGGCAGAGAAAGGAGGAGTTTCAGGCAGAGGGACTGGCATGTGCAAATGTGGGGATGGGGGCCTGGCCCCCAAGGCTGTGAATGCCTTGGTTTGTGTCTGCCTCTCCAGTGTATCCTCCCCTGCCACACACACACCAGCCTGGACAACCCCAGAGCACAAGGGCTGGGACAGTGCCCAGAAAAGGCAAAGTGACTGAAGAATGAATTCAAATAAATTAATCCTGTTCATGCTCCATGAGCACTCTTGTTCCACAGAAAGCTCCCATGCCTCAAAGGTCCTTGGACCAAGTGCCTCGGGTCTGTGCCCGGCTAGAAGTGTATTCCCTCTCAGCTGTGCCGCTACCGGCCTCCCCTGCTCAGTGCCCTCTGCTAGGAAGCCCTTCCCACCCCCGGCCTGAGATCCCACCCTCTTCAGACACTCCTGTCTGCCTGATCGCCCACCAACCCACTCATGTTGTCCTGTCCCTGGCCAGCCAAGACCCCTGAGGACAGACAGTGTCCACTCCTGCTCCTGCTTCCGTGGGCCCCCAGCTCAGCTGTGCTCCAGCCTAGGCCACCTAAGGCAGCCACCCCTGGGCTGCCAGACCCCCAGCGTCTGCCCTCACCTCCTCTGTGAGCTTGGACTTCTTTTTCAGAGTCAAATGCACCAGCTTGTGCCTCACACTGCTCTTCTTCTGGCCCTCGGGGAGCTGGGCCTGCAGGACCAGCAGGGATCAGGGTCAAGTGGCTGAGCAGAAAGCAATGTCGAGACCCCCGACAGCAAGACTTTGCGGGGAACCGTCTCGCTTCCACGTGAAGCTTACAGGGTGTCCCCCACACTGCCACCGTCCACCTGCTCACCCCTACCCTTGCACCCCCACTAGCCAACTGGCAGTCAGGAAAACTGAGACTCAGAAAAACATAGTACGGGAGCTGGCTCCAACTGCAAAGCCCCTGTCTGCTCTGCCATGAGGCCCCTCAGTTATGGTCAGCACTTTACAGTTTATAAAAGTTGCACACATTTGTTCCCACAAGTAGACAAAGGAGGGTGGCAGGCAGGGGTCGGTGAGGCAGAGATGAATTATAGGATCCTTTTTCTGCAGAGGAGCCCAAGGCTGGTGATGCCAGCGGCCCTCCTTGTCGGCCTGGGAGGGACATCATCCAGAGGGCACCTTGGCCTCACCTCGCCCTCGCCCTGCAGGGCCTGCAGCTCCCTCTTGTACGTCTTCTTGCCCAGGGTCTCATAAATCTTGGTCATCACAGGGATCTTCTCACTGCCATCACTCATGGCTGTGTGGTACTTGGGCTCAGGGAGGTCCCCCATGAAGCGGAGGATGGTGATCCAGACCGCCAGGGCTGCCTGGGGCAGAGCGCGCATGTCAGAGGCCAGAGCGGAGGACATTGCTAAAGCTGTCAAAATGACCTGGCGGTTTGGGGAGTGGGCTGGAGACACCCCCTCCCGCATGGTCAGCCCTCAGGCTGGGCACCGCAGTGAAGACTATAGTCAGACCTGGTCCCTGGCCCCCAGGGACCCACCACCCTCATCACCTACGGCCACCACCAGCAGCAGAGTCCATAGCCCCAGCCCTGGCCCCACCCAGCAGTGACCTAGTGACAGGCAGGCCTTACCAGCTGGTCACCCTCGTCGTCATGGTAGAGCAGTGGCTGTTTGAGTGGCCGCCGGGTGTAGGAGTGCGTGGTTGTCCCCTGGAAGTAGGTGGCCGCGAACTTGGCAAATTTATACTCAGAGAGGTCCTCCTCATCCTCGTCAGGCAGGGGCAGGGCTGCATCCAGGTCCTCCTCCACCATCTCCCTCCGCCCTCGCTCCAGGTCCTGAAGGAGACAAGAGGTATGCCCTGGAGTCCCAGCTACTCAGGAAGCTCAGGTGGGAGGATCGCCTGAGCCCAGAAGTTCAAGGCTGCAGTGAGCTGTGATCACGCTACTGCACTCCAGCCTGAGCAACAGGGTACGACCCCATCTCAAAAAAAAAAAAAAAAAAAAAAACAAAAAAAAAAACTTGAGAAGGGCGTTGGAGAGGGACAGGACCTGGGACCTGCAGCCCGGACCCAGTTCATCTCTGCTCCCCACTGTTCAGAGGGACTGGGTGGGCTTTAAGGCCAAGGGCACAGAAGGAGGGAGGATCAACACAAGCGGTGTGTGTGGGCCTCTGGAGCCCCTGTCCCTAGCCTGGTACCTCAAAGCCACTAGGTGCCTGGCCCTCCTGGCCTGGCAGGCCACCTGAAGTCCCCAGGAAGCCAAACATCTTGTCCACCATGTCTGAGTGATTGACAGGCTCATGGCGGGCCCTTTCCATCTGCTCCAGGAGCTCCTTCTTCCGCCGAGCGGCCTCCTTCTCCTTCAGCTCCCGCTCAGCGTCCTCACGAGCCAGCTGGGCCAGGCGCTCCTGGGCAATTGGGGTGACACAGAAGACACGGGGTCAGCCCCCGGTGCCACAGCCTCAGGGAACAAGCTCTCCCTGGGGAGCCCCTGCAGCAGCCAGGGCCTCAGTCCCCACCTCCTGACCGCTGGGAAGAATGGAGCCTCTGACTTCCCCACCTCTGGACCACTCAGAGGCCTCTCAACAAGCCAAATAACAATCCTGCCCGTCCTTCAGGGCTCTCAGGGAGCCACCTCCTCCAGGAGCCTGCTCCATGGGGACCACACCAACCCAGACATCCCACGGCCATTGGCTTGAGGCTCTAGACCAGTGTTGCCCAATAGGAATACAATGTGAGCCACCCATATAGTAGCCACGTTTTAAAAAGCAAAAAGGAATAGGTGGGATTAGTCTTAGCAGTATATTTAACTCAATATTTCCCAAATATTAACTTAGCATGTAATCCATATTATAAAAATAATACTGAGATATTTTATATTCATTTTTCCCCCACCAAATCTTCAAAATCTAGTATTTCACACTTAAAGCACTGTGTCATTCGGACAGGCCACACTGCAAGTGTTCAGTTGCCACTGTGGCTGGTGGCTCTCTATTGGGCAGTGTAGCACCCTCGTGCCGTCAGCTGGCTTGTGCTTTTACCAGGGTGTTATCTCAACAACTAGAAAGGGGCTGCTGAGGGCCTGGGCCTCTTCCTCTGGAGCCACCACAGCCCTTCATCCTTTTGCATGGCACAGGACCAGGTGCCCAGCGAGAGCTCAGGCAATGCTGGCTGAGTGGGTCTAGTGTGGCCATTCTGAAGGATGGAAGGAAGGCTGCAGCACCGGGTGACAGATGAGAAGCCAGCCTCGGGGAGGGGACAAGCCAGCAAGTGGACACCTAAGGTGCCTGGAGGCTCTCAGCTCACCTGATGCTTGCGCTCGGCCTCCTCCTTGGCCTTCTTGGCGCTCATCTCCTTCCGAAGCTTCTCTTCCTCCGCCAGCCGCATTTTCTCAGCCTCGAGGCGCCACAGATACTGAGGGAAGGGGGCATCCAGAGGGCATGGAAATGTGTGTAGCTGTTGTTGCAGGGATTCCCACCAGCTCCACCCACCCAACTCTGAGTTCTGGAACTGGGCATGACTTTGATAGGACAAGTGAGGTAATCAAGAAATTCTCTAGGTCACCCAGCGGGCTGGAGGCACCACTGATCCTAAAGCCCGGCCAGATCTGCGTCGGTCTCCCAGAGATTCCCAAGAGTGACTGAGGTCCCAGCCCTGCCCTTGGCTGAGAGGATGGAAATGAGGGTCTGGTCCCAGGTATGTGCACTCCTCAGAGCAGGCATAACTGCAGGTCCCCCCTATAGGTCCCACTTCCTGGCCAACACCTGAGGGTGATGC
Organism: Homo sapiens; assembly: GCF_000001405.40. Classification (NCBI taxonomy): domain Eukaryota; kingdom Metazoa; phylum Chordata; class Mammalia; order Primates; family Hominidae; genus Homo; species Homo sapiens. The sequence goes on along the minus strand of NC_000011.10, from coordinate 77,180,010 downwards.
ATGGACACTCCTCGCCCAGGGGTCAGAGCTGTGGGTGCTATGGACTTGCTCCCTCACCTCAGCCCTGAGGCGTTGGTGCAGCCTGCGGGCGATCATGCCCCGGGCATAGGCCTGCACGGTGAGCACAGCCCAGAGGCGGTGGCGGAAGGCCTTGCGCACCAGATAGGCGCGGCAGCGGGCCTGGAACTGGATGATGCGCTGGCGGGCCAGGCGGTACTGCTGGTGCAGCTTCCGGGAGCGGTGCAGGGCCTGCAGCCGCAGGAAGCCCAGACGCATCTGCAAGGACAGCCACCCCATGCTCAGAGCCTGCTGTCCCATTCCAGACTGACCCTGCCTGCAGGAGCTTCCATGGCACCGGCCTCCACTCTCAGACAGGCACCCCCAGAAGGCGTGGCCCAGTCTCCTCTCAGATTAGTGCCCCCCCATCGTTAGAAAGTTCTGTTTCCTCTCAGGCAACATATTTTTAGGTGACCTTGACTCTCCCTGAGTTGGGGCCCCCAAGAGAATCCTAGATCAGGAGCTGCAACCAACCAGTCTGCTTCCCATCCAGCCCCAACAAGTCCTAAGCCCAGCTGCTGCACAGAGGTCCATGTGACCCAGCCACTCTCACCCTGTCTGAGATCTCTAATAATCCCAGAGTGCTCCCAACCCCCAAAAACACTCCAGAAGGAGAGCAACAAACATTGCTGGCCAGTTGGAAGAAGCCACAAGAGCCAGATCCAGACTTCGGTCTGGAGGAATGGTAGTGGCTGGCCAGGGCAGTGGCAGGAGGCCAACGAGGCCAGGCTGTGCTGCCTGGGTGCAGGCCAGTCCCACTGCCATGGCAGCAAGGCTGGGTTCAAAGGCCTGTTTGGGCAAGAGCAGCCCATGGGGAGGCTCACCAGCCCGTAGTTCTTCCTACAGTTGTGACCCCGCCAGTGCCTCTGGATCAGTGTGGCAGCGTTCTTCAGCTTCAGAAAGTTAGACCTGAAACAGCAGTAGTGGCGCGGGTGAGCAGTGTCCAGAGGCAGCCAGGGTACAGGTGGGTTTGGGATCAGGAGGGCACGCTGAGTCCCAGCTCTGTGACTTCCTAGCTATATGACCTTGGGCAAGGCACATAACTTCTGTGCCTCAGCTTCCTCATCCGTACAATGTGTAGAATAATGCCTGCCCTGCCTGCCCCACAGGCCTGTCACATAAGCCCATGAAGGTAGACATTCAAAAGGTATTTGTTGAATGAATAAATGTATGAAAAAATAAGTAATTAAAATAATATAAAGATCAAAAGCTTTGAACAGTCTAACTTCCTCAGTTTATACATGAGGCAACTGAGACTTGATAGGTTGGGACTAGAGCCCATGTCTTCTGACTGACCCTAAGTGAGCCCAGTGCTGTTCCCCCTGCACACAGCAGGCTGCTTCTATAGGAGAACAGTCATCTTCAGCCTGATAGAGGACAGAGACCATGCACAGACAGCAGGGGTCTGCTGAATGTAGAAATAAATAAAGGAAGAGCGAAGGATGGGTGTGCAAGTATGCAAGTGAGCCAATAAGTCAATGCTTGGAGACACACATAAGCAAATGAGCAACTGTGGGAGTGGGTGGGTGAATGGATGAATGGAGGAATGAATGGGTAGGTGGATGGGTGGGTGGACTGATGAGTGAATGGATGGGTGGGTGGGTGGATGGATGGATGGTGGATGGGTTGGTGGGTGAATTGATGGATGAATGTGTGGGTGGATAGGTGGATGGATGAGTGACTAGGTGGGTGTGTGGGCGGGTGGATGGATGGATGGATGGATGGGTGAATAGGTGGGCAGATGGATGGATGGATGGATGGGTAGGTGGGTGGGTGAACGGACGGATGGATAGGTAGGTGGGTGGACGAGTGGAAGAAGGGAGAGAGTGACCATATGAACTGCAAAGGGGTGCATTGTGGAATTTTTGCAGAGCTTTAATCACACTTTGGAGTCAGTCCTGCACATTTGTGAATTGTCACGTGTACACATATCCCTTAGATAGAATATGAGACACATTTTGTATTAATAATTTATAAAATCTCAAATTTCCTCTTTGCAAAATTTCATCAGCATCTGACATGAACAGTGGGTCCACATGTGAGTCTCATGTATCTACGTGTGCATGTGCATATGTAGGTGAATGTATTGCATTATTTGGCTTACGTGGCACAATGGGTCCATGTAAATCATGTATCTATGTTCCTCTGTGTTTACATGATCATGTGTGCATGCCATGCATGTGTGCACTTGTTTCATAGGTGAACACGTTTTTTTCCTAGTGTTCATGCGGGCAGAGCAGAGGAGAGCCAAACACCACACGTACACCTGTATGTGGGCTGAGGAGGGGAGGAGCTGGTGGGAACACGCACCTGTCTTTGAATCCCCGGATGACTTTCTGAAGGAGGATGACTCTGTCGGTGATGGCTTTGTCCCGCTCCACTTCCAGCAGCATGTCATGGTGGTCCTAGGAGGCAGAGCTCCTGAGCAGCGCCCCACAAGGTCTCCTCTAGGACCACCTGCTCAGTCCCAGTGGGGGCTGCTCTTCCTTCACTGGGAGCACAGGTCAAGAACTCAGTTGGGCCCCATGAGCTCCCAGCTGGCTCTGGCCCCTGGGGCAGCCTCCCACAGCCACCAGGACAGACAGGGGTTGTGGCTGTTTCCCAGAGGTCCAGGCAGGACAAATGGAGCAGAAGGTGCCTAATCTCTCTGGATGGGGTCGGAAGGCCCAGTATGCACACACACCAGCTTCTTCCCTATCGTCAATCTGCCCAAGCCCCCTGCTTCTAGACGTCCCTGTCACATCAGTCCCTCACCTGGGCTGGGCTGTTGCCATTCTTCTCCCGAACCTTGGCAGCAGCCTCCTAACTAAAGGTCTCGCGGCCTCCTGGCTCCCTCTCTGGCGCTCCTTCACAAGCAGCCAGAGGGACCCTCCTCAACACAACCTGGATGGTGACCCTACAGTGACACCTCATGGTTCCCCACGTCGAGCCTGGGTTCCTCACCCTGGCATTCAAGGCCACCCATGATCCAGGGTGTCTGCCAACTTTTTCAGCCCTCTCTCCTCCTCATCCAAGACCCCAACCCTCACTGTAGTTGGACAAAACTTCATTGGTTCACTTAATATATATGAATTGAACACCTCCATGTGCTGGCACTGTGCTAGATGCTGGGGAGGGGAGGGGCTGCCACAATGAACCAGGGAGACATGGCCCCTGCCCTTGGGGAGGGTAGAGTCTCATGAGGGAGCCAAATCCATCAGATAATCACAGACACACAGGGCCCTGACAGAGGAGATGCTCAGCCGAGGCATTCTGAATGAATGAATGGATGAATGAGCATGTTTGGCCTCTCAAAACCAAGGCCATATCGGAAGAGCCTAGCAGTGTAAGTCAGGGGCTGATGGAGCTCCTCCGAGTTCCCTGGTACTAGATGCCATCATGATTCCTGCCTTCCCCACTTTGCCCACACAGGGGCTGGGCATCAGACCTTCCCAGACTAGAAGTCCTGCTCCCTGCTTCCTAGCTGCCTGGTTTCAGGCAACTCACTTCTCTCTGAGCCTGTGAAATGGGTATAATATTTCCTTCTCCACAGGACTGTTTCAAGGATTAAATGAGCTCATGGATGAAAAGCACCCACCCAGGGCCTGGCACATGGAATGTGCTTTCTGGCTGACAGCTGTGGGAGGCACAGGCAGGGAACATTCATCACATCTTGCTGATGAGGAAATGCAGGTGCAAGGAGAGAAAGGGCCTAGCCTGAAGCCCCTTGGCTGGAGAGGAATTAGAAGAGGCCGCAGGCTCCCTCCAGTTCGGAGCTGGTTCTTGTCCCTCCTGCAGCTGTCCTTGGAGTGCCCAGGCCCCACCCCCCACACCAGAGGAAGGAGCCCTGTCATCCGGGACAGCCAGAAATCTAGCACAGCGGAAATGCAAATGGGGAAGCCCAGCACTGGGAGCTCGCACTGTCCCTGCTGCGGCTGCCCTGCCACTGCCAGCTCCCAGCCATGTCTCCAAGGCTGTGACTCCGCGACTCCCGCAGGCCTTGCTTCCTGCTTCCTTCCCCAGCTGCCCAGGCAGCAATGGGAGCTGAGCTCCCTACAGAGTGACGGACAGGTGGCATGCTGCGGACCCCAGCACGGGATGGGCCCTGCCAGGCAGGAAACCACAGGAAGGAACCTAAAGATACACTCAAGAGACCCCACACAGGCACACCCCAATTTACAGATGGGAAAATGAGGCTCAGAAAGGGCCCCAAGGCAAGCAGCACCCCTGCCTCCCTGCTGTGGGCCTAACAGCCAGCCCGCCCCTGGCATGTGCTTTGTAACCTGTGGTCAGTGCTCTGACCCCACTCCCAGGTTGTAGATGATCTCAAACACCAAATTACCCTTCCCCACCAGAGAGGCCAGATCCCACCTGCTCCTCCAGCCACACCACAGCCCGGCAGAAAGGATCTCAAAGCCCCAGCACTGCCTCCCTCTCCCGAGCACCCCAGCCCACATCATGGGAATTTACAGCCCCCCCAGGGCAGCCCAGGGAAGGCATCTGTGCTCACCTTCAGAAAGATCTTGGTTTTGCCTATCTGCCAGTCATCGTGGGTGCCCAGCACAGCCTCAGCCATGCGCTGGCAAGTCCCGCGGAGGTCGCCCTGGAGTGAGGATGGGGAACACAAGGGAATGGACAGCCTCTCCAGTGGGAAGGCCTCCGGAGTGTCCCCGAGGCTGAGAGGCAGGGCTCTTCCCGAGCTCTGCCCCTGACTCGAAGTGTGACCTCAGCTGGGTCCTGCCTTCTCTGAGCCCCAGTTTTCTCCTTAGCTCAGCTGGATGGTATGATTGCAAAACCCTTTCTCACAACTGACATCCAGGGCCCGCGTGGCAGCCCTGGTCTTGTTCCTTACACCACCATGTGTGAAGTCCTCACCAGCTGAACATGGCAACTGAAGCCCACTGATGCATTCCAATACCTGAACCCCAATTTTCCGTGCTGCACCTGAGAGGTCAAGCAGATGTCAAGCCCCGCCCATGGTCCTGATAAGAAAATTGGGACCCTTGCCCAGCCAAAGCTGGGACCCTCCCCTCCTGCCCTCTGTGCACTCAGCCCTGTACCTGCTTGTAGGCCGGCTTCACACCTGGCAGCAGCACACGGTACCGCTCCACAAACTCTACGAAGCTGTAGCGGATGGGGTAGCCAGCTCGGCGGATTCGGATGGTCTCCATCATTCCTGAGTACCGCAGCTGGCGCACGCACAGGTGCCGGTCGAACAGCTGCCAGGCACACAGCCAAGGGCATCAGGGCCAAGGCTCCTGCTGGGAGGCAGCCCTGCTGTGCACTTGACCAACCCAGACAAAGGCTCAGAAAGGCCAAGTCCACACGGCATGGGAGGAGCAAAGCTGGGACAGGCACCGGGATCTGCAGCTCAAATCCACAAAAGAGCATAAAGTGAGGCCTGTCGTGGTGGAGCTGTGTGCTTTGGGAGCACAGAGAAGACAGATTAATTCCCCTTGGGACACCCAAGTGGGGAGCTTCATGGAGGAGGCGTCTTTATCACCCTAACCCTGACAGGAGGGGGAGTATTCCAAGGCTGGAGGGGGTGAGCCTGTGCAAAGGTTTGGAAGCCTGAAAGCGCAGGACTTTGCTGGGAATCTTGAGGGAGCTAGAGAGGCTCGTCCAGGCCAAGTTATGGCTGTGCAGGTGAGGGGTGCTCTGCACAGCCCCAGGGAGGACCTTTCACGTTGCAGGTATTGTAGATCTGCGGTTATTCAGACAACTTTCTAGCTGCCTTAAGGAAGAGGCACATTTTTCAAAGGGCCCTGGGGTTTGGTTGGTGGAGGGGCTGGGGAGAAAGAGTAGAAGGCAGGTGCTGGGCTGTGAGGCTGTGGGGCTCTGTGAGGGCCTCATCCATGGATGCTGGAAGCCAGGGAAGTTTTAGAGCAGGGAGAGACTGGGCCAGGTCTGCATTTGAGAACAATGTCACTGGGGGCCAGGGGAGGCAGGACAGGAGGCAAGGGAGGCAGGAGACCCTTGAGGAGGCTATTGCCAAGGCCCAGTCCACAGATGCTGAGGACTGGGCCGAGGGAAGGGTCCCACTTCAGAGCCAGGGAAGACTGTGCCCGACTGCCCTGGTGTCAGTCCCCTGCACCCCCTGCATTAGAGGGAGAGCTCACTGGAGCCCTCTGCGACCCTCAGGCCCCTGCAGACCTGAGTCCTAAAGGGGACAGGCCTCATCCACTCTGGGACATGTTTTCCAGGCAGGAGGCAGCAGGAGGGGACGGTCTTGCAGCCTGTCAGCTTCCGGAGACTGTTTCCTCTCTCTCCGGGCCACTTTCCCCGGCCTTCCTTCCCTCCCCAGATCCCGAGGCCCCAGCTTCCCCCTGTGCCTCCCTGCAGGCCTCTGGGTAAACAACCCTCCCAGAGCCTGTGCTGCGAAAGGAGAGGGCTCGCAGCGAGGTGGCCCCAGCCTGAGCCCCTTAACCTCCCTGAGCCCCCAGTCCCGCATCTCTAACCTGGGACCAGCACAGTCCCTTTCTCACGGGCTGTTTGAGAAGGTTGAAGGAGGCTGTGGACTGACCATCCAGCCTATGCTGGGCACACAGAAAGGGCCCAACAAATGTTATTCAGAAAAGTCAAGAATGAGGATATCCCAACCAGCTGAAGAGATGGGGGAGGCTTCCAGGAGGAGGTGGTGGTTGAGCTGGGCCAAAGGAGAAGGGGACTTTCAAAGAAGCAGCCCCAGCAAGAACCACAGCTGCCAATCACTGGGCACTTGCTGGGTGTGGGCATCTGCAAGCATTACTGCATGGAATAGCCTTAGGAGGTAGATACGGTCAGTCCCGTTTCCATCTATGAGGAAACTGAGGCATAAGAGAAGAAACTGCTTTGTCTGCAGTCGCCCACTTGTACATGGTAGAGGCAGGATCTGAACCTGCTGCAACCCCCCGCAGAGTCTAGGCTCTTTCCAAGGCACCTGCTGCCTCCAATAAATAGGGGGCCTTGTTTTGTAAGCTCCCGGGGTGCCCCCCATTCCCCAAAGGGACAAAGTCTCACATCCTTCACTCCCACCCTACCTTATTCTTGACCTAGCTCCTCCACGTCACCCTAGCCGCCACCCGCCAACCCCAGGCCAGGGCCACTCACCATGGGCTTCTTGAACTCATTGGGCTTGATGCATCGCACAAAGAAGGGCTGGCAGGCACCCAGCGTGCGCATCAGCAGCTCCAGTGACCGCTTGAACTGGCTGCTAAGTGTGGGCGAGCGCTTCCTGGTCTCGGCGCCCTGGGGGGACGGACGGCAGCGATGGGAGGGGCTGTGCCTGCCCCATCCAGTGTCCCAGGAGCCGCCCAGTAGGAAGCGGGAGGGGAGGTCAGCGGGGTCAGGGTTTGAGGGACAGGGCGGTATTTGAAGTTTTCCTGCAAACTGCCTCTCCCCACCTTCTGAGCTGGAGCCTGGACTCCAGATACCTCCTCCAGGAAGCCTCCCAGGACTTCCAAAGTTACCACCTCTGGGCGAGGGGGAAGTGAACCCTACAGGAAGATCTCCGCACTGGGAGTCTCAAGCCTGCCCCTGCACCTGGTGCGCTGGATAACTCTGAGCAAGGGGCAGCCCCTGAGTCTCATCCCTCCCTTCCCTGTATAAAGGAGTAATCGGACTTGGTCACCTCAGGACACTGAGGTCATCTCTAGAGACAGGGGTTAGACGAACCTAGATTCAAGCCCTGGCCCACCACTTCCTAGCTGTGTGCCCTTGGGCAGGTCACTAAATGTTGCAGAGCCTCAGTTTCCTAAGTGGAGGTGATGCCATCTATCCATCTGACCAGGCTGTGACAAGGGTCAGAGGTCAGGGCATATTTCAGTAAACAGCAACCTAGAAAGGTGGTGCCGCCTTCTGGAAACCTGTGGGCAAGCGCGAGGAGGAGGGGCGGGAGCTGCCGGTGACCTCTCCCCTCCCAGGCTTAGCCGGCAGCAGCAGGCTGGGGGCGGGGCAGGCCTGGCTAATCCTCCTAAGAAGGCACACAAGCAGCCTCCTCCTAACCCCCCGCACTGTGGCTCCGACGCAGCCAGGGGTTCTGTGCTCCACCAGCCACACCTGGGCGATCCTGGCAGCCAGCGAGCCCCCTGCGCCTCCCTGCCCTACTGGGGTCCCCTCTGAGAATACTGTGAAATGAGGTGGGGGAAGCCCTGAGCCGCAAACAAACAGGAAGCCAAATGGCAGGACTGATGGGAACTGGACACAGAGCTTAGGTTTTGTTCCAAAGCATCTTGATTAGTGTTTTCCTGGCAATTTTCATTTGGTTGAGAATTTCTTATTTTACTTGACTTCATTTGATTAATATTGCAAGATTTTTATATTTTTAGAGTCATCATTTCATCTGATATCCTGTAGCATCAAAAACCAGGGGTGTAGATGTAGATATGTGAGGTATTTGGGGGGACAAAGGTGTTGTGCTCATACTCAATTTAGGTACTATGCCACCAGACTGTGATGAGGCCTTCCGAGAAAGAGCCAGTGCCTGCGATTCTGAAATCTGCAATGCTTTCCAACTGCATTGTATTTGGAATATATTCTAGGACTTTGCCCAGAGAAGCTGGGGAGTATTTGCAATGCGGTAGGGTGGTGGTCAGATCTGTGGCCCCTGGCGTTGTCCTCAATTTGATCCAGCAGCAGCACCGGGTGACCCCGGTCACTGGAGGGGAGCTGTCCAAGTTGGGCTGTACCCAGCCTGCATTAGGGCCCCTGACATGAGTACACGCATACGCATGCACACACACACACACACAACACACACACAACCTCAGCATGCACATACACACGCCACTAGGAGCACACGCATACCACCGCGTGTACACACACGCGCACGCACACCCTTCTTTGGTCTTGGTCATCACAATAAAACGACTGCTTTCTGCCCGTCCTCCCTGCTGGGCTGGGAGCCCCATGAGGACAGGATGCGTCTGCCTCTTTATTGCTGCATGGCCAGGGCCTACATGACACAAGTAACAGTCAACACTTTGATCTACTGAAGTGCTGTTGAACTGGTTCCTAGTGACATCCATGGGTTCACAGAAATTGCCCACCTTCCCGTTGCTCCAGCCAAACATCTAGCAACTGTCCTCAGTGCCTCTTCTGTCACATCTAATATATCCGCAAATCCTACAGGCTCTACTTTCAAAATATCTCCAGAACCTGACCCCTCACCACTTCCTCCACCGTCAGCCTGGTCCCAGCCACCAGCATTGCTCTCAAATTCCTGCAGCAACCCCCCAACTCGTCTCTTTGCTTCCATCCCCCACATTCCAGGCCAACCTCCCCTGGGACTGGGGAGTTAGTGAAGAGGAAAGAGTGGGACAGCCGAGAGCCACACCTGTCTCACCAGCGTGGCCACCCTACAGCACAGGGCCTTCAGACAGGGACTCTTCTGGGTGCTGGAGCTTTGAGTGCCTGGGACCCTTACACTCTCAACACAGCAGTCCAAGTGAGGAACAAAATCACATCCTTTCCCCACCCAGAACCCTCCACCGCCTCCTTGATTCACTCGCATGAAGGCACAGGTCCTTGTAGGGACCCACAGTGCCCCAAAGGAGCTAGTCCCAGGGGCCTCTGGTCTTTGTAACACCTGTTCCCTCCCCTCCAGCCCCTCCAGCCTCCTTGCCCTGCCTGAGGTGCACCTGGGATGCAGGCATAGGCTTGCAAAGCACCTCAGGGCATCTGTGCTTGCTGTCCCCTCTCCCTGCAAAGCCCTTCCTCTGGAATGTGGCTGGGCACATTCTTCCTCACCTCCTGCTCAGCTTCTCAGGCAGGCCTTTCCTGACCGCACCCACCACACCACTGAAAATCACAGAGTCCCACCGCCGCATTCCTCCCTCCTTAATCTTTCCCCATACTACATCTCACCATCTGATACACTGCAGGTTTTACTTATTTATTGGCTTTCTATCTATTTACTATTATTTTTGAAGCAAGGTCTCACTCTGTCGCCCAGGCTGGAGCACAGTGGTACGATCTTGGCTCATTGCAGCCTCGACCTCCCAGACTCGGCCTCCTGTCTCAGCCTCCTGAATAGCTGGGACTACAGGTGTGTACCACTGTGCCTAGCTAATTTTTATATTTTTTGTAGAGATGGGATTTTGCCATTTTGCCAAGGCTGGTCTTGAACTCCTGAGCTCAAGCAATCTGCCCACCTCGGCCTCCCAAAGTTTTGGAATTACAGGTGTGAGCCACTTCACCTGGCCTTGGCTTTCTAACTATCCACTCTTCTGCTGGAACTTAAGTTCCATAAGGACAGAGACTTTTTCTGTTTTATTCACTGCTACGTCCCCAAGACCCATGACAATGCCTGGCATATAGTAGGTACTCAATAAAGGTTTGTAGGTAGCCATCTGGGTTTCTGATTTGGTTTTATTTCATTGGGGGGAAAGGCTGTCCTTCCTGGTATTTGCTGTTTTCTGGGATAATCTGCAGATGGGGATGGGGTAAAGGTGGAAGTGAAAAGTTCAAAGGCCAATGTCAAATGCTCCCCAGAAAGGATCTGAGAGGAAGACCCCAGAGCGTGACATGAAAGGGGCTGGGAAGTCTCAGGCAGGAGGCCACCTGCATAGAGTGAATAGGTGTCTCTTGGGCTCAGGGCCCCAGGACATATGACTGGGCTTAGGCATTAATCAGGGGCTACTCAATATCCTAGAAGAGCTGCCTTTATCACAGCTGGGCTGGGCCCTTCACCAGCAAGGGCTGTGGTGGGGCTGCCCACGGCTGCCCCAGGGAGGCAGATGTAGGAGTCAAAGGCTGAAAACTCAGGGCTCGGGGATCTGCCGATGATGGGAGTGCAGATCACTCACTGCAAGAGGTGGCGTGGGCTTCCATCCTGATGGGAGCATTGCCACACTAGTACACTGTCATTGAATAAACTGTGACTTAATGTCTCACAATTAACCAAGCTGATTTTCATCTTCCTTTTAAAAAGCCATCGTGTTTCTAGCAGTTACGAAGTATGTTTTCTTTCCTAAGATGTGACGTTTATGGAGACAGCACAGTAAATTTTTAAAAATTAAAATTATTTTTTAAAAAGCAGGGACTTGGAAAACTTCACTTTAGCCCTCGCTTGTATATGGCCTTAGACAAGTCCCTGAGGCAGGCCTGCACTCGAATCCCTGTTGTGTCACAAGGTATGTGACCTCAGTGAGCACCTTGGCCTCTCTGGGCCCCAGTTTCTTTCTTTTTTTAAATTTTAGAGACAGGATCTCACTCTGTCACCCACGCTGGAGTGCAGTGGCACAGTCACAACTCACTGCGGCCTCCAACTCCTGGGCTCAAGGAATTGTCTTTTCTCAGCCCCCACTCCAAGTAGCTGTGACTACAAGTGCTCACCCCCATGTTCAGCTAATTTTAAATTTTTTTGTAGACACAGGGTCTCACTATGTTGCCCAGGCTGGTCTTGAACTCCTGGCCTTAAGCAATCCTCCTGCCTTGGCCTCCCAAAGTGCTGGGATCATAGGTGTGAGCCACCACACCCAGCCTGGGCCCCAGTTCTTCACCTGTAAAGTGGGAGTAATAGTAATTACTCGCCAGGTTGCAGTGGGGAGTGAATGAGGTGATAAATATAAGTGCTTAGCTCATAGCCTGGCTCAGAAGAGGTGCCCAGTAGATGTAACTGGTATCAGATTGGTCACTGTTGTATCCTAATTCTCTGTTCCTAAAACTTCTTCTGGAGGGGGCCATTTCTGGAGACTCTGGGCTCCTGCACTTTGACCTCTCCATGATTTCTCAGTAAGTGGGTTCTAATCCCAGGAGTAGGAAACTCGAGCAGGAAATATCATGGAGTGTTCCCAGATGCCTCAAGGAGCTTTGAAAAGACAGAGGAGAGAGAAGAACGGGTAGGAGGGGAAGATGGGGTTTAACCAGAGTATGCCCAAGACCAGGAGGAATGGATGGGCCCAGCGAGGGGCCAGCAGGGCTACAGGAGAAGAGGAAAGAGTGGGAGAGGCCAGAGCTACGCCCGTCTCAGCAGTACAGCCACCTTACAGCACAGGGCTTTCGGGTGGGGACTCTCCTGGGTGCCAGTGCTTCGAGTGCCTGGGACTCCCCTCTCTCAGGTTGGCCTTGTGTGCACCCCAGCAGTCGGCCAGCCTACAGTGTTGGTCTGTCAGGGTGAGTGGGGGCGGGAGGTTCTTCCAGGGCTGATCTGTGGGCAGAGGGGAGAGGCCACCATCCAGACAAGCTCCTTGCTCCTGACATGCCCTGTCTACTGCTGGGGGTGTGTGGATTGTTTCAGAACTCTGCCAGGCAGGCAGGAAGGAAGAAGGACTCAGCACCAGGCCAAAGTGGAAGGATGTCAGTATTTGGCAGAGAGGAAATGGAGGGCTGAGGAGAGAAAAGGAGGCAAAGGGGTTGGCAGCACCATGCTGTTGCTAAGGGGTACCCAGCACCTTTGGGGTCTAGAGCACCGTGGGAGCCACGGCCTGAACCAGAGTTCAGGATGCAACAGGGCTGCTGTTTCAGACCTAAGGAGGTCCGGGGAATGGTGTCTCCTAGTCCCAGCTCCCTGTCAGAATGCTGTTACCTGGAATGAGTCATATCCCCTCTCTCAGCCTCAGTCTCTCATCTGCAAAATGCAGAAAATGCTACCTGTCCCTCCTGCCTTGCAAGGTTATCTGAGGATCTGGTCAAGGCATGGCCATAGGCGCCCACCAGGGCCTGGTGGAAGGACCGGGGATTGACGCCTCCAAGGGGCCTTAGGAGACCTGCGTTCGAGTCCCCACTCTGTCCCCGGTTCCCAGAGGACCCTGGGCAAGCCTTGCCCCTCTCCTAGGACTCAGTTTCCTCCTTGAAGAAAGAAATGCCTGCAGCACACACAACTCAAAAACCAAACACAAAAATCACTCCACAAACCACTCCACACAAAAACACACTCCAAAAAAAAGGAGAAAAAGCCCAGCCCTTTTCCCGAGTCTCAGCACAGTGGGAGCTCGGGACCAAGCCCCACCCAGGCCGCTGAGGCCTCTCCCGCCATCCTCAGCCCCGGGCTGGGGTCTTTTACCTTCGCAGCAGCTGCTGAGTGGCGCAGAGTACCCGATGAATAACCACAGAGAAACTACAACAGGAACCACGGTGCAGGGTGAGATGGGGAGAGGAGGGGCAAGGAGAATGTGGTGGGTCACAAAACCACTCAAAATCCACCATGGAGAGAGGGGGACCCTCAGGGAGAGGTCTGGGGTCCTGGAAGCTCTGTGATGCCTTGGTGGTCCTGAGGGCAGGGGACAGCCAGGCACCTAGACAGGCATGGAAGGGGCAAGGACTGTCTTCTGCGTGAGGACTTCATGCACCCTCCAGGAAGCCATGGGACAGGAGGAAAATATGAAATAAAAAGGCATGCAACCCAGCAGGAAAAAATCCACTAGACCCTCACCCTAGGGCCTAAGGAAAGGCGGAGGGGGCTGTTCTCCCACTGTCTGATGGGGTCTGGGGCTGGCACAGACATGCCCTCTGTGCCAGCTTCTCTGAGTATCCACACCCACCCCACATCCTTCAAGCTGGATGTGCTCTTTCTGCCCATGCTCTCTTTAGCAGCTGGATTCCAGGGGGTGAACCCCCACAGTAAACCGATCCCTGACCGGTTCTGCTCTGTGACCTCTCAGGTGACCCTTCTCTGGGCCTTGCACCCCAGCCATATCCCCAGTTAGTACAATAAGAGGACCAGATGGGAACACCTTTGAGGCCCCTCCAGGCCCCTCCTGGAGCCACAGCAAAGCTCCATACCCATTATGTGGCCAGGGGGCTCAGCTGAAGCTGTTGGACAAGGGCAGGGCTTAGACTCAGGCCTGGCCCGTGGGGGCCCTTCCCGAACAACAGAAACCGCACCCGGCTTACCATGGCGACATCGGCCTGGAAGATCTGCTTGATGAACTTGTTCCTGGAGGAGTGGACCAGCTGGATAATGTCCCCATGCAGGGTGTCTCGGTTCTTCTCCAGGAAGCCTGCAAGCAGCAAACAGCAGTCACCTCTCACCAGCTCTGGCAGGCCCTCCCCAAACCCATAACATCTGAGCCAGGAGGACCCTCAAAATCCACCTAGTTCCACCACATCCATTTCATGACGGGGGCCCTGAGGCCTGGAGGGGACAGAGACTTGCCCAAGATCATAGAGAAAGTGAGGGGCCATCTCCCCAGTGACACAGCTCCCCTCTTCCAGGCCTGTTCAAGAAGGGCAGGGGGGTCTCAGTCTCCAGGAGAAAGCAGGCCTCCTTCCTGACCAACCACCCCAAAGCTACCATGAGTCTTTTGAACTAAGATATCAAAAGGCCTTGTTAAGTAAGTGTGTCACCTGGGAGAGAATGCATGTTGATCTGGTACAAGCTAATATTAAAGGAATTCATTAAAACCACCTTGTGGTTGGACAGTGTGTTATGTTTTATGAAGACCCCTCACAGCTCCTTCTATGTGGGACAGGTAGGGATTACCTCCTCTGCCCCCAAAGGGAGAAAACTGATGTTCAGAGAAGCTAAGTGAGTTGTCTAATGTCACACAGTAAGCCATGGGCAGAGTTAAGACTTGAACCCAGGACGCTGGTGCAAAGGAGATTCTCTGCACCCAGAACCCAGGATCCCCAGGAGCCTAGGGAGATTCCCCTGCACCACACAGACCCCAGAGGAGGCTGCCACTCACAGGGACCGAGGAGTTGGAAACTGGTTAATGGGGAGGGGGTTGTAGAGTGGGGCAAGAGACGGGGTGTCCAAGGACTGCAGATGCCAGAGGGGGAGTGCCACTGCACAGAGCAGGACATAGGCTGCCCATGAATGGCGGACAGCACAGAGATCCAGTGCTAGGCTGCCCGCCTGGCACCTGGGGAGGGGCGAGTTGCAGGGGACACACAGGAATGGAGGGTGGGCTTTGCAGTTGGGATGTAATTGGGTTCTCACTAAAGCTCTGACAGACTCACTATGTTATCCTAGAAAGACCCCCATTCTGGGACTCCAGTTTCCTTAACTGTTGGATGGGAAGGATAGTGCCTACAAGCTTGCTTCTCTTCAGAACACCTAATACCACCCACTTCATAAATCCACATCATAAATAAGACGCTGTATTGAAAAGGTTCTTTGTGAACTAGAAAATGCTGGTAGAATTCTTTCCAGTCATTTAGTCTTGTTTAACAACCTTAGGCAAGCCATTTCCCTTTCTGGGCTTCAGTTACCAATTCTATTAAGGTAGATGACCCTTATGTTCCCTCCAGACCTGGCGTTCTATAGTTTTACAACTCAGCATAGAGATTATTCAATTTTCACTTCTGTATCCTCAGCAACGTCATGAAGCCTGGTACATAATAGATGCTAAGAGCATATTGGTTGAACTGAACTGAGAAATACAATCCTCTATTACTCCAAATGAAAGACCAATTTGTTTGCGTGACAGTCCTTCAAACTTAATGTCTGCTTCCTTCTTCCAACAATAAGGTTGGATCTCACAGTCCAATATTGTAAGGGAATCTGAGCCGCCATCAGATTCTACCACTGCAGCCTGGCTCACTGATACACTGCTGACTTCTGGACCAGTTCAGCAACGGAGTAAGAAACGGATGGGTTATAGCATGTTTGGATATCTTTGGCCTTTTTTAAAAAAAAATTAATTTTTAATTTTTTGTGGTACATAGTAGGTATAGATATTTATGGGTTAATTGGCCTTTGACTATGCATGGGACCCCTTGAGGCTGTATGGCAGGGCTCAGGGTAGACACAGCCCATAACTAATGCCAATTTGTGGTTGGCCCTTTACACCAGGGTGGGTGGGGAGGGATTGGCAAGGGCAGTCTGCAGTCTTTTGACAAACCCTTAAGAATTCCAGGTGAGATAAGCCTGTGTTCTGACCACTCTTCTTAACTTCCAGCTTTAACGTGAACCCAATTGCCTGTCCCCAGGGGAAAAGAAGATGCACGGTCTTCAAAGCTCATGCTTGGTCTTGTTGCTGAGAGTCTTAGGGGGTAACTGGGCTGGTTCGAGGCCTGACTTTGAGCCTAATGGGCTATGTTGTATCAGGTAAGGACAGTCAAGCCCCCCCCACCTTGTTCTGAGCCTCAGTTTCCCTAAATGTGCAAACAAGCATTGAGCCCATCCAAAAGAATTGAAAGCAGGGACTCGAACAGATATTTGTACACAAGTGTTCAGAGCAGCACTATTCACAAAAGTCAAAAGGTAGAAACAACCCCAAAAGTCCATTAGCAGATAAATGGATAAACAAAAGGTTTATCCACACAACGAAATACTATTCAGCCATAAAAATGAGGGCAATTGATACATGCTACAACGTGGATGAAAATTAAAGACATTACGCTGAATGAAACAAGCCAGACACAAAAGGACAAATACAGTCACGTCTTCACCACAGAATGACATCTCAGCCAACTGCAGATACAATAGTGGTGGCTAAGATGGTAATGACGTATTTTTACTTTACCTTTTCTATGTTTAAATGCACAAATACTTACCATTCTGTCACAACTGCCTACAGTATTTAGTACAAGAACATGCTGTACAGGTCTGTAGCCTGAGGGCAATAGGCCATACCAGATAACCTAGCTATGTAGTAGGCTGGACCATCTAGGTGTATAACTACACTCTACAATGATTGACAATGACCAAATTGCCTAACGACACATTCTCAGAAATGACGTTAAACGATGTATGGCCATAGCATATGATTCCACTTATATGAGGTACCTAGAATAGTCAAACTCACAGACAGAAAGTAGAACACAGGTTACAGGGGGCCGGGGGTAGGGGAAGGAGTTACTGCCCCATGCTTGCAGAGCCTCTGTTTGGGGCGGTGAGAAAGCCCTGGAAATAGATAGCAGTACTGGATGCACAGCACTGTGAAGTACTTAGTGCCACTGAATCCAACACTTGGCCATTTTAGTCAAGTTCATATATATATATATATGAATAATCACAATTTTTAAAAATCTTTAAAATTCCGGATATCTTATTCCTGGGCTGGAGCAGGGGAAGGCAGGGCCACGGGCAGGGAGTGACAGACAGCCGGCAGCCCTCTGTACCTTGGGTCTCATAGTAGACGATGCCTGCAAAATGGTTGATGCCAAACTGGGTCTCATGGTTGTTCTTGGGGGGGATGTAGTTGGCGTTGAGCTTGTGCTGGGAGTTCAGCTTGTGTAACATGGTGGTGTCTGTGCCCTGGGGAGTGGAGGGGCAGCTGTGAGCCCACCCTCTCCTCCATGGGCCCCACTCCCCTCCCTGCCCATGTCTTTGCCCCCTGTCTCTTCTTCAGGAGCTTCCCCTCCTTTTATTTCTACCTCACATAGGCGCTCTCTGGAACCCCATTTCCCCATCTGTTAAGTGGATGAATTGGAACTACACAACTTTGAAAGTGCATTCCAGTTTAGACAATCGATTTCCCAAGATTAAAATCATGGGTGCAATCCCCTCTCCCCCTCCCCAACTCTGAGATATACACTGTGTCCTGAGTACCCATTCCATGCCAACTGCATGCATGGATCTTCATGGCCTGGCCCAGAACCCCATGGACTGTAGGTGATTCCCAAATGGCAGATGCCTATACTTGAATTGGCCCCTGAGCCAACTTGAGAGGTGGGTATCATTAGTCCTATTTTGCAGATGAGGAAAGCCGGGGCTCAAAGCAGGGAAGGAAGCTGTGCGCACCCAAGACCCTGGGAGGCGGCAGCAGGACCGGCCCACCTTGGGGAACTTGCTCTCCTCATCGATGAGGGAGATGATGTTCATGGGCTTGTTGGCAATCATGTCCAGGGCATCCTGGTTGTCAGTGAACTCGATGTGCAGCCAGTCAATGCTCTCCAGGTCATATTCCTCCTGCTCCAGCTTGAACACGTGCCGCACAAAGAACTGCTGCAGGTGCTCATTGGCGAAGTTGATGCAGAGCTGCTCAAAGCTGCAGGGGCACAGGGATGGGGTAAGGGTGTTGTTCAGGCCCCACCATGCTGTTCAGGGCCTGGCTCTGCCTCCACCTGCAGCATGGCCATTAGCAAGCTATCCCCATCATGGACTCCAAACTCAGAGGCGAGGGGAATTGTCAAGTCCACCTCCCTCCAGGTGCAGAGGAGGACACGGAGGCCCAGCAAGGGCAAAGGACTTGCCTAGGGTCACTCTGTGAGCCAGAAGGAGAGCTAAGGCTTTTCAGGACTCTTTCCCTGGCATGATCAAGCCCTGGGGAGGGCTGGGGATTGGCAGGTGGGCACCCAAACCCCAGGCAGATGCCTGGGAGAGAAAGACCCCAGAGGCTGGCTGGTGGGCCATACAGGGACATCAAAAGTGGCCTTGGGAGGTGGGAAGGGGGTTGACAAGACTTGGGAAACAGAGCCCTGGCTGCAGACATGGCCGAGCCACGGACACAGCCCAGTATGTTGAGTGTGGGTGTTTTGGTGCTGGAGGGCTTTGAGACATCCAAACAGCAAGGGAACTGATATGACTTGCCAGGTCCTGACTTTCCAGCAGGAAGTGGGGCTCCAGGACCCGCCTGTATGTGACACCACCCATCAGTCCCTCACACGGCCCCTAAAAGGCACAGAATCCCAAGGGTGGCGGAGACCCCAACACAAGCGTGGCACAGGCCTGGCCTCCCTGCTTTGAGGCGCCTTGCAGCATGGATCTGGGCAGATCGGCAGTGGCCAGTGGGTCCTGGAGACCAGAGGTTTCCTCCCCAAGTGTTCAGGATGCGTACAGCCTCCTGACAACCCCAGCCAGGCTCAGCTGACCTTGAGGAGGTGAGGGACACGAGGGGATGGGAAGGAAAGGGAGAGGGTCCACCGTGATGACGGAACAGCCTGGCAGAGTGTGCCAGGAGCCAACTAAATGTGCTTCGCAAGGGAGAGACGTGATATTTCTTATTTCCATATTGGGGAAGGAAATTCCCATGAGCAGAGCCCCACGCGGTACCTGTTCACAGCAAAGTTCTCAAACCCAAAGATGTCCAGGAGGCCGATGGACCTGCGAGAGTTCTTCACATCCTGGGAGGGAGGCTTGTAAATTGCTGCGTTGATCTTGTCCACAATCCACACGAACAGCCGCCCGTAGATCCCCTGAAAGGCAGTGATCAGCCACTGGCACCAGCCACACCCTCCCCCGGGGGACAGGCCAGGCTCCTGGACCCTTCGTGGTGTCGCTCCAGCCCTTGTGTGGAACAAAGTGCCGTGTGAAACCCCCAACCCTTTACTTGAGCTGTTCCCTCTGCCTGGAGACCCCTTTTCCTGCTTGAACAGTTCCTACACATTTTTCAAGGCTCTGTTGAGATAACAGCTCCTCTTGGAGAAGCCTTCCCTGACCATGCAGCAGGGGAAGGAGCCCTCCTTGGGGCTCTCATCTCTATGTCCAACCCTGTTTATCTCTGAGGTCCCCGAACCCAGCCCAGGGCCTGGTGTGGTGGGTGAAGGCTCGATGAATGGCAAACGTGTGGTTGTAGAAACAGGACCTGACCTAGATCCCCTCTTCTGTGTCTTCTGCAAAGAGACCAAAGAGAGTATCCCTGGGCTGGGAACAACATGGCTGACCAAAGCAGGCCAAAAGCCAAGGGCCTGGGGCGGCCAGAGCTGGGAAGGCCCCAGAGGAGCATGGGCACCTGGGACTCAAGGAAGGCCGACTGCAGCCCCGGGGCAGGCAGGGGTGGCGACCCAGATGTCTACCCACCTCCCAGGACTCCTTGGCACCTGCCCATCAAGAGCCCAACTTCCCAAGGGGTAGGGCGAGCAAGCGGCCCCTTCCCTCCAGCCCACCTTTACGAAGGCGTCGCGCACGTCCAGTGCCTGTTCCCTGCTCAGTGGGGTGGACACCGTCTCCCCGCGGGTGATGAGGGTGCGGCTAGTCAGGCAGCTCATCAGGTCTGGGGGGTTCACCTGGTACAGGCAACACCCCAGGTGCTCACCTGCCAGCCTGCCCCTCCCTCCACCCACACCCGGATCCCTCCACTTTCCGGCACTGGCCTGGCCCAGACCACTGCCTCCACTAAGCACGCCTGCCCCAGGGCCCACGGCCAAATCCTCCCTAGCCATGGAAACCTGCCCCAGTGCTGCCTGGAAGGAACTTCTCTCTCCTTGACAGCCCCGCTTAACTCCCTCCAGCATGTCACCTGTCCCTTCTAGGACCAGCCCTGACTCTGGCTTTATTCATCTCAGTTTTCCAACCCTAATAAGTGTTTGCTAAAAGACAGACAGACTCAATGCATTTGACCCAGGGACACCAGTGCCCTTTGCCCAGATGTGGAGACTGAGGCCCAGAGGGCAGGGATGACTCACCCAGGGTCACATAGCCCAGAGCATCACAGGGCCCCCACCTGCCCTGCCATACCCACAGAAGCTCCTTCAGGACCTGTGCCTAGCACAGGACCTGCACATGGTTGCTTCTCCATATTGAACAGAACTCTCCAAACCAGAGGGTCCCAGCAATGTGGTTCCTACATCCCAGCCCCCAATGAGCTTAAACTCAACCCTTCAGAGGGACAGAAGTCATGGAGGGGAGAGAGGCCAGGCACTGACCTCAAGCAGGGATGCAGCTGTGGCCAGCGATGGGGAGAAGAGAACCTCACAGGCATCCAGGTTTTCAAATGTGCGTGCTGTTGGCAGCAAGGGGCACAGCATCAGGGGAGGGAGGGTGGGCAACAGGGGCAAGGGGACAGTCCTAAGAGGACTAGGCTGCCACTCCTGCTGCCGGGGTCCTGCCCTGTCCAGGGAGGGCATCAGCATTGTGACTAAATGCTTCCCCAGGTCAAGGTGTATTTGATTAATGTTCTCACCATGAGTCTGCAGGCAGCATGAGGGTAGGGACCACGTATGCCCTGCACATGGCACCATGCCTGGCATTCGAGGAATAGACACTGGCCATTGCAGCTCTCTCCCCACTCCCAGGGCTCTTGGCAGCAGCCCTGGCTCCTGTTAGACAAGCTTTGGATCCCCTCCCCGACATGTGCTCTGTTCTCAGGACCTTTGCACAAGCTCTTCCTGCTGTCAGCTTACCCTTCCCTGTGTCTCTTAGTCTTTCAAGATGCCTAGACTGTGATCTCCTTAGTGCTGGGATCATTCATTCCTTGGGCACATTTCCTGGGGCTCCTACTCTGCCTGGGGACCATGCTGGGAATCAGGGGCAAGAGCAGAGTGGGACCTGCCACCTGCCTCAGGGGATCACCTCCCAGCCTGGCACATAGTGGGTGTCCAAGAATGTTAGATGAGTGAACACGTTCCCTTCCCTAGCCTTCTCCCTTTCCAAAGATGGCTATCCAGTCACTCACACCTTAGAGTGAATTAGTTCAAAGATTTACCCTCTCTCTAAGACATGTGACTTTAAAGAAGAAACCAAATTTGAAGTGAGTCTTAAAGTGTCCATAGACAACTCCCAATATACTTTAACTGTACCTCTCCGTGGTGGACTGTCAGCACAGCGACACCACACCCACCGCTGATTTCAATCTAGCAGACCTGTTCAAATCTACCCACAGGCGAATTCTTCCCAGCTTCCATCCCAAAGAGGGCACGTGCTAGGACAGAAACTGAGCTGCCAATACCACGTGGGCAGCAAGGCACTGCACTGCCCTTGGCGCAGGGGTGGGGCAGGGCGAGTGTGGCGCAGCCTCACCCTCATACTGCAGGTTGCCCAGGTGCAGGATGGCAGCCAGGAGCTTCGAGATCTCCCAGTTCTCGGTGTCAGTGAACATGAGCACCTTCATGGCGGAGCGGATGTTGGCGTACTCCTGGCTGTCCACCCGGCCCTCACAGGTTATGCAGTTACCCTGGTGGGCAGGGTGGGAGAGTGGGGTGCAAGAGGACGTCAGTGTACCCCCAGAGGGGCAGTGCCTGGCTGCCTGCCCAAAAGGCCCTTTCTGCCTGACAGGCCAGGCCAGCCCGGGGCCCCAGGCGCTGACCTCACCCGGTGAGCACCACAACTCCTCCAGAAAGTCTGGAGGGTCTAGAAAGCCTGGGCTTCCCAGGAACTCATTCTCCACATCTGGGGGTGCTGGTGCCCCTTCTTCCCATGAAGAGCAGGCAGGTCACTGATGCCAGGCCAGCCCCTGTTGCCCACCTGGCAGTCACAGCACTTAGGCCCTACTAGGCTCCTGCAGCCCCCCGGGGATACCCACTATCAGGGACTCGACCCCCTAGGCAGGTACTGCCTGGTGTAGACAGAGGAGAGGTAACTGCATACGAGCAGGGTTTCAACAGTGGGCACACCCCATTCTCTGTGTGTCTACAAGAGTGTGTGTGTGTGCACGTGTGTGCCAGCCAGCTACAGAAAGTGTCCAGGGACACCTGTCACACCTACAACACACACATGCACACACACATATACGCTTCAGGTGCCATAGCCCACACTTACGTCCATGTGGCCTGGCCCACCCCAGCCCAGCCCAGGCAACCAGACATGGGCTCTCCCCATGGCTAAAGGAGTGGTGCTTCCCAAGCCAGCCTGCCGTGTGCGTGCCCCAAGGTCCCCCACCCTTTGCTTGGTGGCAGCAATGGCCAGGAGCCCACTTCTCCTTGGTGTCCAGACAAGCCAGCAAGAAGCTGGCACCTGAGCCCTGTGACCAGTGAGACCTCAAGGCTGAGTCTGCAGTAGCCAGCTCCCTACAATCCTAGGGTGGGTGCCCCCCTACCCAGGGGCCCACCTGGGCCTCACCATGGCCAAGTAGTTGTAGTCAGAGGCCTGGCCCAAGCCCAGCTTCTTCTTCTGATCCTCACTCATACCCTCCAGCATGCAGTAGAACACGTGGTAGTTCCTTTCATCCAGGGCCTGAAAATGTGGGCACAGTGCTGGGGGCCAGGGGAGGAGGGCCAGAGGAGGCCATCAGGAACTAGCCTGGGATGATGGTTTACTATTTTAACAAATGGCTTGTGGAGAAGCCCATCGGTGGGTTTCATGGTGGGATTTCCAGCACAGAGGGAAGCAGGCAGCAATACGGGCAGGTGGGGGAGCAATACGGGCAGCAATACGGGCAGGTGGGCCACGCAGACCCCTGAGGCCAGGGGCCTGGGTCTATTCCTGCATCCCTGGGGCTCAGGCCCACCTGGCGACAGACACGTGACTTTTCCAGCAGGTACTGCTCAATCTTCGCGCCCTCGATGGCGCCCCGCTTGTTGAAGTGGATGTCGATGTACTTTCCGAAACGGCTTGAGTTGTCATTGCGGATGGTCTTGGCATTCCCAAATGCTGCGGAGTGAGTAGGGTGTCACTGGCAAAGCCCGCTCCCGCCCCACTGCCTGGTCCCACCCTCGGAACTCTGGTCCTACCTTCCAGAATGGGGGTGGCCTCCAAGACCTGCTGCTCAATCCACGAGTGCTGCCCACTGATGGCTGCCAGGAACTGCAGGATCAGCTTTGTGCTCTCCGTCTTCCCGGCCCCAGATTCCCCACTGCAGAGGGAGGGAGTGGCAGGACCTGTCACAACCCACAGGGACTCCCCACCAACTGGAACTCAGCCCAGGCTGCACCATCCACCAGCTCCCCCATCTGTAATATCAGCTGACAATACGGACCCTCCAGGGCTGGGGCAGGGCTCAAGGGCCCAGTGCTCCACCGCACTCTCCTTCACCTTCGTTCAGATACAAATACACCTGCATCCATACTTGTCATAGAGCACAACACATATTAGATGCTCAGTCAATGCTTTGTCTTTTGCCCTCTGCCCAAAAGAAAATAGGAGCCTGAGATGTCAACTGACCATAACTTAACAGGAACCAGCAGTAAACAAGGCTGGCCTCAAAAGCTAATGTGAGCTTTGGTAGCACAGAGATATAAGACCCCAGAAAGGGGAGGTGATTTTCTACATTGTTACACAGCACAGAGTACATAGGTCTGGTTCCTGAAGAGCTTGATGGCATTTCCGACAGCGGGGGCAATTCCTAGAGGTATCAGCAGGAGCGCACAGTTGGAGCTCTAGGTCCTAAGCCTGGAGCTCCACACAGGTGCTGGGCCGCCCACCTGATGATGCAGCACTGGTCTCGGCTGTTGCGTTTCATGTTGAAGTAGCAGTTGTCAGCAATGGCAAAGATGTGGGGGGGCATCTCCCCAATCTTCTTGTTGGTATACTGGCGGATGTGCTCTGGCGAGTAGATGGAGAGCAGCTGGTAGGGGTTCACAGCCACCAGGATGGAGCCCGTATACGTCTGCGGGCAGCAAGAGATGGGGAGCTCGCTGATTCCATGTGGGAGACTCTGACTCTAGAAAGCTCTTGGGCTCTGCCCTGCTCCAGCACCCTGGAGGGAAGAGTCCTGGCTTTGGAGTCATGTGGGTGGACCTGGAGCCAGAATCGGGCCTCCTTAGGAGCTGGGGCAGGGCCTTCTGTCCAGCACTGGGTCTGGCTCGGAGTTAGTGCTCAGTGACATTTGATGAAGAGGGAGGTGGAGTCTCTAAGCCTAGATTTCCTTCTCTTCATCTGTAAAATGAGCGTAACTGTTTGTGAAGATTAAAGGAGGTGGTATCTTTTAAAATTCGTGGCACACACTAGGTACTCTGCAAATGCTGTCTCCCACCATCGCCTCCAGGCCCTGTATCCCAAACTTTTAGAGCGAAATTAATCAACGGGACCATGTCCAGAGGGAGGCCAGGTTGGTGAGGAAGAGGGGCGTGAGAAATTAGCCATAAAGAGCTGAAGGAGCTGGGGTAAGTGGCTTGGGGGCTGGGTGGGCCCCACTCTCTGTAGCACTGCCCCAGGACAGAGGGAGATGCTGTGCTCTAGGGGACAGAGCACCTCCAGCCATCCTGGGCAGCGTAGGCGCAGGGGCCAGGTGCACCTCAGATAGCCTTAAGGAGGTTCTCTACTTGGGCTCCTCTGTTAGTGCAAAGATCAGCTGTCTGTAGGCAAGGCTTCCTGTTGTGGCCTTGAGGTCCTGCCACAGGGGACAACAGCCTGGCCCTTCTGCCACCAGAGCAGGGTGAGGCACTCAGGGTTACTTCTCCCTCCTCCCACCCCACGTCTCAAACTTGAAAAGGTCAGGCAGGCCTAGACCATAATTGGCAGTGGATGTATTGATATCCGGGGCCTGGAGAGGCTGAAGAAAGATGTCCAGGGGAGGTGACAACCTGCCCTCCCCCTCCCATTCAGGGCTCAGTGCATCACAGCAGAGCCGCAGCTATGCCCCAGCAGCCTCAGCCTACTGTGGCCACGCAGGGAGAGTGTGGATGCAGGCACCGCATGCCAGGGGAAATGCCCACCCTGGGGCCAGGTGGGGCCAAGACCCAGGCTCCAGTCCTGGCCTTGGCTGGCCTGGACCAGGAGGGCTGGCCAGAAACTGCCCTTCTCTGGGCCCCTGGGCCCAGGAAGACCTTCCTTTCCCACCTAAGCCTCTTCCTCCAATCAACCCATGGAGAGAAGCACTTGAGCCTCACTGTGCTGACCTACTAACCGTACCACAAGAGCCAAGCAGGAAGAGCTGGGGTGGGGTGGGGGCGGGAGGCTGGAGGGGAGCAGCCAGGCCAAGCAGGCAGGCAGCCAAATAAGACGCCAGCTGGAGCTGGCTCTCTGTGCCACACTCACCCGCCCTCCGCAGTTGGTCTGAGGTTGCAAAGTGCAGAGCAGAAGCAAAGGAAGCTGGTCAGTGGGGAACAGGGGCTACAAGAGCATTTTCCACGAATGACACCCACATGGCCCAGGGCTGCTGAATTCTCAGATCAGGACCTGTGGACCCCCAGCCCACCAGGCCCTGCTCTCAGACCCCTCAGCCATCATCCCCTATAGTTCAGCCCTGCCCAGCCATGGGAACCGGCTAGATTCTGGTGGAAACCTGCATCAGACTAGGAACCAGCCCCAAAGAACATCCCTTTGGCAAACCTCAGTTTGCTAATTTGTAAAAGGGGAGGTTAACACCCACCTCCCTTGGCTGTTGTAAAGACTAAAGGGCAAAGACATAACCTTTGCCAGGCGCCTGATACATAAACGCCACCTTCCTTTCTCTCTTTTGAGGCAGAGTCTCGCTCTGTCGCCCAGGCTGGGTGCAGTGGCTCAATCTCAGCTCACTGCAACCTCCATCTCCTGGGTTCAAGAGATTCTCCTGCCTCCACGTCTCGAGTAGCTGGGGTTCTAGGCATGTGCCACCATGCCCAGCTAAACTTTCTTCTTAATAATGTGATGCTCAGCCGTCTGGCCCATGATCCCCACACAGCACAGGCTGATGCCATGCAGCCATTCAACAACCCTTTACTGAGACACACGGGGAGGCTGGGGTGTGAGGGCCCTGACGGAGGCCCCTAGATTTCATGAGATAGGGGTGTAGGGGAGGGAGAGCCAGGGGGCCCAGCCGCTGGTAGCAAGCACAGAGGCGTGAAAGGGCGTGACATTTAGGAGGTCTGCTGGTGAAAGGTCACCCCGGCAGCTGTGGAGGATGAATGGTGGTCACCCAGGCTGGAGGCAGAGGCCGTTTCAGACCTAATGGACCAGCTTCCAGAAGGCAGTCAGAGCCCGATGGAGGGAGGCCCTGGGAGCAGGCTCTGTGGCCACGTGCAAGGCACGGGAAGTCCAGAGAGGGACATGGGGGATGCTGAGACGCTGTGAGAAGCTGGCCCAGGGCTGGGGCCAGGCTTTCTCCCACCCATGGCACCCACGGCCTTCTCCACTCTGCCCACAGCCCAGAGGGTCCTCCTGCACATGAACCCTTCAGCCCTGAGCCTCCTGATGTCCCTACTCAATGCCACCAGCACATCCAGACCAGAGCTCCCCCTTCCCTCCAACCCTGCTCTCTCCAGCCTTCCCAACTCGACCAACAGCACCATCACATCCCTCACCCAGGGCAGGAAACTGGGGAGCCCCTGGACACCCCTCCCTCACACCACTCCCACTCTCCATCTGCATGCCGCCTCCCTGGCCAGGCCACCCTCATTTCTCAACAGCCCACTGCAGGTGCCTCCCCACTGGACTCCCGGCTTCCATACTCAACCCCCCAACAATCTATCCTCCACTCGGAGCCATGCAGGCTTTTAAAAAATCTAACCACATCATCCCTGCTGAAAACCCTCCAGCTGTTTCCCACAGCTTCTGGACAAAGTCCAAATCCTCTCCCTGTCCACAAGGCCCCAAGCCCTGGCTCCTGCCACCCTCGTCAACCTCAACTCACAACCAAGAGGCTCCATTCATATGAAACTTTCAGTTAAAAGCACCACACTCCATCCCCTGCCATCTCAGACCAGGGACACGCTTCCCCTACCCCTTCGTCCAGATAATTCCTTCTCATCCTTCAGTTTCAAGCGGAGACGATGCCTCCTCCAGGAAGCCAGGCACCTTCCTGTACAATCATCATACCCACAGGTCTCCTTCAGCATGCCCAGCTGACTCCTCTACAGTCCCCGTTCAAGGCCTCTGTCCCCCAGGGCCTGGCACCATGCACGGCACATAAGAGATGCTCAGCAACGTTTGCTGAGCGGCCGAAAGAGCAACTAGATCAATGGGCGGGGAAGTACAGGGCAGGTTGTCACCTCCCCTGGACATCTTTCTTCAGCCTCTCCAGGCCCCGGATATCAATACATCCACTGCCAATTATGGTCTAGGCCTGCCTGACCTTTTCAAGTTTGAGACGTGGGGTGGGAGGAGGGAGAAGTAACCCTGAGTGCCTCACCCTGCTCTGGTGGCAGAAGGGCCAGGCTGTTGTCCCCTGTGGCAGGGCCTCAAGGCCACAACAGGAAGCCTTGCCACTGCCAGCCACAGCAATCTGCAGGGAAGGTAGCGAGGGGACAGGCCTGTCAGCAGCATTGAGGCAGCCCCAGCCATGCTGACGGGAAAGGCGGTCGGGATGTGGCCAGTGGAAAACCACAGAACAGCGTGGGAGGGATGCTACCATCTGTGCAGAAAAAAATGAATAATTTTTTATGTATGTATGTATCTACCTAACTACTTATCTATCTACAAAACAAATAAGAGAAATGAGGCCTCTTTCCTCGGTGAGGCAGATTCTCTCCAGTAAGAGGGCAAGAGCAAGCCCTGTTGGGCTCAGGACTTTGCAGCTCCCACCCCATCACCCCTTTTACTTCCTCAGAAGGCCTCTGGAGGTGTGATCATATCCCCGCTTTGCAGATGAGAGAGGCGAGCCTCCAAGAAGTGGGAGACTTGCCAAGGTCACACAGCAGATGTGTGGGGGGTAGGGTGAACGAGACACCCTGGCACCAGAGCCCCAGCTCTGGCCTCTCCACCTGGGCTTCCCCAAACCCCAGGAACACACTCATGGGACTGACAGAGCCAGCAGCTGGGGTCTCCGGAAGAGGAGGCTGGCCACCACTGGCAATGAGGCCCTGGCCCTCTCTGGGCTTCTGTGCCCATCGGTCCTCCAAGGTCTTAGCACTGCTCCCTGAGCCCTCTGGCCAATCTCTCTAAGGATTCAGGTTGGCAGAGAATTAATGCCCAGCACAGACCTCTTGTTCCAATCTCTAGTAGTAAAATCTGCCCTGTGGAGTCACAGGTTGGGTGGGGAGAGAGGAGGACTATTCCCAAACCAGGGATACAGCACGTGTGGTCCCTAGGGGTCCCCAGGCGGAGCTCAGGGGGCCTCTCTGAGGCCACAGAGATGTAGCAGGAATCAATTTCACCTCCTCCAGGAAGTGCCCAGGCCTGTCGGCTCTGGGGACTTCGTTAGCATTTAGCGGGCCATGGAGACCAAGAACACATCCTGGGACTCACAAGTCTTCCTACAGCCACAAAGGTGCCCACTCCATGCAGTCTCCCTGTTGTGCCTAGGAAAGGCTGAGACCAGACAGGGATAGGGATGTCCCCAAGGGCACACGCCAAGACTGGACACCAGCCTCCCACCTCCCAGATCAGGGCTCCAGCCTCTGCTCAGCGTTAGGGAGCCCTGGGTCCCCACCAGCCCTTCCACACAATGCGGGGACAGTCCTTGCTCTCTAGGACCATGCAGTGAGGGGTTGCTAAGTGTTCTCTGAGGGCCTTTCCTCATTCTGGAGTGGCTGGGGCTGATGTGTGGCCCTGGGATGCTCTCTCAGGCTCCTGGGGACAGGGAAGCTGGAGGCAGGCGAGCCCAAGACAGTCAAGAGCAGAGCATCCGCCGGCCCAAGGCTGTGAGCTGGCCATGGTAATCGGAGGAAATCCTGAGCGCACGTGTTGTGCCCAGGGTAACCCAATCCATGAAGGGACGGGGGGTTGCCATGGTCAGGGACAGGTTTGGTTTCCGGGTGGGACGATGGCCCAGTTGCTTCTTCAAAGCCCTGCTCTAATCCTACCTCATCCACCAAGTCACAGAATCATGAACTCAGCGAGTCAAGGAAACCTCTTTGAATCCCACAGTTCTTTAGCATGGATCCCCAGTCCAAGAGACACTGAGAATCTAAGGTCAGCGGACTATTGGAGCTGAGGCCCTTCCAGGTGCCACAGCGTGGTTTCCCGGCCAGGGGTCCTGGACAAGAAGGCAGCTTATTCACCTACCTGGACCCCCACCCCGTCCCTCCACAGGGGACGGCCCTGCCTCCTCCCTCTCGCCCAGAAAATAAGTCAGAAAGGTTATGGTGAGAACTTCAAATGAGGCAAATGGTTCAGATTTGGGGCCTTTCTGGAGAACCCATAAATCTCTGAAGTTATTTTCTTTGAAACCCTCCTGGAGGATGTAATGTCCAAGCTATCCTCTGCTGGCCACCCAGGGATCAGTTCACCACCCTCCTAATTTTACAAACAAGATTCACTGTGCCCATGGTGTCTGAAGTTTTTTCCTCCCTCTCCCTTATGAATCCTGTTTTTGCCTTTGTTCCTTGATGCAGCTGACCTACCGACTCCTTCGCATGAGGACCGGCTTGCCTGCACTGTGGCTGACCCACATGCTTCATGCCCCTGAGCTATGCTGAGACACTGGTCTGCAGGGGGCCCGGCGGGAAAACTTCCATTTTACCCAGCTCCTCCCCTGAGACGGGGCCCTCCGCCTCCTCCTGACAGGAGAGTGGGCCTTGGGTTCCAGCCTCAGCATAGGGACAATGACAAAACACTGGCCCTGGAAGTACCCTGCAGGCAGGTGGACAGGCTCCCTGCTCACCTAAGGGTGGGACTGCCCAGGCCTGGGTGAGTGGCCACAGAGAACCCCAGGACCCACCAGTAGCCACTTGCCCTCCAGGGAGAGGAAGAGGGGGCTGCCAAGAACTGGGGTGTGGACACCAGCGGGTCCCTGTGAGATACGGCGGGTGGGTGCCCTGGGCTCGAGTTCTAGCTCCTCCCTGCTGGCTGGGTGATGCTGATGACATCTGGAAGAGCCCCCCATGCCCTGCCTCTCTGAGTGCAGGTGAGGCCTGACTGAGGGACAGAGTGAGAGGGGCTTTGTCAGTGCTAGAAGGCTCCCTGCGAAAGCCACTTCCTATGCCCAAAAAATGGACAGCAAGGAGCCATACACAGCCTCTCCTCTGGAGCCTGAAGCTGCAGAGGGACCTAGAGTCAGACAGTGGCTGAGGACCTCTCTGGCAGCTGAAGGGCCGTAATTCCAGGGCTCCTGAGAGGGACTGGACCCCTGGCCCTGAGAGCTCCTTGCCGTGATTCTTCAGTGACAACACCTGGGGCTCCCTGAGACTTTTCCAGCCCTGGGCCCTAGCACCCCTTCATGGTCCTGACAACCTGAGGGACACTGCCTGCCGATCGCTTGCCAGCATGGCCCTACCTCCAGCATTTATTCATGCCATGCCCCCTCCTGAATGCCATCTCTACCAGCCAACCTCACCCACCTCCAGAAGCCCAAATACCACCCCTCTGAGCTGGGAGTGACATCACTCCTGCAGACCCCACACCTCCCCCAGTAATGCCCCTAGTACCAGCCTTCCCTGGGCCTGGGTCTCGAGATAATCAGGCCAGCCCTGCATCAGGGGGGTCCCTCCTGCTCTCTGCTGGGGGTTGCACATCCTTGGTTTCCTTTACCCTTGGGCTGCGGGAGGATGGGGCTGGGTCAGAAGCAGGCAGTGACCCGGGCACGGCACAGCTCTGGGCCTGGCTAAACCTGTGGAGTCTCAGTTTCCCTGTCTGCAACTGGGCTATTGGGCTAGAGCAGCAGTTGTCAGGGTGTGGACCAAAGACCCCTAGGGGGTCCAAGACCCTTGCAGGAAGTCTGCAAAGCCATCTCTTTTCCAACTACACATCTGTGAGGCCAGATTTTCTTCAAACACTTCAGCCAAAATATCACATCAGACTGGACGTGAAGCAGAGATGAGAATCCAGTTGGCTTTATTAAGCCAGACATTAAAGAGATTTGAAAAAATCTGTAAAAACAATGCTACTCTTCTCACCATTTTTATTATTTTGGGAAATGTCATTTTTAGTAAAAATGTTATTTATATTATCTTATAATAGATTTATTATGGTTACTTTTTCAAAAATTAATACGTTTCTAAATGTCCCAGCTTTAACTTCTAATATGGCAAATATCAACAGATATAACCCAGTACACAAAAGTCCTTTGGGATCCTCAATAATTTTTAAGAACATAAAGGGTCCCTGTGACCAAAAAGTGTGAGAACCTCTAGAGTAAATGATCTCCACGGGCCCTTATTGCTCTGCTCTTCTCTGAGCTCAGCCTCTTGGAATCTGCTCTGTCCTGGCTGGGGCAGACATCTTTATTTGTCCTCCCCATTTGAAGGTGGAGGAGAGTGGTGTGTGTGTGTGTTTCTAATATCAAGGTTTGAGGGGTGGAGGAGCAGAGCATGTTCCCTCCTTTAGCACCCTCCTGAGGATATCCATCCATCCCTATCCATCCTCTCTTGGCCCTGCGGCCTGATGGCAGGTCCTAGTCCCTTAGCAAACGCCCAGCAGAGCTGCCCTCCTGTGCATGGGCAAAGCACCAAGCCGCTCACTGACTCCACCCTGGCCTCCCATTGGTTTCAAGGCCTAGAGAGGCACATGAAAACTGCGTAGTACAAACCGCTCCCCACCCCAACCACAGACTACAAAAGCCACAGCCCAAGAGGATGAGACCCCGCCGAGCGGCTGCCGGCAGATGGGCCCCAGCAGGGGCCCCGGGGTCCAGCTGCACAGCGGACAAAGTCTCAGGAGGCAGGGCCCCGGCAGGGCGGGGCCGGAGGCAAGTCGGGCGGGGTGGGGCGAGGTGGGCGGGGCGGGGCCTGAGGGGGCCTGGACGGGCACCGGGCGGGGCGGCACTCACGTAGATGAGGTGGTCCCGGTAGCGGATAAGCAGGTTGCGCAAGATGCCCGCCTCGTTGAGGTCCCCCAGGCGGATCATGTCCTCCACGCCGTGGACCGACGTGGGGTGCATAGGCTTGATGTGCGTTGCGTTCTGCGGAGAGATCCAGTGTTCCTGCGGGGAGCCAGAACGTCAGCGTGCTCTCCTGGGGCCCAGGCTGCGCACTTCAGGGGAAGGGGCCGGGACGGGCGGGAGCGCGGGGTGAGTGCCAACCCGGGTAAGGGCCTCGACCTCTCTGGCAGCCAGACACTGTCAGTTCTAACAGGGTTCAGTCAGGATGGTACCAGCCACCTCTACCCCTCAAGGACCGCTCCTTCTCTTAGGGGATTTTCCCGCAGACCTAAGAGGTGGGCAGGGCAGGGATTTTGGCCCCATCTGACTGTTGTCAGTAAGGGGATCAGAGTTCCCTCAGGCCCTTTGCAGGATGGAGTGGAAAGGGTAATAATTAGAAGTAGACAAGCTTGGTCTCAAATTCAGGCTCCGGTAAAAAAGAAAGAAAGAAAGAAAGAAAAACATTAAAAAGTGATTTCAGATAGTGCCAAGAATACCTCAACAGGTGTATGTGGTGGAGAGTCATGGGGGGAGCTGCTTGAGATGTGGTGGTCAGGGACTGCCCCTCCGAGGAGGTGGCATATGAGCTGAGGCATGAAGGAAGAGAAAGAGACCACTGTAAAAAGATTAGGGGGAGGGGGGCAGAGGGCTCCAGGCCCAGGGAACAGCAAAACAACTCCTCAGGCTGGCAAAGGCTTGGCAGGTTCAGGGGAAAGCTGGAAGGCAGGGCAGTAGCAGTGGTGATGGGGAGAAGGGGACCCACCCAGGAGATATTTCCTGGGGCTTGCTGATGACCTGTGGGAGCAAGAGGTGTGAACTCTTGGGACGTGTGAGCTGAAGTGGAGGACACAGGCTGCCTGCCCAGCTCTCCTTACTCCGCAATATTCCCCAGCTGCCTTGTGGTGGCAGATGGGTGAGCATTTGGGAAGTGCACCAGCTCTTTCAACAAGCTGGCAAAGCCCTGGTTTCCTCAGGGCCCTGGGGCCCTCCCCGCCCCCAGAGGGTCTCCAGCACCTTTGCAAAATCCCAGACTCTCAGGGAAGTGTGGCCATTGCCTGAGAGTACGTCAGCCCTCCCATCCCCAAATGCCATGACCCAGTAGCCCCAGGACCTGCCTTCTGGGGGGAAAGGGGACCTCTCTGCCACCTCCCAGCTCAGGCCCTGAGACTCGCTGAGCAGATGTGATGCACATGCCATGTCCTCCCCCACCTGCTCCTCCTCCAGGTCCCTTCTGGCATAGTCAACCCCAACAGCTGGACACTAGCAGGAATCTGGACATCAGCTCCCCCCACCACCACCCCAGTCCAACAGGTCACCCAGTCCTGCCCATTCAACCCTCTAAAAGGCTGCTGAGTGGGCAGTACCCTCCTTGCCACCCTCAAGCCCATACCCTGATTGAGACCACCGTCTCTCACTGGCCCGGCCCCGGCCTCTTGCTGTCCCCATCTTACCTCCAGCTCTTCCATCAAATCCCTCGTCCCCTGGGCCTTTCCTGAGGCACCCTCCTGACCCTGTCACTCTGGGGCTCTCAGCCCTTCCCTGACTCCCCTGGGCTCCTCAGCCTGGCATCAAGGGCCAGCATGCGCTAGACACAAGGACCCCTAACCTCCATCCCAGCTACCCCCGGTACATCCTAGCCAGGGAACACGGGTTTCATGTCCCCAAAGGCCTCTGTGACTTCGCTCCACTGTTCCCTCTACCTTCTTTCTCCTTAGCCTTCGAGGCTTGGCTCGGAGGTTTCCCAGTTTCTGAAGCCTCCCCTGACAGTGCTGGCCACCCTCACATGCTCCATCTGTGCCATCCCCCTGCCTCCAGGGCCACATCTCAGGCCACGGTGCCTCACACAGGGGCCGGGCACAAATGATGTGGCAGGGAGCCTCTGATGGGACAGATGGCTGGCTGGTGACTGCGGGGGACCAGGTCTGAATGAGAGGCAGAAGTCAGTCATGGACAGACCCCAGAAGTCCCCCATTCCAGCCCCCTCACTTCACATGAGAAAACAGGCTCGGAGGAGGGTGGCAGCCTGCCCAGGCCCTCAGGGGGATTAGGGGCTGCGCTGGACAGAGCCCCCCACCCCAGTTTCCCTGATACTCCACGGCACTTCTGGGCCAGCAGCACTTCAACGCAGGGCAGGCTCTCACGCAGCCTCCCCAGGGCGAGGGGGTGGGTACTGTTAGGGAACCTGCCTGGACTTTCCAGTCCCGTGTGGAACATTCCTCTCTCCCAGGCACCCTATTTCTTATACAAGCTGATCCTGTTGGAAAATCCCCCCATGCGGTCCCCGCTCCCTGCCTCTGTCCCAGGCCCCAGTGTGGACAGGAGGGGAGAGGGCTCCTGGGCAGGCTGTCTGCTGTCGCCACTTGACCCCAGCCTCAGGTCCCCACATCCCTCCCCATGACAGTTCAGCACACAGGTTGACAGTGCTCAGCCACGGCCTGACCCCGGACCCCTGAGCACATCAATTTGCCCTCCTGAGCCTCCATGTCCTCAGCTGTGAAATGGGAATGAGAGTAAGAATCCCTTCTTCCCAGGGGTTTTGGGAGGACTGATGGATGTGATCACGACATCCATCTTTGTTGACAGCTTTCTCCTGCCAGGTCTGTAGAGTGCTGCTGCTTGGTAAATGCTCATCCAGAGCTGGGCATTGTCACTCTACTGCCTTGTGATTTACATTTGCTTCTCTAACATCCCTAACAGAGAATCACTGACCCCATTTAACAGTGACGAGCCGGACTCAAGAGGTAAAATGACTTGCCCAGTAGCTGCACCGCTCCCACTGTTTCCTGCGTGGGAGGAGTCCCAACAGAGGCCAGCACCCTGCAGGTCAAGGTCCACAGGTACCTACCGGGGGCCAAAGTGTAACCAGGGCAGTAGCTGAGGCCTGGCCTGAAGAAATGCCAGCAACTGGGGGAAGGGAACATGGTCAATTCCAGGGACCAGGGATGCCTTTGGGAAAGAGCTGGCCTGGACTGAGCAGGGACAGCTTGCTCCCTAGAGGAAGGGAAGGAGGGGTGTATCTGGCAACAGAAATGGCTTGGACAAAGGCAAGACACTGGGATTCCAGTGGGGACTGAAACCATAACCTTTCATTCATCACTCAGCGAGTCTTTGCCAAGAGCCTTCCCTGGGCAGACCCCTTGATGAACTCTGGGGAACCAGATGGGACTGGCCTGTTCCCTGCTCTCAAGTTGCTAGGAGTCTGTGGGCAGACAGAGGGGTAAGAGATGACAGCCTGGAGTTGGGAGGGAGGGGATGGAATGGGGGTGGGAAAGGCTTGTGAAGGAGCGGTCTGGAAGCCCTGGGGGTCCAATGCCACAGATGCAAACCCCAGCCTCCCGAACTGCCCCTGCCAGCCAGTCATGCCCACCCCTCCTGCAGCCCCCACTCTCAGGGCCTGGGTGGAGGAGAAGCGGGAGGGGACCTTTGGGATTCGGTGACGCAGTTACGGGACACCATCTGACATGCAACATGACCCAGGTGAAACTCAAGCCTGCAGACAGAGTCCCTGGTCCCCACCCTGGGGGCTCTGGGCAGGTTAGCAGGCCCGTCTATGCTGCCACCCAGCCTGTGCCTCCCCTTCTGTGGCTGCACCCTCATAGTAGGTTCCTAGAGGGTCCTAGAACTGGAGCCTCTGGAATGATATTGCAGGCCTTGGGTTCTACGGCCCAAGGGCCAAAAATGTGATTAGCAGAATCTGAGCTCCAAAGTCGCCGCTGAGATAATGCTGACAGGGGAAACTCATGCATAGAAGACAGAGGTCCTGGGTTCTAATCCCAGCACCATCACTTACTAGCTGTGTGACTGGCTGTGTGGTCCCTCTATGTGCCTCAGTTTCCTCATGGGATGACAATTCTTTCCCTCCCTGCCTTCCACAGATGCCATGAGAGTCCAAAGACAGAACTTGGGTTAAAGGGTCTTGCAAACTCTGAGGGGATGCACCTGAGGGCTGCAGGAATATCTGGGATGCTCCTGCCCACTCCTTGTCAAGCACCTGGCCTCGAGGGTCCTGAGCCCTCCCGTCGTCCCCAGCAGAGCCTCAGTTTCAAGTCCCTGCACCCTCTTTCTCCTGACTCTCCTCCCTCAGACCAGGAGGCTAAGAGGGACTCAGTCCAATTCTGTGTCCCAGCCCCTGGCACACCGCAGGGCACAGCCCACATTATGGCAGAGCTGAATCTCCCTGGATTCTTCATATCCCTGCTAAGCTGCCCCTGTGTGCTCTGCACCCCATCTGCATACCCCCAGTGACACACACATGTGCACGCATGCTCAGAGGCCCCAGGGCTTCCCCTCCGGGCCCTCACGTGAACCAGCCACCTTCTCCGGGGCAGGCCCCTGACTTCAGACCTCTCCTTCCCTCCCCAAGGCCCCACTATCATTACCTAGAAAACTTACACTTCTGGGGTCCCTTTCCTTCTGGGCCACAGATAAAGGGTTAATCTGTGAGACCAATTTCCAGAGCAGTGTCAAGGTGGACAGTGGATTCATGTGATGTCAGTAACCCAACACAGTGAGGCTGTGGACGTTCATTTAACTTTCAGACTAGCACTAACTTCACTGAGGTGTTCTGCACGTGTGATCTCATGTATGGGTCAACAGCCCTGTGAGATACGTATTATTATCCTCATTTTACAAAGAGGAAACTGAGGGTCAGGAGGGAAGGAGACTAGGCCAAGTTTGCGCAGCTAACAAATGGACGAGATAGGATTTGAATGCAGTCTGCCCCCAAAGCACCTCTGTGTCTGAGGAGCTCCTAGCCTGCTCCCCCTGCACTCAAACCCCACCACACACACACACATCTCTAACACCATGCAGAGTGGACTGAAGTGCTTGTGGAAACAGAACAAGTAGCCTGAGGCAGGCAGGGGTTCCCTCTTGTTGGGGTGCTGGGGAAAGCTCATGGAAGGGGGCATCTGAGAGGCAGAAGTGGGGGCATGGGCATGGCCTCCATCTCCTTTCGATCATCTCCCTGCATCAAGGCAGCTGTCAGCCCAGGTCTGACCCCAAGGCATGGGGCAGGAGGAGGGAGGGGACTACTCACATTGTCTTCATCATCCACCACCTGGACCTGCCCAGAGTCGCAGAGCTTCACCACCGCCCCGATGGGCACGTCGAACTCCTGCCCCAATCTCAGGTCCATCCACACATGGTCCCCCTATGGGCGAGAGAGAGTCTCAGCCCAGGTGAGCAGGGAGGGGGATTGGAGCCCCTTCCAGGCAGCCCTATATCCCTCTGCTACAATCAGAGGCTCTGAGCCAACCACACAAGGGGGAAGAGAAGGGGACTCACACTTACTAGCAACCTTCTGGAGCAGTGCAGGCCCTGGGCTGGGCATTTATGCAATCTCATCAATCCCCCCTCTAGAACAGCCATATTCCCATTTTATGGATGACTTAGCAGAGGCTCAGAGAGAGCCAAGGCCTCTCAAAGCCCAGCTCTCCCCATGGATCTACACCCTACATGTGTATGACAGATTCACTGGGGTCTAGACAGAAACACCAGACCACTCAAACCACTTCCTCTCTAACATGACACCACAGGACACCCAGACAGTGGGTGAATGCTGCAGCCTCCTTCACCTCCAGGGCTGATTTTTATCATCATTATGACAGGTTCCTCACAGGGACACCACTCCGTGCTGGGCACTAGAGAAGGGTTCAGCCACATTGTCTTCTGGCATGTGGAGAGAGCCCTGATCCTGGGGGAGGATGTCGCTTTGTGTCCCCTGCGGCATCTGGCCCAGGGCCTGACTCGCACTACTCATTCAGCAAGGGATCGTGAGAGCCAAACGTAAAATCCCAAGTCAGAGAAATGGACTAAGAACAACCACATTCAGCACTGATGGATTCAACAAACATGTATTGATTACCTACTGAGTGCAAAGCACTGATTAATCTAAATGCTGGGGGTTGAGCAGTGATTATGGAGTCTACGTTCTAGTTAGAGGTGGTGACAAAAAACTGAGCAAATAGATCAGCACGATCACTTTGGATACTGGTGAGTGCTGTCAAGGAAACAAACAAGCCAATGGTGGAGAATGACAGAGCCAACCAACCTAGACCCAGTAGCCAATGGAGCCGCTCCATGGAGGGAATCGCTGAGCTGACACCTGAAGGGTGACAAGCAGTCAGCCAAGGGAAAAGCAGGGGACAGTAATCCCAGCATAGGAAACAGCACATGCAAAGGCCCTGCGGCAGAAAGGAACAGCCAGGAGGTAGGACCTGATGGGCGAGAGGGAGCTCAGAGAAGTAGGCAGGGTCCAGGACACATAGGCCCTTTGCTGGCCTTGGGATACAAGCTTAGATTTTATTCTAATCCTAATAAAAGTATTCTTTTTTGGGTGGTACTCCAACTCCCTAGGAGTTGGGACATTCTAATAAGAATATAACTTAATATCAAGTAAAAAAAAATGTAACAACTTATAAAACTGATTCACAATGAAGTAAACCGTGGTAATGGTCTGACAGAATCTGTTCTGGGCTAGGAGTCAGAAGACTGGGTTTCAGGCCCTACCCGGCCTTGGGTGAGTCGCTGACCTCTCTGAGCCTCAATTTCCACATTTCTCAGTGAAGGCTGAACTCAGTGAGTCCA
Source organism: Homo sapiens (assembly GCF_000001405.40). Classification (NCBI taxonomy): domain Eukaryota; kingdom Metazoa; phylum Chordata; class Mammalia; order Primates; family Hominidae; genus Homo; species Homo sapiens. Next base: position 77,141,272 of record NC_000011.10, on the reverse strand, counting down.
AGACCAACTCATTACTGTTTCAGCCTCCTCTTGTTCCCATCAGAACCAGCTACAGTCATGCATTGTTAATGTCAGAGATAAGTTCTATGCAAACATATGAAGTCATCGAGTGTACTTCACAAACCTAGATGGTACAGCCCACTACACACCTAGGCTGGATGGGGTAGCCTCTTGCTCCTACACTACAAACCTGTACAACCTGCTACTGTACTGAATACTATAGGCAGTCATAATCCATAGTGTGTATTTGTGTATGTAAACATATCTAAACATACACATAAAAGGTACAGTAAAATATGGCATTATAGTCTTATGGGACCACTGCCATCTATGTGCTATTTTCCAGCCACAGCTGCCCCTGTGGACCCTCTCTTCATGTGAATGGGAGGTTGGCACATGATAGAGTCAGGCTAGTCCCAAACCCAAACTTCCTCCCAGAAAAAGTAAGAAAAATTGGAGAGGCTTGGGCGTGGAAGAGAACTGTTTACTGAGCATTCACTGTGGGCCTGGGCTCCACAGGCTGCATCCCGTAAACTGCCCCATATAATCCTCACAGCTGCTTGTGTCCAAGCCCCAGCTGCACTCCCTGACCCTGGGCTTACCCCTGACAGCCACCCCACACAGGGTCTGCTCCCCTTCCCCACTGGCCTGGAGCTCCCTAGGGTGGGGCTGGGTCTGAGTCCCTCATCTGTGGCTCCCCAGAGCCCAGCCCAGAGCGGGCCTCGGTGAGAGAGAAGGGGTGGGGAGCGTGTTCGCTTGTGGGCAACAGCATGTGGCCAGGGGACTGTCTCCAATTTCTCTCCTCAAAGAGGTCAAGAAACGTGCCCAAGGTCACACAGCTGTTTTGTGGCAGAGCCAGGACTGAAGCCCAGGTCTGACAAACCCCAAATCCAGGGCTCTTTCCTGACATTCCCTGGGCCCAGTCCCACATGCAGCTCACTGAGCAAAACAGGAAACACTGATAGAGTCCTCCCCCGCCCAGATGGCTCAAGGGCCCTGAAGGCAAGCTGGAGACTTAGGCTGAGGGCAGCTGGAAGGCAGGGGTCTCTCTGAGTCACCTGTATCCCTCAACCCAGCACAGGGCCTGGCACACAGAAAATGTTTGTTTCCCCTGGGAGAAGATAAAATAACCAAAATAAAAAAAACTTCATGTGAGCAGGAAATGGAGATTCCGAGAGGCTGAGTGAAGCTCTTGGGGCCACACAGCAAACAGACATGACTACAACTCTTCTTACTTAGGGCTGTCACAGAGGGCAGTGACCAAACTATCTTGCTCTAGGCCAGACTTGAGGAAACAGTTTCAGATGGCAGGGGAGAGGCTTCAGGGAGAATTCTGGGGTCTTAGGACTTCTGAAGGGGAATATTCCTGTGGCCCTAGGGAAAGTTCTTGAAGCATCGCAAGGCAGGCAGGTTGTAAGGATCCTCATTTTACAGCCGAGGAAACTGAGGGCCAAAGAGAGAAAGGAACCTGGCCACAGTCACTCATCAAATCAGTGACTGACAGGACTATTAGCATCTGGAGGACAGAGCCAGGACCAAAATCAGGGTGGATCAGGAGTCACTGGCTCAGAGGGAGAAGGAAGGGAGGAAGGAAGCCATGAAAGAAGATGAAGCTTCATTGAGAGGCAGGAGGGAGGTGAGAATGGGGAACCAGGCTCCAGGTAGGACCCCACCACCCCCTCCCATCCCCATGGCTAGCCCCAGGCACCCCACCACTGCATCTGGCCCCATTCCTACACCATGTTCCGTGACAACTTTACACACTGTATGGGGCGCCTTGCTTGGTACTCACCTTGAATGGAAGATCTCGTTTGTGACACGACACATGCCTCAGTGTGGCTGTGTAACGTGGGGCAAGTCCCAGCTTTTCTCCTATCAAATATATGACCAGGGCAGAGGGTTTCCCAGGCCCTGCCAGCTATGCAGGCTCCCAGCCCGAGTCGTGCCTTCCTAGAATGGGTCTGTTCGAATGTTCTCAGGGGTACTCCAAAACCCCTGTGGGGCCTCCCCCCAGGAAAGCCAGCACATATCCACAGTGAACACATAGGAGATCTGGCTTATAGTCCCAGCTCCACCACTAACGCTGTGTCTCTCTGGGTGAGGCACTCAATCTTTCTGGGCCTCAGTTTCCACCAGCCATGAAATGGAAGGAGTCAGTGCATGTAAAGATGAGAGACCCATGCAAATGCACATTGTTCTTTCTGTCTACCCTCCTTCCTCCCAGGCATCAAGCCGGTCTCGAGCCAATATTAATAATTCCCCACAGGGCCTTAGCCCTTTCTGCCTCTTCCTTCCTCTGGGACCAGGCCTGGGGCCAGTCCCTGTTTGTGGAGTGAAAAGGAATCTGTTTCAGGACATTTTGCCGCTCGTTATCTTCATGATCACTCTGGGACACCGGTTTTATCACCCCATTTTCACAGATGGGAAACGTGAGCCAAGCATCTTGCTAGTGTCTAGTTGCTAAACATAGTTTGGAGAGGAGACCAGTGGGCCTAGCTTTCTCTTCCATCAGCGGTCAGCCAGTCCATAAACTATGGCTGGGGGTCCCTCTGTGCACCTGGAGGTGCTCCCTGCTCTGGATCTCAGCAAATGCAGGACACCCCCGCCCAGACCTGGCCTGCCTGGCTTGGGTTTCCCAGATGCAAAACCTCTCCTCCTAGGAAAGGGCAGCCGCGGCCAAGTTCACACTGGGGGAGGTCAGAGACCGCAGGTGGCATCCTAGGGCCGCAGTCCATGCACACCCTGAAGCCTAGCGACCCTGTTTGTGGCCCGCCCAGCTTCTAACAGGCGGGGAAACTGAGGCCCGGGGCGAGGCGCCCTCCCCCTCCCTTCTCCCCTCCTGGCCCGGGCCTCACCGGCAGGACGGCGTAGGTCTTGAACGCCTGGTTCAGGCTGCGCACCAGCGCCCACTTGCCGGGCTGCGGGATGCGCGCGGGGTCGGCAGGGTCGGCGGGGTCCTCCATGGCGCTGCGACGGCGACGGCGGCACTGCTCCGGCTCCCTAATTCACCTAATCCCGTGCGCGCCGCCCGCCCCGGAACCCTAAACCGGGCCATCTGCTGCGGGCCCATGGCAACGGCGGCTTAGGTGACGCCCGCGGGCGGGACGGCGAGGGGGCGCCCGCGCCACCCCGGCCCCCTCCGTCTCGGCCGAACCCCCCACAGCCCCACTTTGCCCGGAATCCCAGGCGGCTTCACTGGCACCGCGGCGGTAGGCCCGGGATAAACGTGGCACCTGGCACCGCACCTGACGGCAGTTTTGGAAAAAATCGTCATGTTTTTTTCTATGTTTTCCATGGAAGGAAACACGAGGATGTTATGGACTAGAACGCGGTAAACTCCCGGGGTTTTTAAGACTAAAGGAGAGATGCATTGAAGATATTTCTGGCTCCCTGGCTGCCTCTGGGGAGTGAGGGCAGATACAGTTTCCTTCTGGGGTAAGTTTGGGGGAAAGCCCCTGAAGAGGCTATGTCCTCCTCCCGCAGCCCCCGAGGTCAAATAGCAGCCCACGTCCATCCTGCAGAAGAGGCCTTGGAGGCCTGGTGTGGGGTCCCCTGAACTCCCCAGGACAGCTGAACCACCTCGATGGCTCAGAGCTCTCCCTGCAATGGGCCAAGCTGGCCTCCTGTGTCCTAGCAGCCACACAGGGCTGGACACCAGGCGTCGGTCCACGCTGGGCTGTGAGCCAGAGGCCACCGTCCCATCCCGAGGGTCCGGAAGGCCCAGGCCCTGTGACTCCTCTCCCATTCCCTCCTTCTCGCCTTGCCCTGCCTATCTTTGTCCTCCTCCCCTCTTTCCTCCTTTTTCTTCCTCTTCTCTTTTCAAGGCCTCCAGTCTGCATTTGTGGCTCTCTGCATTGCCTAGTATCCTGGAAGCCAACTGCTCCCCAACGAATGAACAACGGCAGAGAGTGGGGGCGGGGGACTGGGTGGGGGGAATGGCAACGAAAAAGACGGTGATGCCTCACACAGGGCTCAGAGCCACCCAGGATGGGCCCAGTTCTACCCCACTCCCTGTCCCAGCCTTGGGAACCCAGGGCTCTGCTGTCCAGCACGAAGCTGACTGATCAGTGATTCCCACTCACTTCCTGTGACCTCTCAGGGACACCGCTCTCAGGAGAGGTCCTTCCCCCAGTCAAGCCGAAAACAGGCACACCTATCTCTCCCCGCCCATCTATAGCAGTACATTGGGACAGGACCCAGACCTCAGACACAAGGAAGTGCTGGTGGTGAGCTTCCAGGCATTCTACCACGAGTTCATATAACCGACCTTCACTGAGTACAGGTTCAGACTAAAGTACAGAGGACACTGTTAACAAGACATGTCCTCAGAGCTCCCAGCCTGGTGTGGTGGACAGACCCAGGCACAGATAAGGATGGTACCACCAGATAAGAGGCAGATCAGTCCCGGAGACATAGGATAGCATGGCCACTAAGAGTTTGGACCCTGGAGTCAGATGGCTTAGTTTCAATCCCAGCTCAGCCACTCACAAGCTGTGTTACCTTGGGCAAGTTCCTCAACCTCTATGTTCCTTTCTTTCCTCATCCGTCAGGTGACAAAATGACACTGCTTCCACGTGCTCGTGAGGATTTAACAGGTTAAGATGCGTAATGCACCTAGATTGGTGCCTGTTAGACCAAATGTATATGAGTGCCAGCCATGGTTAACTAAGGGAGTCGTGTTAGGGGTGACAGCTGGGTTTTAAGATTTTTTTTTTAGGCAGACATTAGGGGAAAGGGCATCCCAGGAAGAGGGAACAGCAAACTCAGAGAATCAGAGGAGAGAGGGAAGAGATTGTAAAGTAAGTCTGGCGGCTGGTGGCTAAAGAGAGGTCCCCTGGGGGAGACCCTGCAAGGTGCTAAGAACCTGACCTTGCCTGGTTCCAGAACGACTACTGAGACCACCCTTGAGCTGGAGGAATAGGCCTCTTCTCCACAAGTGGCAAAGACAGAGACTCTTGAAAGCAGCAACAGAGAGGTGACTCATTCTATACAACGAATCGTTAGTATGAGTCTCGGCTGATTTCTCATCAGAAACCACGGCGGCCAGAGGGCAGTAGGATGGCATATTTAAAATGATGAAAGAATAAAAAAACTGTCAAGAAAGAATTCTATATCTGGCATAACTATCCCTCACAAAGGAAGGAGAAATGAAGACATTCCCACGTAAACAAAAGCTGAGAGAGTTTGTCACTAGTTGACCTGCCCTATAAGAAATGCTAAAGATTAAAAGACATTGAACAACAACAAAACAAACAACCCATTTCAAAAGTGGGCATAGGCAGGAGTTTGATGGCACTACTGTACACCAGCCTGGGTGACAGAGTGAGACTGTGTCTCCAAAACAAACAAACAAACATAGGCATAGGACTGAAATAGACATTTCTCCAAAAAAGATATACAAAGCGACCAAAGGCACATGAAAAGATGCTCAACATCATTCATCATTAGGATAATGCAAATCAAAACCACAATGAGATACCACTGCACACCCATTAGGATGGCTATTACAAAACAAAACAAAACAAAACAAAACAGAAAATAAGTATTGGTAAAGATGTGGAGAAAATGGAACCCTTATGCACTGCTGGTGGGAATGTGAAATAATACAAATGTTGTGAAAAACACTATGGCAGTTCCTAAAAAAATTAAAATGAGAATTACCATATGACCCAGCAATTCTACTTCTGGATATATACTCAAAAGAATTAAAAGCAGAATCTCAAAGAGGTCTTTGCACACCTATGTTCAAAGCAGTATTAATTATAATAGCTAAAACATGGAAGCAACCCAAGTGTTCCTCAATAGATGAATGAATAAACAATATGTGGTATAAACATACAATAAAACGTTACTCAGCCTTAAGACGGAAGGAAATTCTGACACATGCTATTAATACAACATGGATGAACCTTGAGGATATTATGCTAAGTGAAGTAAGCCATCACAAAAAGACAAATAGTGTATGATTCCACTTATGTGAGGCACCTAGAATAGTCAAATCAAAACCAGAAAGCAGAATGGTGGTTGCCAAGGGTGGTGGGGAGAGGGGAATGGGGAGTTATTGTTTAATGGATAGAATCTTTATTTTACAAGATGAAAAGAATTGCAGAAATTGATAGTGGTGATGGTCACACAACATTGTGAATGTATTTAATGCCACTGAACTATGTACTTAAAGTGGTTAAATGGGGCCAGCCATGGGGCTCACTCCTGTAACTCCAGCACTTTGGGAGGCTGAGGCGGGCAGATCACCTGAGGTCAGGGGTTCAAGACCAGCCTGGCCAACATGGTGAAACCCCATCTCTACTAAAAATACAGAAATTAGCTGGGCATGGTGGCAGGGACCTGTAATCCCAGGTACTCAGGAGGCTGAGGCAGGAGAATCACTTAAACCTGGGAGGCAGAAGTTGCAGAGTGAGCTGAAATCACACCACTGCACTCCAGCCTGGGTGACAGAGTGAGACTCTGTCTCAAAAAAAAAAAAAAAAAAAGTTAAGTGGTATATGTTGTTATATGTATTTTAAAAAATACAAAATTGGAAAAAAAAATAGAGTACAGTAGACAGTGATGCAAAGCCATACAAAAAAATTAAAGAACACTGGTAAGGGCACTTACATAGATAAATAGAAAAGTCATATTTAACCAGGCACAGTGATAGGCGCCTGTACTCCCAGCCACTTAGGAGGCTGAGGCAGGAGGGCTGCTTGAGCCCAGGAGTTCAAAGCTGTAGTATACCACAATTGCACTTGTGAATAGCATCTGCACACCAGCTTGGGCAACACAGTAAGACTCCATCTCTTTAAAAAAAAAAATGTTGTATTTTTGGTCTGTAACTACTTTCTTTTCTGTGTGATTTAAAAGACAAATGTATAACATAATGATAAATCTATGTTAACTGGCACACAATGTATAAAGATGCAATTTGGACAATAAATAACATAAAGGGGGAGAGATAGAACTATAAAGGAACATAATTTTTATTTATTATTGAAGCTAATTTGGCCTTAAACTATATTGATGCAGATTTAAGATGTTATTTGTAGGCCAGATGCAGTGGCTAACACCTGTAATCCCAGCAGTTTGGGAGGCTGAGGCAGGCAGATCACTTTAGGTCAGGAGTTTGAGACCAGCCTGACCAGCATGGTGAAACCCTGTCTCTACTAAAAATAAAAAAAATTAGCCAGGTATGGTGGTGCACGCTTGTAATCCCAGCTACTTGGGAGGCTGAGGCAGGAGAATTGCTTGAACCCAGGAGGCAGAGGTTGCAGTGGGCCGAGATTGTGTCATTGCACTCCAGCATGGGCTACAAGAGTGAAACTCCATCTCAAAAAAAAGATGTTATTTGTAAACCTAAGAATAATCATTGAGGAAAAAACTTTTAAAATACACAGAAGAGTAAATGAGAATCAAAACAGTACTTTAGAAAAAAATGTCAATTAAACACAAAAGAGCAGTAATGAGGAATTGAGGAGGAAAAGATATAAGACATACAGAAAACATAGCAAAATGGCAGAGGTCCTTCCTTAACAGTAATTACTTCATGTGTAAATAGATTAAACTCTCCAACCAAAAGGTAAAGACTGGCAGAATGGATAAAAACAAAACAAAACAAAAACCAACCACATGATCTAACTATATGCTGCTTACAAGAGATCCACTTTAGATCCAAAGACACAAATAGGTTAAAAGTAGAAGGATTTCATGCAAATAGTATTCCATGCAAATAGTAACCAAAAGACAGTTGAGATGACTACACTATCAGACATAGATGTTAAGTCAAAATCATTACAAGAAACAAAGAAGGACATTATATTTTACTAAAAGCATCAATCCAACTGTTATCAACAGCCCACAAATTTATCTTCAAACCTCCCTCTGCCCACAAATCTGGGCCAAGTACACAGAGTCCCTACCCTGGCACCACCATGAAGCTGGGAATCATGACATACTGAAGCACAAAAGCCCTCCTTGTGGTCCTTAAAGATGTGAGTCAGGTGTGCCACACAGGTGCGCCACTAGTCAGCTGGGCTAGTCCTTCTTCCAGAGACCTCAGTCCCTGTATGTTCATGAGAGGCTGCTGCAGCTGTCTCATGGCCTTCCCTGTCCACCCTCTCCCAGGGAGGGCAGAAGGCTCTCCCATTCCCAGGTGCCCTCTCATCCCCGTGCCCCCTGGAGACTCACTGTCACAGTGCCTTTCCTAGGTTTCTAAGCTGTCTCCCCACATAGGTCTGGGAACTCCTCCAGGGCAGGGAATAGTAGGTGAATGCCTGCTCCTCCTGCCTTCAAGCAGGAAGTATGCTTCAGCTGCTTCCTTGGTCCTAAAAAGAACCCGAGCCCCGGGAGCCGACCCGCTCTGCAGTTCCACAGGCCGGGCCCAGTGGGCTCCATCTTGTGCTTTGCTGTTGAGTAAGAGGGCCTTGGGCACATTACTCAGCCTTCCTGAGCCTGTTTCATCATATGCAAAATGCAGATTAAAAACCTCTATCCACCTGGTGCGGTGGCTCACGCCTGTAATCCCAGTACTTTGGGAGGCCGAGGTGGGCGGATCACGAGGTCAGGAGATCAAGACCATCCTGGCCAACATGGTGAAACCCCGTCTTTATTAAAAATACAAAAATTAGTTGGACGTGGTGACGGGTGCCTGTAATCCCAGCTACTCAGGAGGCTGAGGCAGGAGAATTGCTTGAACCAGGGAGTCGAAGGTTGCAGTGAGCCAAAATCATGCCATAGCACTTCAGCCTGGTGACAAAGCAAGACTCTGTCTCAAAACAAACACACACACAAACAAACAAACAAACAAACAAAACCCCTGTTTTCCCACAGCTGCCATTGTGAAGCTAAAATGCCATTTGGGACTCCATGAAAATGCTTCTTCCTTCATCTGCTTCCCTGGACTGCCTCTCTCCTCCTCTCTTCCTGCCAGTTCCTTCCCTATCCTGAAAGATCCACGGGAAATGGGATGAAGGCTGTCCCTCATGTCCAGGGCTCATCAGGAAGCCCCAGGTAGGCAGAGAAAGGAGGAGGACTGTGGACCAGGCCCTGGGGTTTGCAGAGCAGGGAAGCCTCCCGAAGGAAGTAGAGGCTACACTGAAGCCTGAGCAGAAGTCAGCCAGGCAAGAGGGGAAGCCAAGCACTCCGTGGACCTTTCAGGACCGGGAAGGATGTGGCAGGAAGAGAGGAGGAGAGGGCAGACCAGGGAAGCAGAGGAAGGAAGAAGCATTTTCATGGAGCTCCACATGGCATTTTAGCCTCTCATCGGCAGCTGTGGGAAAAGAGGCTTTTAATCTTCATTTTACATATGAGGAAACTGAGGCTCAGGAAGGCTGAGTAACGTGCCCAAGGCCCTCCCACTCATCAATAGCAAAGCCTGGGCTGGAGCCCATTAGGCCCGGCCTGTGCAACTGCAGAGCTGGCCGGTTCCCCAGGGCTGGGGCTTTCTTCAGGACCAAGGAAGGAGCTGAGTGTACTTCCTGCTTGAGGGCAGGCAGAACAGGCATTCACCTACAAGACACTTGCTCCCAACAGAGGCCACCCACAGCTGGAGGTGGGTCAGCGTTCAGAGGGGCAGGAGAGGAGGGGGTGGTGAGGAGGTCCCATCAGCCAGAGGCCTGCCTCAGAGGCCCCCTGAGGGAGGACGCCCCTGGAGGGCTATGGGGGCCCAGGCCCTGGCACACAGCAAACACTCAGCGAATGGACTTTTCCTCTCCTAGATCCTGCCCATCTCTAATGGGCGTTTGAACAGGCTCTCAGGCCAAGGGGCTCTAAAGGGGGTCTCCTCCAGCCCCTGGGATAGAAGAATGTCTGTCCTGATGCTGCCCTGAAGCCTGCCTCTCACTCACACACACAGACACACACACGCGCACGCACTCATATGCAAACATGCTGGTCCGTGCAGCCTCAGGGTGGCCAGGCAAGGCTGAGCCATTGGCCTCTGGTGACCCTGGAGACCGAGAAGCTGCTGGCCAAGCCCCCATAATGCACAGCCCCACAAGCCCTACGGCCTGCTGCCAGGCCCACCTGGCTCAGGGCCCACATTCCTGGCTCCTGCTCTGGAGGCCAGGAGCTCATTAGAGCCTCAGACTGATCACGGGGAAGGGCTGAGGGTCAGAGGCCACTGTGGCCCTCAGTAGGAAGGGGGGCTGGAGGACTCAGCTCGGGCCAGCACCTCTGCTTCTTCCCATAAAATCCCAGGGGGCTCCAGCTCAAGCCTTGTCACCCCCCGCCCTCCAGTCACTGCTCCCCAAGGCCCTAAGAATAAGTTGGGCTCAGGGCCCTTCCTGGCCTGGCTTTGGGAGCCTTGCCAACCTCCTCTCCTCTTCCCCAGGGACCTTCCCACACCTGGGCCTTTGCACATGCTGTTCCACTGCCTGGGATCCAGAGATGTGTGTAAATAAACTCATTTCTGCCCAGTGGGGTGAGCCAGTGAGAGAAGGAAACCCCAGCTGGCACAGCAGAGGGAACAGGTTTCAGACTAGGCCTCAGCCTGGAGGGCTGGGTTTGGAAGCCTAGGCAGGAATTTTCCAAGAGAACACCCTGGGGAGGGTGTCCCACGGGTAAGCATATGGATGAGGGGATATGGCCTGGGGAGGACAGGCCACCCAAAGAGGTGGGAACACTGACCTGCTGAAGAATCACCATGGTCCCAAGTCAGGAGCTCCTGCTGCCCACTGGGCCAGGCACAGTTCTGCAGGGAGAGAGACCATGTCATGCTTCTGGGCAGGCCAGCCCTGGAAGCCTTGAGCCTGGCTGGGGTCACCTGGGCTCCTCCCAAAGCCCCAGCTCCTCCTCCCTCAAGGGAACCCTCCTTGGCTTCTCTCCCTCTGACCACTGCCCAGCCTGTGTGACCTGAGCCTCAGCCACTGTCACCAGCACCACTGCCCAGAGCAGCTGAATTCTTCTCTCAGCCACTGTCATTCAGAGATTCCCAAAGGGCTCCTAGAAAGTAGCAAGTCTGGCCCCACCAGGGACCTACGGCAAAGGGGCCCAGAGAGGGACCAAGACTTGCCCAGGGTCACACAGCTAGCCAGAGCAAATTTAGGACTAGGACTTAATCTCCGGCACTCAGCTTAGGGACTGCCCCAGGAATGTGGGTGACAAGGACAAGCCTGACTGAGCAGAAGGTCAAGGGCTGGGCATGACCTGCTCACAGCACACCCTGCCTGAAACCTCTCAAGAGCACCCACTGCCCTCAGGATGGCTCTGTGCAGAGCACTGGCTGCTGACGGGGAGGCAGGGTCATTGGGGTCTGTCTCTGGCTGTGCTGCTGAATGCACCGCACCTGGGCCTGGGCCCGGGCCCGGGCCCGCCCCGCTAGGCCCAGCACAATCTGGCCCCTGCTGATGCCTCGGTCTTTTCTCTCACTGCTCACTCCCTTTCCTACCCTTATACTTGGACATCCTCAGTGACTCACTGTTCCTGAAATACGCCAGCTCTTGCCATCTCCTGGCCTTCACACACTGGCCCTTCTACCTGAAATTTTGACTAGTGAATTTCCACTTATGGTTCATGGCTCAGTTCAGATGATACCTCCTCCAGGAAGCCTTCCCTGACCACTCCCAAGCTGCCAAGAGCCTCTATATTCCCCTTTATCCCATTTTGACTATATGCATTATGTTGTCAGGGTAAGGGTCAGTCCCACCTCTGCCCCCAAAGTTGGCGAGTTGATCCAGGGCAGGATGTGGCCAATGGGAGAGGGTCTGAGACATTGCCTTGTCTCCAGCCTTGTCCAGCACAGGGCCAGACCCAGAGACGGCCTCAGGAAGGAGCTTAAAAGGCAGCCCCAGCCTACAGACCCTGGTATGAGGCCCCTCTGGCTCCCAACCTGTCTCCTAGAATGCGCATCAATTTTTCACAAGGGCCCATTCAGAGCCGCCGGGGCATTCGATCCTCTGCCCATGACACTGCCCGACATCCGAGCCCTGACCCCTGCCCTGGAGCTCTGGGACACAGCAAACCCACAGTCCTTCCAGAGACCTGAACTAGTCTGGATGCCTGGTGGAGATGTGGATTCAACAGGGCCAGCAGGCAGTTGCCACCGGGCACTTGTCTGAAGATGGTGCCCAGGCTGTGGAGCAGGCGCCCTATGCCAGCATGAGCCATGAGGGCTGGGGGCAGAGCCAGTGCTTTCACTAGAGACATGGGGCTCCAAGGGATGGGGGAGAGTGGTGAGGGCGTGAAATTTAAGGGCCACATTTTAAAATGACCAGACAGACATTTCATTTCTAAAAATGAGAACTAGACCACCTTCAAGTTAATTTCTTTTCCAACTGACAACAGGGGGCATAGACTGTATTTGTATTTCTATGTCTATACCTGATTTTACCTCTTCCCCACTACAACCCTGGCTGTTGGGGCTTCATACTCCCATTTCACAGATGGGATATTTGGGGCATAGAGGAAGGAAGTGACTTATCCAAAAACGGAGATAAAGAGTGTCAGAGAGAAAGCAAAGGAGACAGAGAGAACGGACTCTTCTCTCTGCCACCACAGCATGTCTATTCCCCTGGCCCCAGGATGCCACTAACCCCAGCCCCAGCTCAGAGAAGATTCGATGGACAACATGCTCCTTGGCTCTTCCCTCCTCCAGGGGACACACATCCATCTTCCCAGGCTCGGGACAGTTTCATTCAGTGGCTGTGGTGGCTGAGCCCTCAAGGGTGGCAGGAAGCCCAGTCCCAGGAGCAAGTGGCTGTGGGGCAGAGGCTCTAGAGGTAGCTCAAGTCCATGACTCCTCCACATCCAAACCCCTCCCAATGCCCAGGACAGTGGGCAGCCCATCCTTACCTGGGGCCCAGCTGCCCACTCTCAGTGACCTGCCAGCCTGGTACAGCTGCCACCTGCACGGAGGACTCAGGAAGCTGGGTCACGGGCCCAGCCAGTCTGCAAACACACGTCCCCTCTTCCTCTGTCTGGCTCCAAGTCTCGTTCTAGGCGTCCCTCTGGGTCTTTCCCTTCCTCGCCGTCTCTCTGTGTGTGTCTCTTGTCTCTCCCTCTCTCTCCTGCCCAGAGCAGCTGTCCAGCCAGCACTGCTGCCCTCCCCTCCTCACTCCAGAGCCTTCTCCCAGGAGGCGGAGCCGGAGGGGGCCTCCAAGGTCTGGGTGCGGTGACATCAGCGTGGGGGACGGGCCGTGCTGGGGCTGGGACTAATGTCCAGAGGCTGCTCAGGGCTCTGTGCAGAGCACTGGCTGCCGACAGGGAGGCGGGGTCATTGGGGTCTGTCTCTGGCTGTGCTGCTGAATGCACCGCACCTGGGCGTGGGCCCCCCAGGCTAGCTTCAGGTGCCTCCTGTTGTTTGCAGGACACCGCCTGCTGTCTCAGCACCTGAGCAGGAAACCGCACCTGATCCTGACTTAATCACTGATGTGCTGGGGTCTCAGCCCCATTTCTTCCTCCTCTACCTGGCTGTTTGGGACTCAGAGAGGGAACGGTCAGGCAGAGCATGGCAGGAGGGAGAGTGCTGAGCTAAAGCCCTGCCTTCTGCGCCTTCTCCCTCCTGCACACCCACCCTTGCCTCTGATGTGTGTTCTCTGACGCTGGTCAATGCAACATTGCCCCCACAACCTGCTCTGCGGGTTGGGGACACATGTTATTCCGTAATCATCCAGAAACTTTGCCAAACCAGCTGACTGGGAGCCACCCCACGTGTGACAGCGACACAGATAAACTGAAGTGAAATCTGTGATTTAAAGGAGTGGGGGGAACCAAGCAAAGAGGAGCACACGTCTTTGTTATTAGCGTTGTCGAGGATGGAGACCTCGCGCGGCCCTATCGGGACATGACAGTTTCTCCTTTCCGCCCTCGGCAGCCACGCAGCTGTCGGCGGCCCCATAGTGCACCTCGCCAGGGCAGCTCTGGGTGGCAGAAGGATGTCTCTTTTGGGTCCCTAGCCCCCATAACTGGGGTGTCTGCAGGGAAGCTGCCCAGAAGGTGGGGTGGGGGCCCAAAGGGGCGCTATAGCTCGCCAGCGCCGCCTGCTGGTCACAGGCCCCACTGCCCAGCTGCTTCCGTCAGGCGGGCTGAGCACCGCTGGGAAGTGACCGTGACAGGAGTCAGCTTCTGCTAGGGCCTGGGTCCCCTCAGACCCGACGACCCTGTCCCAGGAAGACCCCAGGATGCCGTCTGCCCCTTAGCCTGCTGGCCTAACAGGAGTCCAGGAGTCCCTGGAACACAGTCCCCACCTGGGATTTGCACCTGCTGCCGAAACCCAGTACTGGCCACTCCTCAAGTCCCCCCTCTCCATCCTCCCAGGCTGGGCGGGGCCAGTGGCGTCAGCCCTACACGGATGGGGAAATGAGACCCCGGGGGAGCACAGGAGAGCCCATGGCACACGACTGGCAGCAGGGACAAAATGCAGTGAGCTGTGGGAATGGGGCAGAGAGGTGGGCAGGTTATGGGGGACAGGGCGGCCTCCAAACACCAGGATGACAGCTACATTGTGTTCAGCCATGCTATGAACCAGGCACTATGCTAAGCAGATCACACGATTTGCAATACCCATTTCTCAGTCCCATGAAGAAAGCGAGGCATCTCGGTTCACTTTGCCCTCACACTGCACTCACCCCGTCTCCCAAGTCGTTTTTCATTGAGTCGTCCACTCTGCTTTCAGTCATCCCAACCCTGCTTCTCCCCACCACCACACCAGCTTCCTGGCCCTAGATGCCTGCATCTGCCCTCAGCAGCCTCCGCTCTGGTCCCCCCACACCTTCCTGTGCCCCGAAGGCCCATCTCCTCTTCCCAGCCCTTCATGCACAGATCAGGGAGTAGGCCGTCTCTAACCCAGCAGGCCCACACTGCCCCATCAGTAATGTGCGGGGTAGTGTCTGTCATGACCAGAGTATGTCTTTGTTCTCGCTGCTCGTTTGTAGACTGTCCCAGAGCAGGGATTGCTATGCCTGGTTCCCCACATCCCAGGTGCCCGGGGCAGGCCTTGGCACAAAGCCAGCCCCGTACAGATCTACTGAATAAAGGAATGACTGAATGATCCCCACAATCTCAGCTCACAGGTGCACCGGGCAGGCAGCGGGGCCTTCCCTCTGACCAGCGGACAGTCGCCCAGGCCTGGGGAATATTCCTCCATTGTCCCTTCCCCCCAGGGGGACAGAGGGACACAGGAAAGTCTTTTTGGAATTTTGTAAGATTTATTGAGAATAGAACAGGCTTCCTGTCCCCTAACCCTGTGGTGGATCCTGAGAAGAGGGAAGCCTAGGTCTGGGTGGTGTGGGCTGGAGGCCCTACCCACCTGCAAATGGGGACTCCCAGGCCCCCGCGGGTGCATACAGTGAACAAAGTAATTGCTCTCCCCTATCACCCCTGATCCTTACCTGCCTGGCCCCCAAGGTCTCCTGGGGACCAGAGATCCCTGCATAGCCAGGAGCCAGCCTGGCCCACCTCAAGGGGCAGGAAGCAAGGGTAGCACTGTGGAACCTGTTTTTGTCAGGGGGTGGCAGGCATGCCCCGGCCCCGAGGCTGAAGCCCACAGGTCTGCCACTTGGTCCTGGTGTGCCCCTGTATCCCAGGGGACATGGCTGAGCAAAGTCCTATGTGTTAGCCTGAGGTGCAAGCTGGCTCACTTCACCCCCTACTCAGGAGCCTTGATTTGAAATAGACATCGAGAAGTGGTGATTACATGAATGTATATATATATATATATATATATATAGTGCGTGTGCATACAGAGATACATAGAGAAAGGGGTATTATTTTGCCCTTACTCAGCACTCGGTAGTAACAGTGCTGACACACAAGAATCATTGGCCCCACTTTGTAGAAGGGGGAAATCGAGGCACAGGAGGTTTAAGTGACTTGCTCCCAGTCATGCAGAGTCCCGGCCCCAGGCCCAGGTTCTTGAGGGGAAGTCCCGGCTTTCAAGAAAGAACACTCTTATCCTCCTTGTCGTTCATTTCCTGGCCCCTCATATGGCCCAGGGCCAAGACCCAGGAGCAAAGCCAGACACAGAGTGAGGAGGCAAAATCAGAGAATCCAGCACCTCCAGCCAGAACACTGATCCAGACAGCAGGATCTGGAGTCGGAAAGTCAGGTTCCCAAAAGGAAATCCCAGCAAGGACACAGGGATTCCTGTTCTTGAATTAACTGCACTTTTTCATTTGCTACACCTGGTCTGGAAGCCCGAGAAGGGCACAGCAGAGATCCCAAGTGGGTCACGGCACCAGTGCTCACGAAGAGTTCTCCAGAGGACCAGCAAAACTGGAGCCAAGAAGAAAAATGGAGGTTCAGGCTTTCAATTTTCTTTTAAAACCCCTGATTAAAATTGAGATTTTCAAAACAAAAAGAATATAAAACATTGAGGACTAAAAGGAACATTTTGGTCTGGGCAGGAAGAAGAGCACTGCGGCCTCCTAGGCTGCATTTTGGGGGAATGTTGGTGGGGGGCTGTGGTCAGGTGATGGGGCTCCCTATCTCCTGCCGAGCCCAGTGGGTGGCCTGACTCTGGTGAGCACCACACACCCCAGAGTCCCATCTTCCAGGAAAAGCTGGGGTCTTACAGCAGAGAGGCTCTGGGAGCACATCTCCCCTTCTGGTCCCCAAAGGCCCCCAGCTGCCTGGCCCCTGGCCCACTAACCCAGGCATGCTCCTTCCAGCACTGGGCAGAGGAGTCAGGAAGATGCCCTTCCTCACCCCCACTGACGCCACCTCTCCAGGGACCTTAACGCAGGGGCTGGGAATGGAATCGGAAGCTAGAATGAGCAGGCAGCAGCAGCTCCCCTAGGTATCTGCCTCTGAGAGGACCTGAGGACAGAGGCGAGGCCCAAGGCAGAGGCCGGAGTAGGGCCCCGCTTCACCTGGGGCCTCAAAGGTGTCGTTTATTCATTTGGCAAATCTCCACTGAGTGAGGAAATGGATGGGTGAGAGGATGGGATTAGAGAATGAACAAATGTCACCTGCATATTTTCCCAATTCCAGCCTGAGCAGGAACCCGGCAGGAGCCAAGAGTCCTTTCAAGGTGGGAGAACACCAGGTATTGCTGATGGGGAAAGTGAGGTCTGGGAGGCTGGGTTGGGCCTAGGACACGAGGGGCAAGAACGGAGCTTGGGGATGTGGCAGTTCGTGTGTAAACAAGTGACATCTTCTTGGCGCTCCTCGGCAGACAGCAGGGCCTTAGGAAAATGTGCTCAATGGATAGAGTCCCTTAGCAGTGGTGACAGTTGAGGTGGGGAGGACTATTTGAAATCTCAGCAAGGAAACTCCTCCACGAGAATGGAATGCTTCGGGGCCCTCGGGACACTGAGGCTGAGAGAGGGGCAGAGACTTCCTAAGGTCACACAGCAAGTCAGTGGAAGAGTGGGAAAAGGACCCCAGTATCCTGGCTCCCAGGCTAGACTCAGGCCCAGTGGGGACATGCAGATGGTGGTGGGAACGGTCAGAGCCAGGTAGGTGGGCAGGTGTCAGACAGCCATGAGGGAGGTGCTGCTGAGAATGTGCACGGCCACAGTGCCTGGCAGGTTGCTGGGCTGCCGGCTATTTCGGTCCCGGAGGTGGAGGGTATGCAGGGCCTGGAGGTTGTCCGGGTCAGCCTTTAGGTGCACCTGGCCCAGAAATTCATCCTTCAGCACTCGGTGGTTCCAGACCTGGGAAGAGACAGAGGATCATGGGAGGGGCGGGCTACCTCCAAGACCAGCAATATAGGTCTATGGGGGGTGCTGGTGGTGGTGGCAGGGCCTTGAAGTGCAAGCCTGGCTGAGGATCGGGGGCCCTGGGCTGTCTGCCTCCCCATGAACTACGGGCAAGGTGGTGCCCCTTCCAGAGCCTCAGGCTCCTCAGCTAGCTAAGCTCCCTCCCATGCATAAAGTGAAATCTGTTATTAGCTCCGCTGTTGATCTTGGGTGAACTTGGACAAGCGGTACACCCACTGCCCTAGTTTCCCCATCTTTAATATGAAGGTTGAGTCAGCTGCCCCTAGGGGTCTTTCCAGCCCTGAGACATACAGGTCTGTGATTTGATCCAGTGGGACTCAGTGTTAAGAAAACTTGGATAAGCCACAGTGGCTCCCCCAGGGGGACCCAAATGTTTGTTTACAGATGCTGTCTCACTGAGAGAGATGCTGATCAAGGCCTGGGGGCCAGAGAGCTCCCTAGTATTGAGTTCAGAATCATCATCCCCAGGCCACATCAGCCTGAGAGGAGAAGGAAGCCATGGGGAGGACACTGGCTTTCTATCCCCTGCCCAAGGCTCTTGGGAAACAGCCACACGCACCACACAGTGGCTCAACGCCACTTTCCAGGTGGGCCCCCCACGGGGAAATGGGAGGGATAGTTCCCAAAGCTGAGGGTGAGGTCAGCAGAGATGACTGCTGTCCCCAGCCAGGAGATGGACCCTGCTGGGTCTCAGGACCACACCAACTAATCCAATTCACCCACCTACAGAGGGACCTTGGAGTGGCAAGAGAGCTCCCAAAGCCACACCAGGGGTCAGGGATAGACAGACAGCTAGAGCCCAGCATGCCTGGGTCCTCGTCAGAGGGTCTTCCACCTGGGCTTGTCCCCCTGAGTGGGGAAGCCTCAGGCTAGGAGCCCAGGAGGTGGCCTCTGGACCAGGGGGCTCACCTGTACAGTGATGGGCTGGCTCAGCTTCTTGCGGTAGAAGATGCCTTTCACATTGTACTCTGGTGTGGAGGTGCCCTTCTGCACAGCCGAGCGGACTTTGTCTCCCTCACACTTGATGATCACATAAGAGTTAGCCCCTAGGGAGAGGGAGTGGGAGATGGGGTGAGGGTGGGGGTGGGGGCTGTGGCAGGGCCACAGATATCTACAGGTGAGATGCCCACCCGGCTCAGTTATTCAGATGGAGAGACTGGAGCCTGACCCACCTCAGGGCCCCTTCGTTTCCAGAGACAGGCCGGCCAGCAGGGGCACACTGGCCATCTCCAGCCTCCAGAGCTTTACCCACACTGCTCCCTCTGCCCGGAGCACCTTTCTCCCTTACCCCCTTTCATCAGGCTTTGTATCTTAATACCTTCTCAGCCTAGAAAAAGGCCACTCCCTCCAGGAAGCCTTTCCTGAGGCCTCCCTCCCAGCTGGAAGCCTCCTGAGAGCAGAAGGTAAACCTTTTCCTCTCTATGTGCCCAGCATCAGGCATCACCCCAGAAATGGCCAGGCCTGCAGTGCCTCTGAGAGCAGGAGAGCTCTGAGGCTGGTATCCGTGCTGGTGGAGAGAGGCCATGGGACAACTGGCAGGAGGGCCGGGGGACTCTCCCTGGGAGAGCTCACCTGTTGGGGAGTCCTTGAGGCCAGCAGCTCCCAGGACATGTACCTGGGTCACCAGCTGGGGGTAGCCACAGAGGGAGCTCCAGCAGGTGTGTGGGGGCTCATCCAGGCGCAGCTCCCTGATATGGGGCGGCAGGGGAGAGGGGAGTGATGGAGAAGGGCCAGGAAGACAGGGGTGAAGAGGGGGTTCAGGAAGTGGGAAGGGAAGAGAAGCAGTATTTAGCCCAAACTTGATTTCATTTAGTCCTGAGCAAATCCCCATGGGCAGTCCCCAGCTCCAAGCCCTGTGGGCTTCCTGCCTTCTCTATCCCTATCAAGGGTACCCCATCCTTCCCCAGGGGAAAGGCACCTTACTGAGCACCTGCTGTGTGCCAAGCCCCCTGCTGGCGTTATGGGTGATTCCTAATCCCTGCAAAGCCCCGCAAAGGCTATTATGGTGCCCATGTCACAGCTGAGGAAGCAGCAGGCTCACCCAGGTGAAGGGCTTGCCCAAACAGCTGGAAAGCTGGGGAGCCTGGGCCGGCAGGACCCTGAGCCGTCTGACTCCACATGCCACAAGCTGCCTCCTGGCTCTGGCACGTGGGCAGAGCTCACCTGTCCTTCAGGGGACACCGAGCCTGGGCTGTGTATCACAGTGGAGGGCAGTGCGGGACGCACAGGGTCTATGCCCCAGCAAGGACTGAGAGAGCTTCAGCAGTCCACTGGAGCCCAGAGCCACCCCCATGGGACAGGAAATTGTGGTGACAAGACCCAACCCTGGAACCAGGCAGGCTGGGTGGCCCAGCCCATCTCCACCGCTGGCTGCATGACCTCAGACAACCCTTCTAACCTCGGCCCCTGAATCTCACTGGTAAAGTGCGGGAGTCAGGCCTCCCACTCAGGGATGCAGGAAGATCAAGATGAGTGAAAGCTTCTTTGTCAACTGTAGAGTGCAGTGCACATACAAGAAGCTGTTCCTAGTCATGGCCAGGGATGCTGGGACAGGGGAACAAGGGAAGAGAAGGGAAGGAGATGGGCACTGGTATCAGCCCAGAGTGGCTGGAGGCCCAGAGACACTGAGCATCTCTGAGGCTGCAGGTTCCTGGTTGGCCCAGTGTGAATGTCACTCCCACCCACACTGGCCTCAAGCCAGCCCCCAAGTACCGGCAGTTGGAGGGCACATCAGTGAAGA
Organism: Homo sapiens; assembly: GCF_000001405.40. Taxonomy (NCBI): domain Eukaryota; kingdom Metazoa; phylum Chordata; class Mammalia; order Primates; family Hominidae; genus Homo; species Homo sapiens. Next base: position 77,120,881 of record NC_000011.10, on the reverse strand, counting down.
CTCGGAGCAGGAACTCGCCAGTGTGGCCTGGCTCGAAGGTTGTGGGGATGATGACATAGCGGCCCTCGGGCTGGTCGGTGCGCAGGAAGACGCTGCGTGAGTTGATGTAGATGGAGCTGGCGGCCTTGTGCTGCAGGCTGTGCATGCGGTACTGGCGGTTCTCCTCCACCTGCAGGAGGCGGGAGGGGCTGGGCCACGCGGAGACACACCCTACAACACCCTGGCCCACCCCGCCTCCCCCTCACCACCATGGAAGGGACGATGGAATCCCTTTATATGAAATGTCCGGAACAGGCAAATCTATAATAACAGAAGCGGATTCGTGTTTGCCCAGGGCTGAAGGGAAGAGGTCAATGGGAATGGGTGGTGGTGGTTAAAGGGAGTGGGTTTCTTTTGGGGAGATGAAAATGTTCTACAGTTGATTGTGGTGATGGTTGCATAAACTCTGATCACACAAAAGTCATTAGATTGTATACTTTACATGGCTGAATTGCATGCTCTGTGAATTATATCTCAATAAAAACTATTAAAGGAGGCTGGGCGCAGTGGCTCATGCCTGTAATCCCAGCGCTTTGGGAGGCCAAGGTGGGAGGAACACTTGAAGCTGGACGTTCAAGGTCAGCATGGGCAACAAAGCGAGACCCCAGCTCTACAAAAAACTTAAAAATTAGCCAGGCATGGTGGTGTTCACCTATAGTCCCAACTACTAGGGAGACTGAGGTGGGAGGATCGTTTGAGTCCAGGAGTTTGAGACTGTAATGAGCTATGACAGCACCACTGCCCTCTGGTCTGGGTTACAGAGCAAGACCCTCTGTAAAACAAACAAACAAAAAAAATAGAGGGCAATAGGAATCCCCCTGGTAACAATGTCAGTGGGGTTTCTGACTCCAACAGCACAACCAAGTATCAGGATCTGCAGAGGTCACAGCACCTGTCCACGAAATGCCATCACCAGCTGCCAGGACCTGCCTGACAATCCTGAAAAAAGTGTTCTGGTCACACTAGTGAAGATCGTCACATGGCAAAGTCACAACAATATGTCACAAGACACTAGCATGCAATGAATGTACCAGCACAAGAGTATAAACAAAGTGCCACGGCGTGGCCAGGCACATCAGATGCCAAGGACTCAGCATGTACCCAGCCTCTGCAGGGCCCGGTGGCTTCATTCCGTTCTCAAGGTCTGACAGGCACATGGGGTCCCGCCATGCTGACTGTCACCACACACTGGGCATCACAACACGTGGAAGGCCTCAGGTTCCAGGCCAGGCGGTGCGGCCATAGGTGACCCCACCTGGCTATGCTCAAGGATGCCTCCTCCTGGTGCCCAGCAAGGCCTCCAATGCAGGAAGGCTAAGGGGCTGCAAGGGGCCCTGAGGCCTGAGGGAGGAGCAGTGGGGGCCCAGTAGATGCCCAGAGCCTCCCAGGGCCCGGCCCCAACCACCAGTAATCTTCCCCTTCCTCATCCACCAAACATCCCAGGCCTGTGGGTCTTAGGCAGAAAGAAATCAGGCTGAGAGCTCCCACAGAAGCCAAGGCTGGGCAGGCTGGGCCCTCTGTGAATATTCAAGTGGGGCCCATGCCACGGCATCCTCACAATGTCTGCCACGGCAGCCAGGGCAGCGGCAGTGACCAAGGTGTTCTAGAGCGTTCTTCCTCAGGCATGGGCAGTCCAAACTCCAGCTCCCTCCCTCTCCCCACCCACGGCAGGGGACCCGGCTGGCCTCACCTTGTAGATGTCAAAGCCAATGGCCAGGTTCTCACCCTTGCCCTCCCGGCGCGTAGACCGCTTTGGCCGCTGCTGGATGCAGATCAGGACTTCATCTTCTGGCTTCTTGACTTCGAAGATGTACTGCAGGTGTGGCCAAGGAGAGAGAGAGACACTGCAATGAGACCACACCAGGCATGGGCTGGCTGGCTCCCGGAAGCTCAGACTCCAGAGCCTGGACCAGTCACAGCACCTCTCTGCGCCTTGGTCCCTCTGCTGTGAGGTGGGCCTACCAATGCCTGCAATGGCTACCCTGCATGAAGGCTGGGGAAACTCAATGCCAGGGTGGCCACTCTGCACAGAGCCTGGCACACAGGTGGTGCTCAACAGAGGCACACCAAGCACCAGGGCTAAGCAGCGCCACGGGTCAGACTGAGGAGGCTGTGGGGAGAGGCCCCGTGGGGAAGCCCAGCCCAGCCAAGTTCCCAGAAGGGACAGAATTGTGCTGTTGTGGAAACAAGGGGCTGAGTCCCTGGCTCAGCCTCTAAGTGTCCCTGTAGCTCAGAACAAGACACCCAAATGTCCCTCAGAGCCGCGGTTTCCTCATTTTTACCATCTGCAGGTTAGATTGTGAGGCTGGGGGCTTCATGACCCCCAGATGGGACGGATGTGCCCATCTAACCCCCACTGTACAGACAGGTTTGCTGAGGCCCAAGGAAGGACAGGGATTACCCAAGGTCATGCAGGAGTCCCTGGCAGGACAGTGGCAAGGCACCCCGCAGCTGCTACAGGGCAGGGTGGGGGTTCCTGAGAACGCCCACCTGTGGGTTCTGGAAGAAGGTGTCCTTGTGGTTGATGCAGCCGCCACCGCGGTTCTGTCGCGGGTCCTCATGCAGCGTCCAGGCGCCATGCAGCCGGGCCTCCTCCCACGTCTTGTGGATGCTCAGGTGGGATGTGTTGATCACGCGGCACTTGATGATGTCCGTGAAGTACCGGCACACGTCCTCGAAGGTCATCCTGGATGTGGGGAGGGGCTGAGCAGGGTACCTCCCCCACACCTCCCCAGGCTCTTGGCCCCCCAGCCCAACAACCTAATATGTCCATATGGCCCAGAGGTGAGAGAACACAGCTGGCTTTGAGAGGGGAGCTAAGCCCACACAAGGGCACAGGCATGGCATTGCACAGACCCTTAACCTCTCTTTTGACCTGTTTCCTCACCTGTAAAATGAGGCTGAATCTAACAGCAGGTGCCCATCTCAGAGCTAGTGAAGGAATTAGGTAATGCAATCAAAGCAGGCAGTGCAACTTTCGGCTGACAGAGCACGCACTGGCAAACGCTGGCTGTTACTATTGTGAATGGTGTTAATAACTACTGTCTGCTGCCCTGTACAGTTTATAAAGCACATCTGCATCCAGGATCTTCCATGGCTGTTGAGAGGCCTGAGTAAGTGGATGGTGGGAACCCCATGGTGAGCCTGCTGCGGTGGCCAGGGTGTTGCTATGGTCACTGCACACTGTGAACGCCTCCAGGGAGCTGGTGGGGGCAGGGGGCAGTGAATTAACCGTGAACATGTAAGAGAAAGGCCTTTGGAAGAAACTCTTTCTAAAGGCAAGGAGCTCTGCCGTGTTTTTATCTGCTGACTCCTGAGCAAGACTGGCAAAGTGGCCTGGGTGGCCTCCTGCAGCAGCTGACCTGACACCTGCAGAAGGGTTCATCATTGGGTGCCAGGACCACTGCCATCTGCCCCCAGTCTGCCTGGGGGCCCTGACAGAATCCAGCACACACAGGATGCCAATACCCCTCCAGGAAGGGACTGAGTTTCCATATCAGGTTCTGCTGAAGGGTGACACTGAGCCTAGCCCACATTCAGGACTCATGCAGGCTGGATGAATGCAGGATGAACTTTTATTACTACTGGGGTTTTTCTTTTTGTTTTTGAAACAGGGTCTTGCTCTTTAGCCCAGGATGGAGTGCAGTGGTGCGATCATGGCTCACTATAAACTCAACCTCCTGGGCTCAAGCAATCCTCCCCTCTCAGCCTCTAGAGTAGCTGAGACTACAGGGGTACATCATCACACCCAGCTAATTTTTCATTTTTGTAGAGATGGGGTCCCACTATGCTGCCCAGGCTGGTCTCAAACTCCTGGACTCAAGCAATCCTTCTACCTTGACCTCCCAAAGTGCTGGGATTATAGACATGAGCCACTGTACCCAGCCAATTACTGGGCTCTTTAAGCTGAGCTGCTGTCATCTTCCCAGCTCACCCATGTACCTGCTTAGCTCCCTTCTCAAACACAGCTGTGTTCTCTCACCTCTGAGCCACGTCCTCTTCCTTGCCCACCAAGGCCTACTCTGTACCTCAAGTCTCAGCTTAGAAGCTAGTTCCTCTAGGAGCCTCTGCTACCTAATTTCAGAAATCAGGCTGCCAGAGGGCCCCTGGAGGCAGGCTGAGGGCAGGGCTTCCTGGAGAGGGGCTGGGCATAGCCCCAGTGCCCCTGGCCACACCATACTGCTGGTGCTGGACTGTGCTTCATGCCTCCTTACCCTTGCCGGGGAGATCCTGGTGGGCCCACCTCTTAGACGGCTCCCTGACCTGCATGCCAAAGGCTCGGTCTGGGTGCCACAGCGGCTCCAGGACCCCTCAGTTCGGCAGAGGGGACTGTGGGGATGAAAGGGCCTGGTACTGCCCAACTAATTTTACAGAGGAGGAAACAGGCTCTGAGATGGTGTGACTTGTCCAAGGCCACACAGCAAATTGATGATGGGGCATGCAGGAGAGGCCTGGCTCCTGACTCCCCACCTGGTGCTCCCCGCCAGGCCCGTGGGAAGCCCCCTCAGCCCCGGACGCCCAGGGCACATACACACTCACC